>NC_000020.11:41769264-42072294 GCF_000001405.40 Homo sapiens
ACTGGGGGGTTGCTGTGGATGGAAGCAAACTTGTCAGACCCTCCTGGGTTGTGTTGCTTTCCCCAAACCCCCTTTTCTTCTGGCATTGTGTCTTCTGCTCTGATTGGCGCCCTCTCTCTATTCCTAGGAAAATTCTTGCACATTTTTCTCTTGGTCCTTTAGTTTAAAAACTTGGCTTGCGTTTCCCCCAAGAGCAGAATAAACAAATCTCTTTTATAAGGCTGTAGGATTCTGATAGGAAAGTTCTTCAGAATCTTGAACAAGGTCAGGAAATGTCACCTTCTGACTTCAGTGCTTGGAAAATTAGCATAAGGGAGGCAGGGGAAGGAAGGAAAGGACTTGGCCACTTCTTAAACTGAAGGGACGATTACATCACTTGTGAGTGGCATGTTCTTGGATACATGGTTTAACCTGTCTGAGCCCAGGGCTGTTGTGGCTGAGACAGTGCTATGTCCACCACAAACTCTCCTTTCTATGGTATGGTGTTGGTGTTTTCACTGAGGGGTGCCTGTCTAGCCAGAAATTCCACATTCCACCTGCACTTCCATTTAAGTGAGGCCACTTGACCAGTTCTCCCCAGTGGGATGTGAATGGCAGCGATGCATCCTTTGTGAGCTGAGGCTTTTAAGAAGCTGGTGAGGCTTCCTATGCTTTCTTTCTGCTTCTGCTGGCTAGAAACAAAGGACACTGAGGCCCTCGGGGGATGGTAGAGCCACAGGAAGCACCCCGGGTCCTTAAATCAACATGCGGAGGAAAGCCAACGGCCAGCCATGGATACTTGCATTGGACTTTTAAGTGAATGAGAGGTAAATTTCTATTATGTGAAGATATTGCAAATACTGGGTTTATTTGTTATAATAGCTAGTGTTATTCTAACTAATAAAGCCATCGTATAAAAGGGGTGTACTAGTTTGAAGTGCTTCACAAACCCAGGTTGCAAATGTCGTATTCATTGATGTATTCATCTGTTCGCTTTCAAAAATAAATATTTATTAAGCACATTCTGTAGGCCCTGCTCTAAGTGCTGGAGATACAGTGAAGTGCAAGACAGATGAAAGCCCTGCTCATATAAGGCATTTACAAATATAAGGATGATGAAAATAACCTCCTTCCCCTCTTCCCACACTGGTGATATTTCATCTCCATCAAATACTTGCTTCTAAACCATGCTCTTTCCTGCCTCCATGCTGTTGGAGAAGTGTTCTCTTCCTGTGAACTCCTTCTCTTTATAGACCCAGCTCTCCCGTGGGCAGCCCCTGAGGAGAGGAACTCCTCAGGCCAAGGCAGCAACTCCCTTCTACCTGTCTTCCTGCCCTGACAACAGCATGAGCTGTGTTGTAGTCTGTTTGCTTTTTTATGCACTGATTTCCCTCTGCAGTCTGTGACCTCCTTCTCATCCACCTTTGTATTTTAGACTATTGCACAATGCTGGGCATACAGCAGGTGCTCGCTGAATATTTGTAGAGTTAATCTGAATATAAAACCACCAGAAATGACTATTTGGTTTTGTCAGGAACCTGCAAAATGCATTGTGTGCGTGTATTATTTTTATTTTTTTGAGACAGAATCTCCCTCTTTTGTCCAGGTTGGAGTTCAGTGGCTTGATCTTGGCTCACTGCAACCTCTGCCTCCCGGGCTCAAGCGATTCTCATGCCTCAACCTCCCAAGTAGCTGAGATTATAGGCATGTACCACCATGCCTGGCTAATTTTTGTAGTTTTGGTAGAAATGGGGTGTCACCATGTTGGCCAGGCTGGTCTTGGACTCCTGACCTCACATGATCCACCTGCCTCAGCCTCCCAAAGTGCTGGGATTACAGGGATGAGCCACTATGCCCGGACTGCATTGTTTTGAAAGCAGCTTTTGTTTAGTGTCAGTGTCTAGAACACCAGCCCCTTTCACTCTGTGCATATGGTGACTGAGCTGATTTCATTTAGTATGTGCATAAATACTCTTATTTCTCAGATACAAGGCAAGATTTCTTTGTTTTCTTGTTTGTTTCTTTGCTTCCCCTGGTTGCAAAACATATCCTCTCTACCTCCTGGCAAATCTGACAACACGTCCTCAGACTGATGAAACAGAGTCCACTAGATCCTCTTGATGGGGGCATGAGGGTTTGGGTAAGGGTGGGATGAGGTGAGTTTCCATCTGTGAATTCTCAGATTTTGCTCTTTATTCTTCAAATTCTCATCAGACTGACAGCCAGTGATGCGTGGGTGAAGATAAGACCATAGCTGAGAAATCTCTTCCGTTTATGGCAGAGGTCATTTCATTGACATTCCTTGGAGAACCTTATTGCAGGAAGATAGGGAGGAAGAGAAGAGAGCACCCATTCTGTGAGCACCCTTATCTGTAAAAGGTCCCTGGTGTCTCCCCTTTGGGCTGGAATAAAATGAGACTTTAGTTATGGAAGAGAAGAAAGAAAGTGGTTTTTATGATAGGAGGAGGCTGAAGAAAGGGAAGCAGGGTGAATGGCGTATACTCAGGGAGGATCAGAGGTTTGAGTGGAGATAAATGAACAAAACCATCTTGGAGACCAGATTTTTCAGAGGATGGGGGCATGGAAGAGACCATCAGTTCTTTGGGCAGAAGTAGAGGAGTTCCTCTGCAATAGGAGAGGGGGATGTTAAGGGGATTAGCAGTGTTATCTGTTTTGGGATGCTGAAGGATGTTTTGCCCCCTTTAAATGGTGATTGATCTGGGAAAGACCCCAATATATGAAGCAGACCCTCAGGAGTATAGGTCTAAAGCCCCAGGAATGCTCACCACACCTGGGAGGCTCTGTTACTGGGAACAGTGGTGCTAATGAGAAAGTCAATCATGCCTTTTGGGGTTACTGCTATTGGTGGCCTGCTCAGAGCCCCTTTATTGGGAGGTGTGCCCATCATCCCTCAGCTACTGGGAGTGCTGTAGCTAATGGTTTCTACCTAAGAACTTACCTAAGAATTGGCCCTGAATGACTGAAGGTATATCATCTGGCAGTACCTGGGAAGTTGGTCCCCCATCTCCTTGGTGTGTCAGTGACTGATACAGGTGCACAGAATGTCAGCTCCTTGCCTTAAGGCAGATCAACACTGTGGTGTGATTTATGCTCCAGAGCTCCCAATGGATCAGGCCAAGGCTAGATTTTACCCCAAACCCCATTCTTACTGGACTCTTCCTTCCCTCTTCTACTTCCTTCCCTCCCTTACGGATTTCTTCTGACAACTTTACCTTGATACAACACCTGCATCTGAATCCCTATCCCAGGTTCTGCTTCCAGAGGACTCACCTCAAGACTCAACCTACTCTGTGCCAGGTTCCATGGTGGTCCTCACAACAACCCCCTGGGGCAAGACTGCTTCCCTCCTGCCCCACACTGCCCCCTTGGCCCAGAAGGGGCTTCCAGGCTCCTCTGCAGCCCCCTCACTGGTCGCTAACCCTACTGCTTAGAGCTTAATGTTCACTGGGCCACCTCTTGCTAGTAAGCAAGACCTCTGCATGCCAGTGAGCAGTGTCTCTGTTCTGCCTGCCCCTGGGAAGTGGAGACTGGCTATTCTTGCTACATGACTGGTAGGGTCTGTGGACTCAGTGTTTGCTTGGAAGACCTGGTCACATAGATTTCTTTCCATAGGTGAGCATGCAAAGCCCAAGATTTAGGTTTTGGGGCAGGAGGGTAGGGGGCTCACTCAGACCTGGGGACTTGTTTGTGACCTCCAGTTGCCCTTTGTCTAGAGAAGTTTGTATTTGAATACTGCATGTGTGCTCGAAGCTGGGGCTGTTTCTGTTCTGTCTGTGGACCCTTAGGTGTCTGTTCCTTGGCAGAAATCCAGGAGGGGATGAGGAGTGAACGGTGGGGCTTAAGCATCAGCCCCCTACCCCTGAACCCCTGACAAGCCCTGCAAAATAAATATTAAGATTCCTGTTTGACTAGAGAGGAAACCAAGTCTTAGAAAGCTTAGATGGCCCGAGGATGAAATTTAGTATTGTCTGAGGTGGAATTTGAATCCTGGATTGGCTAGTTCCAAAGCTCAGGCTTTTTTTTTTTTTTTTTTAATCCATACCAGAGATTGGCAAACTACAGGTGAAATCTTGCCCACTGCCTGTTTTTATGACTAAAGTTTTATTAGAACATAGCCATGCTCATCTGTTTAGATTAGATTATGGCTACATTTGGGCCACCCTGGCAGAGTTGAGTAGTTGCAACAGAGACCCTATGGCCCACAAAGCCTAAAGTATTTGCTGTCAGGACCTTTGCAGAAAATGTTTGCTGACCCCTGCTCTGCACTCTATTCTCTCAGGGAGTGTTCCTTTTAGAGTCCAGGGAGCCCAAGACACTGAGGGGTGGAAAGATACCTGGTCTTTATATCCAAAGCTCTGGGTACAAATTTTGACTGTGTAACACTAGTCAAGGCATCAGTAGACTTGACTTCTCTTAGTCTTGGTTAATTCATCTTTAAAAGGGAGAGAAGAGCAGCCCCCAAAAATAGTTTTGTTTTGAGGATGAAATAAATGAACAGTGATAAATAATGATTTTAAATATTTGAGTTGAAATAATCTGTATACCAAACCCTCATGACACACAGTTTACCTATATAACAAACCTGGTTGTGTACCCCTGATCCTAAAATAAAAGTTGAAAAAAAGGTTACCGAGTGCTTATTATGTGCCAGGTCCTTCACGTACATTATCTCTTTTAATTCCTATAAGTGTCCAGTACGTGGTAGACATTCAATAAGAAGACATTGAATGAATGAGGTAGGTACTTATTATTCCCATTTCTCAGATAAGGAAATAGAGGCTCAGAGAAGTGAAGCAACTTCCCCAGGGCTTGGCTGCCTGTGATGGCTGGATTCAGCACAGGCATGAGAGAGGAAGGGCACTGTGTTCCTGCTGAAGGGGAGGGTTTTTCTCTTCCTGGGAAAACTTGTGGTCTTTGGGGCTGGTTTCCACTGAAGGTAGTGAGTATTGCTTTCTCTCAGCTTCTCCTCCTTCAATTTAATCAGATTCTATTCTATCCTCTTCAACTTCCCCTACATTATGTAGCAACTGGGATTGTCAGCAAACCCATCATCTTGTTGTTGTCAGTAAAACAAAGATTATCTGCCTCAGAAAAGTGAACACTTGGGAGTCATAATTATGGGAATCACTTGTAGTTTGGGTCCATTTGAATGTGTTTGAGCCGCAAGCGAAACAGATAGTGTGCTCGAAACCTTTTCTAGTTGTGGCCCTGGTTATTTTTGTCCTGCAGAAAGAAGTAGAACTGTCACTCTACCTGCACAGGGCAGACAAAGCCACCTCTCTCACCAGCTGCCCCTGACCTTTGTGGACAACTGCACATGGAATGAATAGAATCCTGAAAACTTCTCAGGAGTTTAATAGCTTCAATGAATAAAGAATTTTGGTTCCAGGAAAAGGAAAATAAACTGAATTGATTTGAGGAAAAATCATTGTGTTAGTTTGTGTTTCCCTGGATGCAGACTCAGAAACAGAGATAGCGAAGAAAGTTTCCTTTTTGGGATTGGATTCCAGAAAATGCAGTGGGAAACACTGGGAAGTGAGACAGGGAAGGGAAGTGATATGGTTAGGCTTTGTGTCCCCACTCAAATATCATCATGAATTATAATCCCCATAATCCTCACATGTCAAGGGTGAGACCAGGTGGAGGTAATTGAATCATGTGGCCGGTTTCTCCGATGCTGTTCCCGTGCTAGTGAGTTCGTTCTTACTAGATCTGATGGTTTTATAAGTGCTTGGTTGTTCCTTCTCTGTTCATTGTCCTTCCTGCCGCCTTGTGGAGAAGTGCCTTGCTTCGCCTTCGCCTTTCACCAAGATTGTAAGTGTCCTGAGCCCCCCACCCCGGCCGCCCCCAGCCATGCTGAACTCTGAGTCAATTAAATCTCTCTCCTTTATAAATTACCCAGTCTTGGGCAGTTCTTTAAAGCAGCGTGAGAACGAACTAATACAGGAAGGAAGTCTATGCAGGATGTGTTCTCAGGTAGATGACCACCTTGGGCAAAAGAAGATTAATTCCACTAGAGAACTCTGAGAGCCAGAACAGAACTGCATAATTATCCCCCTCAAGGGGTGAGAGAGCTGGGGTAGTTAGACACCCACTTTCATCAGCCATGGGTTGAGGTATGGCATTTTCAGTTGGCTTTGCTGGCAGACCGCAGAGATGGAAGTTGGTTGGCATGCCCTGAAATGGTGAGGCTCCAGGAGACATGGGTGGGACCCCTTCAAGAACTGCTACAAACTCCTGCTCTGAAATCAGACTACCTGGATTCAAACCTCCGATGTTCCTTCCTATTTGTTATGTGACCTTGGGCAAGTCACTTAAGCCCTTTAGTCTTAGCTGTTGAATAGAAAATATGATAGTCCAGACTTTACCAGGTGGCTGTGAAGATTAAAAGAGATAAGGCATGCAAGACACTTACAGGGTACCTGGCACAAGGCAAACACTCAACAGACTTTAGCTGTTATTTGTAACTAGTCTATTTATTGTACTGAAACTGACTGGGGGAACATTCAGACCTAGACGATGTTATGGGGAAAAATAGACAAGAAACAACAACCCAAGGTTTTATCCAAGAGCTATGTGATGTAGAGTGTGACCAGTGGACAGCATTGTATATTTGGACAAATATGAATATATAAACTTTTGAGTTGTCTTTCGGATATTAGCTTGTTTATAGGAGGATCCTCTGCGCAGTTGATGAAGCCCATGTAGCTGGAATCAAAAGCTTCTGTACCCATGGGCTGAACTGGTAGTAGCAAACTGACCAGGGAATTAGAGCATGACACCCAAGATAGTGGGAACCAGCTGAGATGCAGGTCATAATCATGATAACAGCAGGTAACATTTACTGAGAATTTTCTGTGTCAAGCCATGTGCAAAACACATCACCAGATTATGACATTTTCTCATCACAATAGTCCAAGGTGGTGTCCCTGTCATGACAGCCTGCCTACTCTCCTTTCAGAGTGCATGTTAAAATAACCTCTCACTGCAACCAGTGGATTTCCCAGTAGTCTCTCTTTTTTTTTTATTTTTTTCTGGAGTCCGGCCTTTCATAACAAGCCCCCAGGTGCATTTGGAGTTGCTACCTGTAAATGTGGCAGGATTTCTCTTCATCAGACTTTTGTCCCTGTTCTCTTCCCTGAAGAGCAAACATGCTGCACTAGAAGGAATCAGTGGCTCATTGTCACTGGCAAAGCCGAGGCAGTGGGAGGACCATTTTTTCTCTGGGTTCAGCAACCCTCCTAGTGGTTAGCAGACAGCAGCATAATGGCCAGCCAGTGTGAAACTGTGCAAATTGCCTCATAAATAACTCGTAATGCACAGGCAACAGGGAGAGGCCATAGCTCATGGATAAATGACTCCCTGCCATTTCGGGGTATTAAACCAGGGATAATCCGGACCTCACCATGGGGATTCATTAACTACTATGGGTTTCCCGCACGCAAGCCTGCTGGGACTCAGGCCTGCTTGGTGCTTCTTGTGGCATCATGATGGGGGCAAAACACTTCCAAGCAGGGCCATGAGAAAGAGAATGTAAGTACCTTTAACAAACCAGCCAGGGGTGAACCCTGTAGGAGCCAAGTATTTTCTCTGTGGAACTTGCTTTCTGAAGAAATCTCTTTGAAGCGCAGAGAAAAACATAATAACCTTAACAATTAACATGTATTGGGCATTTACTCTGTGCCAGGCACTGTGCTAAGTCTTTTTTTTTTTTTTTTTTTTTTTGAGATGGAGTCTCGCTCTGTCGCCCAGGCTGGAGTGCAGTGGTACGATCTTGGCTTACTGTAAGCTCCACCAGCCGGGTAGCTGGGACTACAGGCGCCTGCCACCACACCCGGCTAATTATTGTATTTTTAGTAGAGATGGGGTTTTGCCATGTTGGCCAGGCTGGACTTGAACTCCTAACCTCAGGTGATCTGCCCACCTTGGCCTCCCAAAGTGCTGGGATTACAGGCGTGAGCCACCGCACCCCTGTGCTAAATCTTGTGTAACTCCCACAAACATTCCATTGAGTGGATACTATTATTATTAGTCCTATTTTCATAGAGGATGAAGTGATAGCTCACAGAGGTTTAGTTATTTATTTTAGGCAATATAGCCAATATGTGGTGAATGCATTAGTCAGCTTTTGTTAGGTTGTGGTAACAAATAGTCCACCAGTCTCAGTGGTTTAAAATCACAAGAGTGTTTTGCTCCTATTTTATGCCACTCATGGATCAGCTGCTCTCCTTTACCTGACTTTATTACAGGATCCAGGCTGAAATAGTAGCCTCTATCTGGGACATACTATTCTCATGGCAGAAGAAGACAAGAGCAAGAAAACTGGTGGAACTGGCCATGGCTGTGAAAGCTTCTGCTCAGAATGGGCATATATCACCTCTGCTCACATTTCATTGATCAAAGGTGGTCATATGGCCAAGCCTTCTTTCAATGGGGTGAGGAAGTTTACTCCTCACACTGGGAGGTACTGCAATGAATGACAATTGGGGAGAGATATCTAAGTCTCTTAGAGGAAAGGCAGAGATCAGAGAATAGTAATATAATCTATGCAGCTGAGTGAGATCAGATCTTTGTGGTTTTACATTTTGTGCTCTTAATTTCTGCCCTTTGCTGAATTTGGAGTTGGGATACTTGGGCTTGAGCACCACTCTGCAGTGAGAAACTCTGTGACTAAGGGCAATTTATTTCCCTCTCTGGGTCCCAGTTTCCCTGCCTTAGTTAGATCCCCCAGAAGCAGACGCAGAGACAAGGAATGAAATGCAAGTAGTTTATTTGGGAGGTAATAAGAGGAAGCCCCAGTAAGAAAGGAAAAGTAAGATAGAAAAAAGAAGGAAGGTAATAAAGTATGTTACCAAGCAGGTTACCCTCAGAGCAACCAGGGCAGAATTCTGCTAAAGAACTGTGGGGATACACACCTCAGAATTATCCTACCCGAGGGGTGAGGAACCTGGAAATTTACTTACCAACTCCCAGGCCATCATTGGTTGAGGGCTATTTCTGAGACCATTGACTCTTCTGCAACCAGATAAAAGCCTTTGGAGCAGAGTTATAAGTTTTTGTAATAAGCATCTTTTGGCATACAGAGGTGAGCCAAAGTCCCTATCTATGCAATGGGTGGTGTTGGCTAGAAACACTTCAATGGCTCTTCTACTTTTTGTCCCCTGTGCCTACAGCCCTGCCTGGCATGGGGTTAGCATGTGGGCAGTCTGGTTGAGTGTGAGGATCATGGGCAGTTGCATTTTCCCTCCATCTTCCTATGAAACCTCATGCCCCACCACTGGCTCTTCCTCTTGCTTTTCCACTGCATGCAAACCTTGGCTCTGCAGGATGTTCCATCCAACTCCTGCTCTTCACAAATGTGTCTCTTACCCAACGTGCTGCAGTTCTTACTGCCTGCTCGCATTGGGCACACTCTTTATTCCCGGTACTATGCTTTCCATGGTCACAGGGAGGCAGCATCAATGATGTCCTCATTTCCCTGGCATCTCTCACTCTATGCAAAATATCCTTTTGCTTTGCACTCTGCCACCCCCTTTGCTGTCATCTTTGTTCCAGTACTAACCATCCTCCCCTGACCCTATCAAGCTCCATTCACCTAAGGCTGGCTCCCAGCCTCCCTCCCTCTCTGAGCTACCAACCACCTTGGCTTCTCCCTTGTCTATGGGGTTGATGCATTCCATACCTACAGTTCTTGTCCCTGCTTAGTTCAGACCACCTACATCTCCCTCCACAACTCAAAACAACCTCTTCAACCAGTCTCCTACTGCATTCCTACATACACTTCCAAACCCCTAAATTTCTGACTTCTAGTTCATCAATACTTTGGCCAAGCATTCTCTCTAAAATATGATTGGGTAGGGAAGTAGCCAAATGTAGTAGTTAAGAATGGGAACTCAGAGATAGACTGTCAGGGTTTAAATCCTAGCTCTGCCACTTCTTTCTTATGGGAACTTGGGCAAGCCACTCACACTCTCTGTGCCTCAGTTTCCTCATCTGCCAGATCTACCTCATAGGGTTGTTGCCACAGACCACCTGGCACATAATGATTAGATCACCACCTGGCACACAGTAGTTACGGAATCACTGTTTGTTAAATACATTGAATTTGCAGGTGATGTCTGTTACCTGCTTCAAAGCCTCCAAATTCCCAGTCACCCAGAGGGTAGAGTCTGAGCTGTCCAGTCTGGCACTTGAGGCCCTGGGTAGTTGGCCTCTACCTCCCTTTCCAAAATCAACCCCTCAGTTCCTTTTTACCCCACATTTTATGACTCAGCTGTTTCATATCTCTGAGTCTTTGCACGTGCTGTTCCCTTTGCCTGGTATGCTGAGCCCTGTCTTGTTCTGTTCATTTCCTACTGACTTCTCAGGAGTGCCCTCAGGCTTTGCTTCCCCTGGAGAGCTTCCGGGTCTACTCGGATAGAGATAATTGCCTTCCTCCTTGTAGAAACTGGGCACTGCCCCTGTTTCAGGGCTGAGACCAGAGTGGGATGAGTGAGTTTGCTTCAAAAGTGAAATTTAAGGGGGCATTCAAAAACTCAGTAATCAAGAGAGAATATTTGAATATTAAAATAAATCCTGTGTTAGTTTGCTGAGGATGATTGTTTCCAGCTTTATTCATGTCCCTGCAAAGGACATATATTCATTCTTTTTTATGGCTGCATAGTGTTCCATGGTATATATGTGCCACATTGCATGTTGTCACTCATAAGTGGGAGTTGAACAATGGGAACACATGGACACAGGGAGGGGAATATCACATACTGGGGCCTGTCGGGGGGTGGGGAGCAAGGAGATGTGGAGCATTAGGACAAATACCTAATGCATGTGGGGCTTAAAACCTAGTTGATGGGTTGATAGGTGCAGCAGAGCACCATGACACATGTATACCTATGTAACAAACCTGCATGTTCAGCACATGTATCCCAGAACTTAAAGTAAAATTGAAATAAACAATAATAAAATCAGTGCAATAAGTCTAGGTTGAAAAGAGCATCAACATTTTAAACAAAGATGAGATCTAACCTGTTCTCATGAGACTCATGCCGCTTGCCTGGCCTGTTGGATCCTGGGCTAGCCTGCTGGAGATTGAAAGATCATGAGGAGGTGAGCCCAGTTGTGCCAGCTGAGGTTATTCAGGTTATTCTAGACTAGTTTACAGCCAGCTGACCTCATACCTGTCAGAGGGCCCAGCCAAGGTCAACAGAGCCACCTACATGACCCACAGCTGAAGAAGACACCCGAGCAAGCCCCACTGAGCTGTAGACCTGTAGACCTGTGTGCAATACCAATACTTATGATTTTCAACTACTACGTTTGGGGATGATTTGTTACACAGTGGTAGCCAACAAATACACTTCTTCTGGCCACAGAGCCTTTGAGCATACTTAACCTCTGCCTGGAAAGATCTCTCTTCCCTAGGCCCCTTCATTCCTTAGGCCTTCAGCTAGTGCTGCTGCTTTAGAGAGGCCTTTCCTGACTTCACTATGTCAAAGCTCCCTCCTCCAGGCTCTCCTTTTACTCTGTAACTCTCCATCTTTGCCCTTCACTGCAGTTCTACTGCATTTATTCATGTGATTGTCTGATGTCAGTCTCACCTGATAGATGGCAAGCTGCATCAGGGCAAGAATTATGCTTTTTAGGTCTCCATTGCATTTTGGCCCATAGTTGGTGTTTGATAAATGTGCTGAATGAATACATGAATGAATGGGTTTATTTTGAGACAAAATTTGAGAGTGTGGATCAAGCCCCATGATTTCTCTGCCTTTTACCCAGTGACATAATATGTAAAATGGATTCTGATGCAAAGGTCATGGGCCTCTCCTGGGGGCGCCCCTCCACCCCTGTGCATCATAGCTCTTCTCTCATCTTCTGAGCAGGGTTTGCCAGCAGAACATAAACAATAATGTGAATGGCACTCTTGGAGTTGAGCAGCCCTGCACTGAGTGTAGTGGAAGCACGTCTGGCTAAGCCAGGGCTAGAGTAGTGCAGATGGGAGGATGTGGACATGACTTGATGAGGGCAGCAGCCAGGGATGGGCTAAAAGGGAGGGTTGGGGGGCCTCCCTGAGGCCCTCTCTCTGATTACCTGGTATCACTCCCTTCACACTGTAGGCCTCCTTCTGGCAATTTAAGATTCTGCCCCAGGCTCTGGTGGCCCCGTGGAGCAGAGGATCTGATGCCTGGTTTCTTGACCTCCATGTATCATGATTCCTAATTCATCCTTGCTTCTCAGTCTGGGAAGGCAATATAGGCTAAGACTGTGGACCTTCAAGCCACACCCGCCTGGGTTCAAATCCCAGCACAGCTTTCTACTAGCTGTATAGCTTTGGGCAAGTAATGTAACTCCTTGCCTGTAAAATGGGCTCATACCTACATTATAGGCTGTTATGAGAATCAAACTGAGCTGGAGTGGGTTAAAGCACAATAGTGCTTGCTACATGGTACGTAGGATATCAGTGTTTTTGTTTTCCTTTGATTTGGCTGGCCTGAGGCCCTGATGTGAGGCTAATGGTCCCAGCACATCTAACCAGGCTGAGCATCCTGTTTCTTATTGGGGAGTGCCATGTGGCTCCAGGTTATGTCTTAGGTGAGCTCTGGTCTCTGTTCTTTGAAAGGCTTGCTTTGCAGGAGAAATGTCCTTGGGCAAGAAGCCGCTCTGGTGGGGCTGTCTCCCAGATACACACATGTGCATGTACACACACACACACACACACACACACACACTCCTGCGTAGCCCACTCCAAGGCACTCTATGAGCCTTTCACTCCTTGTTCAGCCTCATCAACACCTTATTATAAAATCCTTTTCCAGCACTCTGTCCAAAGGTCATCACAATTATAATCACTGCTGTAATTATGTCCAAACTCGTAGCCCCCCACTGGGGAGTGTGGGAGCACTGTCACCAGCCTAAGAGGCCCAGTTCTGTGAGGCCTGCTTGTCCCACCCTGCCACACTGGGAACAGCTATGCTGTCCCCATAGGGATGGCAATGGTAGTGAGGCTTGCCCTGTACCCTCAGAGATGCTTCCTTTATTCAAGCCACCTGTGCCCCACCTATGCCACCCCCCTGGAGTGCCCTCTATTCCCAGGGAGGGCCCTGCACAGAGGCAGGTGGGCGGGTGTCACATGGGTAGGGGAATGACAGTTTTCCTCACATCCTCCCTGATGCTCTTCAGGTGTCTCTCCTGCTGTTCCTGACGGGAGTGCAAGCTAAGTGAGAGATGAGACAGGGGTTTTGACAGGAAGGGCCTCACTGGGTGGCAGGATGGAGGTGAGATCCCTGTGCTGATGAACAGGTTATGTTGTGTGTTCATGCGACAGAATCAGACACATGCTCATTTTGCAGGTTGTGCAGAGAGGCCTGTAATCTCCAGAGACTCCTCACCTCAAAGTGCTTTGCCTATTGTTATGGCTGAACCGTGTCTTCTTAAAACTCATGTGTTAAAGTCCTAACCCCCAGGACCTCAGAATGTGATTACATACTCTGATGTAGAATCTTCAAAGAGGTAATAACTAAGGTTAAATGAGGTCATTAAAGTTCTTCTAGGCACCTTCTAGTTTTGAGCAACCTTAACATGAGAGTGGCCTGTGATGCTCCCGGGGCCTCCTCTGCCCAACTCACCAAGATTGGCTAGAAATAGGGGTTGGAGGGAACCTGGGAAGTGAGCCAACATTTCTTCTTGTGCTGTGATCCGTGCTATTCCTGGTCTCAAATTCTCTTTCCCCTCCACATTCTGCAGTGCCTCACTTTGCCTGTCTGTGTGCTGCTTACATGGATACCCATATTTTTAGGGGATAAGCACATTGACAGGGAATCAGCAGAATGCAGTAGAGGCAGGGATGGAGGAGAAAACAGAGCATGAGCAGGCTGTGCTGAAGGGGAAGGTTCACCTGAACCCCAGGAGATGCTGGGAGCCAGTGGTGGGTCTCACAGGTGCCTCAACTTTGGCCTGTGGCCCAGTGGGGAAGGGTATGGGGGTCTCCCCCATGTATGGAAAGTGCCATGCTGGTGGCTTACCCCTGAGGGGCACCTTCCATACCCCATGGCTCTGACACAATGTGGCTTCTAAGCCAAACACCTAAAAGGTGTTTAGAAGAAAAGAAGTCTGTGTTACGGGCAATATTGCACCCCTCTGTAAGGCTTTGCCAGCCTTAGAAGTCTCTGTAGCAGACCTCATCTGCAGCTAGAGACAGAACTGAAATAGGACGTAGCTGAGATACCTGGGTGTAATTCCGGGGGACACCACCCGGTACAGGGGAAACTTTGAAGACCTAAATCTTCTTCAGTAGTTTATATAGTAGTTCATATGGTCTCTATATAGTCACTGTCGTGTATATAGTCAAAGTGAGAAACTGAGTGGTGAGACTGTGACTCACTTTTACTCCCAGACAGGTATGGCCTGAAATTTTGGCAAATATTAACAATGGTTATAAAAACAGCTCATTAGGCATTTGTGATGTACTTAGCAAATGCATGCCCCAGGTAATGTGTTAATGTTTTCCATGCACTAAGACATTTATTAACCTTCATAACAACTGTATGCAGGAGGGTTATTAGCCGCTTTTTAATAGAGGCTTAGAGAGGTTTCAGTCACTTGTACAAGGACAGTGACCCAGGAAGTGAAGAAACTTGTGCCAGTAAGCTCAATGTCTAGCTTGAAAGTCCATGTGTGCAAGCTCTTTGCAATCTCTGTTACTGCAAAGCCTGCAAACTGAGCTACAGCATGTGGGAGGACTCATAGTCCCTAATGACACTAATGTGCCTACCATGTGCCAGCATTACGCAGTCCACATAGTTTATTTACTCACTGTGTAACAGGCCTCGGAGGCAGGTAATCATAGCCTCATTCTGGAGATGCAGAAACTAAGATTCAAAGAGAATAAGTCACCTGCTTGTGAATAGTACAGTTGGGATTCAAGCTCAGGCTGACACAAAAGCCCCCTCTTTTTAGGCTTATTTTAGTTCGAATAATAAGAAGTGTGTGTGTGTTGGGTAGTTTGCCCTGAGCTCCTGACAGCCTGTTTGATTTCAGCGATTTCCAGAAACACCTGGGAGTACATGACGGTAAGGCAGGATCTGGGCATCCTGCTGGTGCTGTGGACAGAGGCTTCCTATAGCAGCCCTGAGAGTGCACACCCAGCCCATGTGTGGGAGGGCAGAGCTGGTTCTCTCTCTGCTTTATTGATGTGGAGTGAGTTGAAGGTTATTGCAATGAATAATAAATGAGCTATCATAGAGGAGCCGATTATTCCGAAGTGTTACTGATGTTTGTGTTGATAAAAATGAATAAATGGCTAAGTGTTTGCAGGGAATGGAAGAGAAAAGGCATAAAGAGGAAATTCATATGTGCCTCTGATAGTTAGAAACAATGAGTCTTGAAGCAGAGGCAATCATGGAATGGGATAAAACAGCTTTGTGATTTGTTATGTAGGGAAAATAATGACAGAATCTTTCATCTCTGGCCATGTTGGCTGCAAAGTGGCAATAGACATTGGCTTTGAACAGAGGAGATAAGAGACCAAGAGAAAAAAAAAGTTCAGAACAGTGAATAAAAGAGCCAAGTTGTGGCTTGGCTTTTCTCCCAGAGACAGAGACATATGAGGAAGGACAGGGCTGCAACCATTTCAGCCTCTCTGTAGATAGAAGAAGAGGGCCTGACTGGCCCCAAATGGGGGTGGAGGGGCTTCTCCCAGGATTGAAAGCCAAGATCACATGTAAAAAGATCATGAGAAGTCAAATTCAATGGATGGGGGTCAGCCAGGTGTGGAGTAGCTCTTTGGTACAGATGACCCTACTCCCGGGTACAATTCCTGTCAAGCTGGCCACAAATTCTCCTCTTTCTTTACTGCTCAGAAAAAGCATATCAGAATGCAACAGAGTGAGAATGATGCTATGTCCATGATTCCCAAACTCTGTGCTGAGAGCACCTCAGTAAACTTAGAGGGTGCAATGGGATATTTTTTTTTCTTTTTTTTTTATTATACTTTAAGTTTTAGGGTACATGTGCACATTGTGCAGGTTAGTTACATATGTATACATGTGCCATGCTGGTGCACTGCACCCACTAACTCGTCATCTAGCATTAGGTATATCTCCCAATGCTATCCCTCCCCCTCCCCCCACCCCACAACAGTCCCCAGAGTGTGATATTCCCCTTCCTGTGTCCATGTGATCTCATTGTTCAATTCCTACCTATGAGTGAGAATATGCGGTGTTTGGTTTTTTGTTCTTGCGATAGTTTACTGAGAATGATGTTTTCCAATTTCATCCATGTCCCTACAAAGGACATGAACTCATCATTTTTTACGGCTGCATAGAATTCCATGGTGTATATGTGCCACATTTTCTTAATCCAGTCTATCATTGTTGGACATTTGGGTTGGTTCCAAGTCTTTGCTATTGTGAATAATGCCGCAGTAAATATACCTGTGCATGTGTCTTTATAGCAGCATGATTTATAGTCCTTTGGGTATATACCCAGTAATGGGATGGCTGGGTCAAATGGTATTTCCAGTTCTAGATCCCTGAGGAATTGCCACACTGACTTCCACAACGGTTGAACTAGTTTACAGTCCCACCAACAGTGTAAAAGTGTTCCTATTTCTCCACATCCTCTCCAGCACCTGTTGTTTCCTGACTTTTTAATGATTGCCATTCTAACTGGTGTGAGATAGTATCTCATTGTGGTTTTGATTTGCATTTCTCTGATGGGCAGTGATGATGAGCATTTTTTCATGTGTTTTTTGGCTGCATAAATGTCTTCTTTTGAGAAGTGTCTGTTCATGTTCTTTGCCCACTTTTTGATGGGGTTGTTTGTTTTTTTCTTGTAAATTTGTTTGAGTTCATTGTAGATTCTGGATATTAGCACTTTGTCAGATGAGTAGGTTGCAAAAATTTTCTCCCATTTTGTAGGTTGCCTCTTCACTGTGATGGTAGTTTCTTTTGCTGTGCAGAAGCTCTTTAGTTTAATTAGATCCCATTTGTCAATTGCAATGGGATATTTTTAACGTTTGGAGGGAAACTTGATATCCTCCGGACATCACGGTAATACCAGCTCTGCTAATACAGTTTCAACTTTAGGTTAAGCTACGTTCCTTTTGATGACATCATGTCTTTGCAAACAGAGGCTTTTAGTCATTGCTGTGGTTAAAATAAAGTATGGTATGTAAACCACTGTAGAGCAGGCAATGAAGATCATGGTGTCTAATCTGATTCCAAGGTTTAAGAAGTTGTGTAGTGCCCAACAAATATACAGATCCCATTATTAAGTAATTATAGTTATTTCAGAATGAAATAAAAATATTTTTTAAATCAATTTATGTGATTGTTTTTTGACACATAATTATACATATTTATGGAGTACAGTGAGATTTTCAATACATGTATACATTGCATAATGATGAAATCAGGGTATCTAGCATTTCCATCATCTCAAACATTCATCATTTCTTTGTGGTGAGAAGATTCAAAAATCCTCTTTTCTAGCTACTTTGAAATACAGCATATGACATTGTTAACCATAACCACCCTCTGGGAAATAGCACACCAGAACTTATTTCTCCTATCTGTGACTCTCTACTCATTAACCTATCTCTCCCTTCTTCTCTTCCTTCTACCTTCCCCAATTTCTGGTAACCACTATTCTGCTTCCTGCTTCTATGAGATCAGCTTTTTTAGATGCTGCATATGAGTGATATCATGCAGTATTTATCTTTCTGTTTCTGGCTCACATCACTTAACACAATATTCTCCAGGTTCATCCACGTTGCCACAAGTGGCAGGATTTTATTCTTTTTTTTATGGCTGAAATGTATTCCATTGAGTATATATACCACATTACAAAAAATCCATCTGTCTATTGATGGACACTTGGGTTGATTCCATATCTTGACTATTGTGAATAGTGCTGCAGTAAACACGGGAGTGCAGCTATCTCTTCGATACTCTGATTTCCTTTCTTTTAGGTATATACCCAGTAATGGGATTTCTGGATCACATGGTAGTTCTATTTTAATTTTTTGAGGAACGGCCCACTGTTTTCCATGGTTGCTGTACTAACTTGCTGTTTCATCAGCAGTGTATAAGTTCTTTCTTGAGATCCTTGCCAGCATTTGTTATCTTTTGTCTTTTTGATGATAGCCATTCTAACTGGGGTAAAGTGATATCTCATTGTGATTTTAATTTCATCTCCCTAATGATTAGTAGTGTTGAACATTTTTTCATATACCTGTTGGTCATTTGTACGTCTTCTTTTGAGAGATGCCTGTTCAGATTTTTTGACCGGTTTTTTTTTTTTTTTTTTTTTTTTTTTAAGATGGAGTCTTGCTCTGTCACCTAGACTGGAGTGCAGCGGCACCATCTTGGCTCACTGCAACCTCCACCTCCTGGGTTCAAGCAATTCTCCTGCCTCAGCCTCCCGAGTAGCTGGGATTACAGACACACGCCACCATGCCCGGGTAATTTTTGTATTTTTAGTAGAGACTAGGTTTCACCATATTGGCCAGGCTGGTCTCAAACTCCTGACCTCATATGATCCACCCACCTCGACCTCCCAAAGTGCTGGGATTACAGGCGTGAGCCACCACACCCAGCCCTTTTTGCCCATTTTTAAATTGGATGTTGTTTTTTGGCTTTTGAGGTTTTTGCATTACTTATATATACTTGATATTAACCCTTATCAGATGTGTAGTTTGCAAATATTTCTATAGTTTTCCTCTTCACTGTGTCGATTGTTTTCTTTGCTGTGCAGAAGCTTTGTATTTTGATGAAATCTCATTTGTCTATTTTTGCTTTTGTTGCCTGTGCTTTTGTGTTCTTGACAAAAAAATCTTTGCCCAGACTAATGTCATGGAGGATTTATTCTAATAGCTTATAGTTTTAGGATCTACATTTAAGTCTTTAATCCATTTTGAGTTGATTTTTGTATATGGTGAGAAATAGGGTCTAGTCTCATTCTTCTGCATGTGAATATCCAGCTTTCCCAGCACCATTTGTTGAGTGGTTCTTTCTCCAATGTGTGTTCTTGGCACTTTTATCAATCAGTTGCTGTAAGTACGTAGGTTTATTTCTGGGTTCTCCATTCTGTTCCATTAGTCTGTGCATCTATTTTTGTGCCAGTACCATGCTATTTGGTTACTATAGCTTTGTTGTATATTTTGAAGACAGGAAGTGTAATGACTCCAGCTTTGTTCTTTTTGCTCCAGATTGCTTTGGCTATTTAGGATCTTTTGTGGTTCCATATACATTTTAGGATTGTTCAATATACGTTTTAGGACTTTTATATTTCAGTGAAGTACATCATTGGTATTTTGATAGGGATTACACTGGATGTGTAGATTGCTTTGGGTAGTATGAACATTTTAAACAATATTCTATCAATCCATGAACATGGATGTCTTTATATATGTTTTCTTCAGGTTTTCATCAATGTTTTATAGTTTTCATTGTAAAGCTTTTTCACCTCCTTGGTTAAACTCATTCCTAGGTGGGAGGCTGAGGTGGGATGATCACTTCAGCCCAGGAGTTTGAGACTAGCCTGGGCAACATAGTGAGACTTCCACTTCTACAATTTTTTTTTAAATTACCTGGGCACGGTGGAGTGTGCCTGTAATGTTAGCTACTTAGGAGGCTGAGATGGGAGGGTCACTTGAGTCTGTGATGTTGAGACTGCAATGAGCCGTGATGGTGCCATTGCACTCCAGCCTGGGTGGCAGAGCAAGACCCTGACTAAAAAAAAATTCCTAGGTGTTATTTTTGTGGTGATTATAAATGGGATTGATTTCTTGATTTTTTTCTGGATAGTTCACTATTGGTGTATAGAAACACTATATGTGCATTGTTTAAAAAATCAGCTACTGTTAGGACATACTTATTAAATTGTTTAGCTCTAACTAAAGATGAGGTATTTCTGTTAATCATGAACATGAAAAAAATTGTGGAGACACTAAGGATCCTGTCAACAGGGAAAGTGGGGGGGAACTTCTGTTAGGTCCTAGCAGGAAACCAATGGCACACTCAAACTGGATAATTTAAAGAGAGTTTGAGAAAGGAATTTTTTTCAAAGATGTGGGAAAGGTATAGAGAAATCACAAGGAATAGGCAGTATCCTGAGGTTAGTACTGGGGAGAGGGAATTGGAAAAGTTGGGAGGAAAAAAGAGGGTGGGAGGGAAGAAGTGGTTATTACAACCTGTAGATCATGCTGTGGAGAGAGGCCTGTCTCACAGTAGTAAAGAGCTTCAGCTCAGCAACATGGTCAGCTTCAGTTCTTGGCATAGAGATCTGGGAAAAGAGGTGCCCTGACCTCACTCTTATCCTTCCCTCTCTCCCAGTTTCTGCAGGTGTTCCCCACTGGCCAAGCCCAGGAGAGGGCAAGGGAGCCTCTTGACATAACCACAGGACTTAGCTTCCCTGGTACAAAAGAAGGTGGAAGACTAGTCCTGGAAGGGCAACCAGGAGCAATCCAATATATTATGATACAGCTAAATTTGAATCTGCTGTTGCTTATACAAAGAATAGTGAATCCTTCTCAAGCTTCAGAATCAATAAGAACACGCATTTATCAAGCACTTTACTGTGTGCTCTGCTGAGTTAAGCACTTTACAGGCATTATCTCATTTAATCCATAAACAACCTTACCAAGTAGATTCTATTGTTCACTCCAAAATGGAAGATAGAACAAATACATGGCAGCATTGCTGTGAAGAGGAGAGAAAATGAGGAGGAGAGAAAATGCATCAAGGTAACTTCCTTCATGTACATAGTGGGCTCAGTCAATGGAAAAAAAAAATTTTGTTTGCTTTTTTGAGACAGAATCTCACTCTGTTGCCCAAGCTTGAGTGCAGTGGTGCAATTTCGGCTCACTGCAACCTCCACCTCCTGGGTTCTGGCGATTCTTGTGCCTCAGCCTACCAGTAGCTGGGACCACAGACATGTGCTGCCATGCCCAGCTAATTTTTTTTTTTTTTTTTTTTTTTTTTTTTTTTTTTTTTTTTAGTAGATACAGGGTTTTACCATGTTGGCCAGACTAGTCTCAAACTCCTGGCCTCAAGTGATCTGACCACCTTGGCCTCCCAAAGTGCTGTGATTCCAGGTGTGAGCTACCATGCCTGGCCATCAATGGAAATATTTTTTGCTATAATTTTTTTTTTTATTAAAAAATCTTTCCAATAGGGAAGAAAAAGTGTTGGCCAACTAACATAAAGGTATTTCTTTCCTTGGCACTTCCATTTCCCAGTCAAAATTCACAAAATGGCCTCTGGCTCTTGCGAGTTAGATGAGTGGTCATTAACATTCTGGATTCCTCCAGAATCCAGTTACTTTTGTGTTTCCCATTCTGCAGTGTGGTGGATGAAACCAATGCCATGGTGGCCTCACCAAGGTGCCACATCCCACAGAGACCAGGCTGCAACACTGGCTTGTCATAGTTATGCCATGGTGGCTCTCAAAGGATCCCCACGGGGAACACCAAAATCACATCATGGTGGCCTTTTCCCTACTCATCAATAACATCAAGGTCTTGGGATAGAACTTTCTCAATTCTAACTTTTTCTTCCATAAATTTTCTTTAAACTGAGCCAAAAATGAATGAACAATAAACATTAATGGGAAATTTTAAAATGTGATTTTTAAAGGAGTGTTTTATGTATTGTTACTTTTTTGAGATGCAGAAACCTGCATGCATATAATATAGCCATATTTTCTGGTAGTAAAGTTGTTGCTGACTCGTGTGACAGAATTAAGTGCATCAATTTTTTCTTGTGGTTATGCAGAAAGCATCCCATCTTCCCAATGTCTGAAAGAATTTGAAACTACTTTGATAGAAAAACTTGCATATGGTATAAAATTTAGGCTCTAGGAACATTGTGAGCATTACCACTATCATCATCATCACTGTCATCATCACCTCTGTCATCATTATGAAGATCATTTCTTTCCAAGGGAATCAAAATGTGTCCTCTGTGTGTCTTCGCTACATTATATTAAGCAGTGGTTCTCAAAGTGAGGCTTCTGGACCAAGCAGTGTCAGCAAATGCAAATTCCTAGGCCTTACCTTAGAAAAACTGAATCAGAATCTCTGGGCATGGAGCCCAGCAATCTGTGTTTTGATAAAGCCTCCAGGTTGAGAACCATTGTTTTTTAGTAATTCTTACACAAGCCAGTGAGATAGGAGCCACTGTTTCCATTTCAGTGCTATGAAAACAAAGGGTGAGAGAATATTGCAGTTATTAAATGGTGAGACTAGAGCATGGATTGAATTCTTCCACCTCTAGGATGAGTCCTTATCCCAACATCACTCTTATATACATAACTAATGAATCAGGAAACTGTGCGTCCACTCTTTTGTGGAAGATATATTAATAGGTAAGGCACAGTTGCCAGAACTTACTCTCTTAAGAAGATAAGGCAGGAAACGCTTAGCAATTAAATGCTAAGTGGCATCATTTCCAATGTCATAGGTTTTTGGTGATGAAAGAGGTCACTGTGGGCTGGACTGAGTGGTGTCCCCTGGAATTGTTCAAAGTACTCCAAGTTGCTAAGATCTTGATCAAATATCTCTAGAAATAAGTGGTCTTCAGTTAGGTCTGGAAGGACAAAGTGGATCTGGCTGGCTGGTGGAGGAGGAGGAGGTCAATAGTTGATTAGCAAATGGACAAGAAGGGTGTGACTTTCTATTGTTAAAACAGGTTAAAGCTGAGAAGCAGCAGCCAGCAAAAGCCTTGACTGAAAGATGAGCACCTTGAGACCTCTTACTGCAAAATAAATTCTGTAGATTGCATCTCCACCTGTTGGTTGGGATACTGATTCTATTCCACTATGAGGAGGTAGCCATTTCCTTCCTAGCCCCTCTCCAATTTACTGCTAGACCAGGGGTGGCAAACCTTTTCTATAAAGGGCCAGGCAGTAAACATTTTGGTCTTTGCGATCCATATGGTCTGTGTTGCAACCTGTCAACTCTGCTACTGTATGAAAGCAGCCATGGGCAATATGTAAATTGATGGGCATGGCCGTGTTCTAATAAAACTATATTTGTGGACACTGAAATTTGAATTTTACATACTTTTCACGTGTCACAAAATATTCTTTTGATTTTTTTTCAACAATTTCAGTGTAAAACCCATTCTTAGCTTGTGGGTCATATAAAAACTGGTGGCAGGCCAGATTTGGCCTATAGGCTATAGTCAGCTGATCCTTGTACTAGACCATAAACCTTACAAGGATAGAATCTTTTCTGCTCACTATCATATACCCAGGACCTGTCGCAGTGCCTCATACACAGTGGCCACTCAAAAAAAATCTGTTGAATGAATGAATGAATGAATGAATACAGTCTGTCTATTCTCCTTTGTTTCCTCTTCTCTGAATTTGTCCAAAGAAAATATGAGGTAAGGAAGCTGAGAAAGAGTAATCAGAAGGTATCCAATGCCTTCTCTTGTCTACATCTTAGGTAGGAATTCACAAAGCTTCTGATTTTAGTGAAAAGAAAGATTAAATAAAAGTCTCTGTAAGGGCTTTAGTTGTCAATCTGCCCTGAAGTTCAGAAATACTAAACTCAGAGCTCAAATATGCCAAGAATGTTTTTTTTTTTAAGCCTAAGAATAAATCTAGAATTATAAAGTTGTTTCCTACTTAACCCCAGAGGGTACACTGAGATTAAGTATAATTGTTTATAGTTGTGAGTTAGTAAGGATGTGTTCATAATGCAAAGAACTGCGTGGTTTTAAATGTTCTAAGTTGTGCATTACTTTAAAAATATATGGTAACGAGATATGAATAATTGGTGTTTGGTGAGGTTGAAGTTTCTGTAAAATGTATTTCAGGCTGTGCATTGGAGCTGTAAAAGTGCAACACTGACACCTTCCATGAAAAACCAGGCGGGTGCTGGAGGCCATAACTGAGACAGTGTTGAGCATGGAGGAACAGGTCATGTCAATGAGCTTTAACCAATAAAGCATCTTGGAAACATCTGAGAAATCAAAAATATGACTTGCAAAGGGTGATTATATACATGGGGAGGATAACTAGGAAAGAGCCTCAAAGGCTAGACCTTCCTTCTGGGATAGGGGAGGAGGATATATGCCCTTTGGGAAGAGAACAGAGCTAGCTAGGCACTTCAGATCAGAGCTGTGGGTGCTAACAACTAATTTGTGCTGGTTGAAACTTACCATTGTCCAAGACCTTCCCTTTCTGGGTCATTCTTAACAATTACTATTATACTTTAATAATTCAATATAGAGTATTTATATATATGTGTGTATATATATATATATATATATATATATATATATATATATAACTTTTTAAATAGAGCTTAACTGGATGGAGACATTCACTGTGTTGCTGAAATCCCTTTTATTCAGACCATGATTCCGTTATTGTTTATTTTTTCTGCTTTTCCAGCACTCATTACCTCCTTCATTGTAATGGGGGCGGGCCTCATCCCTCTGCCTCTTTCCATTTAACTGAGGCGGCTCTCACCCTCTGGACCAGGCAAGGGCACATGATCTTGGGCTAGCCAATCAAAACATTTCATTCTTCTAGCCATAGTGATTGGTTCAGGAATGAGCATATGACCTAAGCTAGACCAATGAGAACCATTCCCAGGTCTTTCCTGAGCCCACTGATTAAGTAGTTAAGCTTCTAGGCTGCTAACTGGAAGCTTCTGTTGGTGACTTCCTTGAGGGAGGATTTTTTTTTTTTTTTTTTTTTTTTGAGACAGAGTCTTGCACTGTCACCCAGGCTAGAGTGCAGTGGCATGATCTTGGCTCACTGCAACCTCCGCCTCCTGGGTTCAAGTGATTCTCCTGCCTCAGCCTCCCGAGTAGCTGGGATTATAGACATGTACCACCATGCCCCGCTAATTTTTGTATTTTTAGTAGAGACGGGGTTTCACCATGTTGGCCAGGCTGGTCTTGAACTCCTGACCTCGTGATCCACCTGCCTTGGCCTCCCAAAGTGCTGGGATTACAGGCCTGAGCCACCGCGCCTGGCCTGAGGGAAGGACCTCTTGAGAAGGGAGGTATCACAAAGATGGCCACTGCCAATTTACCTTCCCTTGTGGATCTTTTGCTTTCTAATCTTCGCTGTGGTGGGGAATAATCTCTACTCAAAGTGTTTGGTGGATTACATGAAAAATACACAGCAGGTATTTGGAAGCATTTCCATCTTCCTTTCTTCCTTCTTTCCTCTTTTTCTCCTATCTCTCTTTTCTTCCCTCCCTCCTTCCTTCTCCCCAACCTTACCTTCCTTTCAAGGAACTTTCCCCAAAGGGAGATTATTTAGGTACAGGCTTGGCAACTTTTTCCCAGTGACTTCTCTTCCATGGGACTGGGGCAGCCACGGGGCAGTTTCTTGAAGGCTTCAGTGAAGGTGAGATTTGTAGGGCTTTTGTGATCACCTGGAGGATGCAGGGCTGAGATTGGTAGAGGGTGGAGGTTAAAGGAGCAGATCCTTTTTGGCCATGAAAAAGAACTTTCTAACCAAAGCATTTTTCAATAAAGGCAAGAGCATCTTAGGTGGTGTTTCCAACCTGGGGCATCCAGCCAAGGATTAATGGCCATCTCTCAGTGTATTAGGATTCTCCAGAGAAACAGAATCAATATAATATGTTTGTGTGGATGTATTTTAAAAACTAATTTATTTTAAGGAATTGACTCACATGATTGTGGAAGCTGGCAAGCCCAAAACCTATAGAGTAGGCTGGCAGGTTCCAGGCTACCCTGGCACCCAGGGAATAGTTGATATGGCAGCTTGAGTTTGAAGACAGTCTGGAGGCAGAATTTCTTCTTCCCCAGGGTACCACAATCTGTTTTTTCTTAAGGCCTTCAACTGATTGGATGAGGCCCACTTACATTACAGAAGGTAACCTGCTTTACTCAAGGTCTACTGATTTAAATGTAAATCTCATCTGAAAAATACCTTCACAGTAACATCCAGACTGATGTTTGACCAAACGTCTGCGTACTGTGGACTAACCAGGTTAACATATAAAATTAACCATCATGAGTCTACCCTTGTCAACTTCGTGCCCATTCACATTTCTGTAAGTCATTTTAATCTCCAAATAGAGACAATAACAAGATTATGCTTCTGCCTAACATGATACAACCGTCCTGTGTGCAACTGAAAACATGCTAACCCTTTCTCCGGAAAATACAAAGTCTTTGAGTGATACTTTTCTTCATGATATCCCGTAGCTTAAGTACTATGATGTAAAGTTAACAATACGTAAATACCGTGATATAAAGTCAACACGTTACATGACAAGGGGAGAAAAAAGGGAAGAAAACAAAGATATTTGCTTCTTACATACATGCAAACTTTCCATAAAAAATAAGGAATAAAAACTCATGATAATTATGTTTCCCATTTCTATAGCTGGTCACAGCTGGTGTTTATAACTACCTTCTTCTGTCCGTTCTGTATTTCCTTTGCCCTTGACAAGCACCTCAGCTAGTTGTGGCTTTTGACTTGCTGGGGTGACTCTAACCTTCATTTCTGAAGGGTCCAGGTCATTAGTCCTAGGATGGGGTTGTTACAGTTTTGCACTGACTTTAATCACAAGGCATGATAATACTAAGTGATGCTCTCAGGAATCTCTTATATTCCAAACACACTCTTCCTTACCTACATTGTGGAATAGCAGTCCGATTTCCCCTTGGTAGTCAGGATTAATCAGCCCAGCCAGCATAGTAACTTTCTTACTTGCTGTTGCTTCAGAGGCAGGAGAATCCCAGAGTAGCGGTTTTAACTTCTAGTTCAACAGGATTGTTGGGTCTCCTGATGAAAGTGTTCCTCCCCTTAGAACCAGGACCTCTAGGCCAGCATAGCATAAGGTTGCAGAAACAAGCAAAAATTTTGATAGTGGGTCACTAGGGGAAATCGTGAGTGGCGTCACTCTCATTCCCACTCCTGGATTCCTGAACCCATGAATTCTGGCTATGGGAGAAACAGCACCATATATTGGACACTGATTCAGAGCTTCTACAGCCTCCTGGGGAACCCTGCCCTAGCCTTGCAAGGTATTGTCACCTAGCTGGGGCTGTAACTAAACCTTCAAAAGTTCATTCTACTATTCTGTCAAGCCAACTGCATTAGAATGGTGGGAAACATGGTTAAACCAGTGAATTTCATGAGTGTGGGAAGTGAGTTCCCTGATCAGAAGCAGTGCTGCGTGGAACACCATGATGGTGGATGATACATCCTGTAAACCCATGGATGGTAGTTTTGGCAGAAGCACTGCATGTAGGGAAGGCAAATTTGTATCAAAAATAAGTTTCTATTCCAATAAGAAACAATTCTGCCTCTTCTGTGGTGGAAGGGGTTCAGTGTAATCAGCCTGTCACCAGGTAGCTGGCTGATCTCCCTGGGAAATGATGCCATCTGGGGAGTCAGTGTTGGTCTCTGTTGCTGGCAGACTGGGTATGCAGTGATAGCCATAGCCAGGTTAGTCTTACCGAGTGGAAGTCCATGTTGCTAGGTCTGTGCGTGACCTCCATCTCTGCTACCATGACCACTTAGTTCATGAGCCTGTTGGGCAATATCAGGGGTGTCTTGGGAAAGAGGCTGACTAGTAGCCACAAAATGGGTTATCCAATCCACTTGACTATTACAATCTTCGTCTGCTGAGGCCACTGTTTGATGAGTATTCAAATGGGACATAATTCCTTTAACATTTTTTGCCAATCCAGAGAGGTCTATCCACATACCTCTTCTCCAGACCTTGTCCTATTTTCCAATCATGGTCAAGTCCCTTACCTTATAGCGAAACCATTGGTCACAGCCCATGAATCAGTACCCAGCCACACATCTGACTATTTCTTTTTCCAAGTGAAATGAACAACCACGTGTGCTGCTTGAAGTTCTGCCCACTGAGAGAATTTCTCTTCACCACTGTGCTTCAGGGATGTCCCAGAGTGGGGCTGTAGCACTGCTGCTGTCCATTTCCAAGTGATGCCTGCATATCGTGCAGAACCATCTGTAAATCAGGATTATTTTCTTTTTCTCTGTGAAGGGATCCTATGGAACTCCCCATGAGACACACTCACATTATGGAGGGTAATCTGCTTTACTCACAGTCTGATTTAAATGTTAATCTCATCTAAAATACCTATTCACAACAACATCCAGACTTATATTTGCCCAAATATCTGGGTACCATGGCCCAGCCAAGGTGACAAATAAAATTAACCATCACGATCAGGGATGCAATAGAGGGGGCTTCTGTTCAGGGAGGCAGTCTGGACTAAGCTTCCAAGAGGACTTCTGGCTTGCAAATTGCAATCTCTGATTTGTTCAGCTAATGCTACCGCCAGGTGCTCCTCCCTTCAGTGTGGACCTAGAAAAGGTATTCTTTCTCTATGGCAGTGGTTCTTAAGCTCTTCAGTGCATGAGAATCACCTGAAGGACTTGTTGAAACACCAATTGTGGGGCTGCATCATGAATTTCTGATTTAGCAGTTTGGGGATGAGCCTCCAAATCTGCATTTGTAACACATTCCCAGGGGTTGCTGATGCCGCTGGCCCAGGGACCACTCTTTGAGAACCCCTCTCCTATGGGTTCACTAATTTCATGAATGATAACTGGTGTATTGTTGAAAAAGCACCAGGCTAGGAGATAGGAGACCTGAGTTCTTGCCACTTGCTACTTCATCTAGCTGTGAGTATGTGGGCAAGTCACTTGCCCTCTCTGGGCTTTCCTCATCCCTAAAAAGAGACAAGTCACTGGTGTCTATCTTTTTAGGACAGTGGGCCTCCTTCAATCAGCTTTCCTTTTGGTGGGCACCATGATTTTGAGGGATTATTTTTTCCCCAGAAATACAATGTGTATTTAAATAGTAGCCTGGGTAGACTGATTTATGGCAAATACCTAATTTTCTTTGGTCTTTTTTGAAATAAAAACAGTAGCTCAGGGATCTCTGCATCCATAACCACTAAATTAAATGATATTTACAATTTCCTCTCATAGCTCAAAGAATGTGACGTTCGAGAACAATCAGGACACAATGCCAAGCCTTAACTTTTGGGATGATTATGAGCTTTGGTGCCTGCTGAGGTTGCCAATAGCTTGTTGAGGATGCTGTCTGGGGCATTTCAGGTTATTAGCTGGGAATTTGACTACGTGGCTTTCGAGGTTTCTTAGCTCTAAGACCATGGTTTTCGGCCCCCACAGACTCTTCCAGGTCATCCCTTGGGGCCCACAGTTGAGAGTTTAGAGTTGGTGCTAATTCAAAGGTTTTAGGGTTCATCTTCCAGGCATGTTCTTCAGGAGGAGCATTAGCGTCTCAAAGAGATTAACGAGTTAAATGAGTGTAGGTGCTTCCTGTTAGACTTTTGTTAAGCAGAATGAGCTCAGATGTGTCCTATGTTGATAAATATATCACCTGAGCCTCACACACCCAGAAGGGATGACTGCTGAACATCTGGGCCTCTGCTAGCTGCTGGAATCCCTGCCTATGCTGGTTGGCAACACCTCTGTACTCACATCTTTTCCAGCTAAGTGAACGGTTAGCTTATGCTAAAAACACGTGTGAGTGTGATCATTTGTGTGCAACGCATGGAGTCGAACCGCTACCATTTGGTAGGGTGGGGGAGGGGAAGGTTGCTGTTTTGAATATGCTTTTCTTTGAAAGCATGAAAAACCAAATGTGTCTGTGAATTGGAGTACATTTTAGAGACTTTCCCTATACATTCAAGTTCATAAGATCCTTTTTTATACAAGTGTTTTCTAAGCACTAACTGCCTCCCAGGTTCAATGTGAACTCCTGAGAAAATGTCATTTTGGCCCCAGTTCCTCACAGTTGAGCAAGGCAGCCAGTCTAAACAGACATTAACGGAAATGCAGAAAGCTAAAGTGGGGACTGATGAGGAAGAAAATTACCTCCCTGGGGGCTGTCAGGAAAAGCTGCTCTTCAGACCAGCTAAATAGCTAACTTTGGGACTGATACAAGCAAGGTAAGCCTTTCAAATGGGAAAATCAATGGATGTTTTAATGCTGGCTCTTTGAAGGATGTGGTACTCACCAAGCCAAGGAGGGGAGCATTTCCAGCAGAGGGAGCAGCATGTACAAACCGCCAGTTGTTTTGGATGGGTCAAGAAGCCGTGTAGCTGAGTATGGAGGGAAGCTGGGGTAGGTGAGAGTGAGCACAGGAAATCAGGAAAATCAAGACCACACTGCAGCATTTCTTTTGTGTCATGCTACAGATGTGTCATACTAGAGAGCAGTGATTCTCAAACTTGAGCATGCATCAGAATCACTGAGAGGGCTGTGGACACCCAGATTGCTGGGTCCCATCTCGAGAGCTTCTGATTCAGTAGGTTAGAAAACATGCACTTCTGGCTGGGCATGGTGGCTCACGCCTGTAATCCCAGCACTTTGGGAGGCCGAGGCAGGCAGATCACTTGAGGCCAGGAGTTTGAGACAAGCTTTGCCAACATGGTAAAACCCCGTCTCTACTAAAAATACAAAATAGCAGCTGGGCATGGTGGTTCATGCCTGTGGTCCCGGCTACTTGGGAGGCTGAGACATGAGAATTACTTGAACCTGGCAGGCAGAGGTTGCAGTGTGCCCAGATTGCACCACTGCACTCCAGCCTGGGCGACAGAGTGAGGCTCTGCCTCAAAAAGCAAAAACAAAAAAAAGCAAAAACCATGCATTTCTAACTGCCCAGATGATGATGATGCTAGTTTAGGGACCATACTTAGAGAATCACTGTTTATAGAGTTTGGATCTCTGAGCAATAGAGTATTCCTGAGAATTTTCTAAGAAGGAGTATTACAAAGTCAGACATGCATTTTGGAAGAAGCATTATGAAGAAATTGTGGCAACCATGCTGGAGTGGGTAGTCAGGGGACGGGCAGGTCAGTTACACAGTGGTTGAAATGGTTGAAGCAACTGAGAATGGGTGAGGCCTGAACTAGGTGGTTTAAAAGTGTGAGAGGTGCTGGGTTTTCAGCCTGGAGTGTGGGCTCCATCTTATCAGCCTATTCTGGCATTGAGTTTCGCCCTCCTGGCCTAGTGAGTCATTCTGCAGGTGGGATCACTGAGGCTTTGAGTCACGTGCCAGGTCATTCAAAAGGCAAAGCACTGTCTCTCAATGAGAGGCAAAAGATAGTATTTTTACCCAAATTCTGCAGGATGATCTATTGTGGTTTTCATTTTCTCAGCACATTTTATTCAATTTTACTAGGTCATTTAGCAAATAATTTTAATTTTCTGCTTAGATCAGAATTTCAGAAAGTAATGTACTGTTGTACTATTAATGGGTCCTCTAATAAGCTCCACTAGAATGCAATTTGCAAATCATTCACAAACATAACTGTCACTCTGCCTGGTTGTCAATTAACACACTCCTCTGTCATTCTCCTTGAGAGGGCCCAGAGATTTCTGGGAGACTCCTGTACCTGGCTGGGCCTCCCGTGAGCCTCTGTGAAAGGGGAAAGCAGATAAGGGAGTCAGAACTCATTTCAATGTTGAGCTGTGGCACCTGCTGCATTCTTGTTTCCCACTGCGGGGCAGCTGGTTCCTAATCTCAAAACTGAATCGCACCTTGGGTTGCATGGATCAAGTAATTGTAACAACTTAGCAGGTTAAACATCCAGGCATGTGGGGATTTCAGCTGCAGGATGGTGGTGGATGAAGAGTAGGAGAAGGAGCAAAATTTACTAAACACAGCTTTATGCCAAAACTGCATTAGGACATTCTTTTTATTGATATTATTTTTAATACAAATAATACATTAATACAAGTTTTTTTGGCAATTTATTTTAGCAATAAATAATTTGCCTCTTACTCTGCTAACAAGTTAAAACAGGGGTTGGCAAACTATGTCCATAGGACAAATCTATCCCACAGAGTGTTTCTGTAAGTAAAGTTTCATTGGAACACAGCCACATCCTTTCAGTTACACATTATCTATGGCTGCTTTCCTCCTGCAATTGCAAAGTTGAATAGTTGTGACAAAGCCTCACGAAGCTGAAAATATTTGCTGTGTGGTTCATATATATATATATATATATATATATATATATATATTTTTTTTTTTTTTTTTATATTATACTTCAAGTTCTAGGGTACATGTGCACAACGTGCAGGTTTGTTACATATGTATACGTGTGCCATGTTGGTGTGCTGCACCCATTAACTTGTCATTTATATTAGGTATATCTCCTAATACTATCCCTCCCCGCTCCCCCCACCCCACAACAGGCCCCGGTGTGTGATGTTCCGCTTCCTGTGTCCAAGTGTTCTCATTGTTCAGTTCCCACCTATGAGTGTGAACATGCAGTGTTTGGTTTTTTCTCCTTGCGATAGTTTGCTGAGAATGATCGTTTCCAGCTTCATCCATGTCCCTACAAAGGACATGAACTCATCATTTTTTATGGCTGCATAGTATTCCATGGTGTATATGTGCCACATTTTCTTAATCCAGTCTATCGTTGTTGGACATTTGGGTTGGTTCCAAATCTTTGTGATTGTGAATAGTGCTGCAATAAACATACGTGTGCATGTGTCTTTATAGCAGCATGATTTATAATCCTTTGGGTATATACCCAGTAATGGGATGGCTGGGTCAAATGGTATTTCTAGTTCTAGATCCTTGAGCAATTGCCACACTGACTTCCACAATGGTTGAAGTAGTTTACAGTCCCACCAACAGTGTAAAAGTGTTCCTATTTCTCCACATCCTCTCCAGCACCTGTTGTTTCCTGACTTTTTAATGATTGCCATTCTAACTGGTGTGAGATGGTATCTCATTGTGATTTTGATTTGCATTTCTCTGATGGCCAGTGATGATGAGCATTTTTTCATGTGTTTTTTGGCTGCATAAATGTCTTCTTTTGAGAAGTGTCTGTTCATATCCTTCACCCACTTTTTGATGGGGTTGTTTTTTTCTTGTAAATTTGTTAGAGTTCTTTGTAGATTCTGGATATTAGCCCTTTGTCAGATGAGTAGATTGTAAAAATTTTCTCCCATTCTGTAGGTTGCCTGTTCACTCTGATGGTAGTTTCTTTTGCTGTGCAGAAGCTCTTAAGTTTAATTAGATCCCATTTGTCAATGTTGGCTTTTGTTGCCATTGCTTTTGGTGTTTTTGAGATGAAGTCCTTGCCCATGCCTATGTCCTGAATGGTATTGCCTAGGTTTTCTTCTAGGGTTCTTATGGTTTTAGGTCTAACGTGTAAGTCTTTAATCCATCTTGAATTAATTTTTGTATAAGGTGTAAGGAAGGGATCTAGTTTCAGCTTTCTACTTATGGCTAGCCTGTTTTCCCAGCACCATTTGTTGAATAGGAAATCCTTTCCCCATTTCTTGTTTTTGTCAGGTTTGTCAAAGATCAGATAGTTGTAGATGGCTATTATTTCTGAGGTCTCTGTTCTGTTCCATTGGTCTATATCTCTGTTTTGGTACCAGTACCGTGCTGTTTTGGTTACTGTAGACTTGTAGTATAGTTTGAAGTCAGGTAGCGTGATGCCTCCAACTTTGTTCTTTTGGCTTAGGATTGACTTGGCAATGTGGGCTCTGTTTTGGTTCCATATGAACTTTAAAGTAGTTTTTTCCAATTCTGTGAGGAAAGTCATTGGTAGCTTGATGGGGATGGCATTGAATCTATAAATTACCTTGGGCAGTATGGCCATTTTCACGATATTGATTCTTCCTATCCATGAGCATGGAATGTTCTTCCATTTGTTTGTGTCCTCTTTTATTTTGTTGAGCAGTGGTTTGTAGTTCTCCTTGAAGAGGTCCTTCACATCCCTTGTAAATTGGATTCCTAGGTATTTTATTCTCTTTGAAGCAATTGTGAATGGGAGTTCACTCATGATTTGGCTTTCTGTTTGTCTGTTATTGGTGTACAAGAATGCTTGTGATTTTTGCACATTGATTTTGTATACTGAGACTTTGCTGAAGTTGCTTATCAGCTTAAGGAGATTTTGGGCTGAGATGATGGGGTTTTCTAAATATACAATCACATCATCTGCAAGCAGGGACAATTTGATTTCCTATTTTCCTAATTGAATACCCTTTATTTCTTTCTCCTGCCTGATTGCCCTGGCCAGAACTTCCAACACTGTTGAATAGGAGTGGTGAGAGATGGCATCCCTGTCTTGTGCCAGTTTTCAAAGGGAATGCTTCCAGTTTTTGCCCATTCAGTATGATATTGGCTGTGGATTTGTCATAAATAGCTCTTATTATTTTGAGGTATGTCCCACCAATACCTAAGTTATTGCATGAAGGGCTGTTGAATTTTGTCAAAGGCCTTTTCTGCATCTATTGAGATAATCATGTGGTTTTTGTCTTTGGTTCTCTTTATATGTTAGATTACATTTATTGATTTGTGTATGTTGAATCAGCCTTGCATCCCAGGGATGAAGCCCACTTGATCACAGTGGATAAGCTTTTTGATGTGCTGCTGGATTTGGTTTGCCAGTATTTTACTGAGGATTTTTGCATCAATGTTCTTCAGGGATATTGGTCTAAAATTCTCTTTTTTTGTTGTGTCTCTGCCAGGCTTTGGTATCAGGATGATGCTGGCCTCATAAAATGAGTTAGGGAGGATTCCTTCTTTTTCTGTTGATTGGAATAGTTTCAGAAGGAATGGTACCAACTCCTCCTTGTACCTCTGGTAGAATTCGGCTGTGAATCCGTCTGGTCCTGGACTTTTTTTGGTTGGTAAGCTATTAATTATTGCCTCAATTTCAGATCCTGTTATTGGTCTATTCAGAGATTCAACTTCTTCTTGGTTTAGTCTTGGGAGGGTGTATGTGTTCAGGAATTTATCCATTTCTTCTAGATATTCTAGTTTGTTTGCGTAGAGGTGTTTGTAGTATTCTCTGATGGTTGTTTGTATTTCTGTGGGATTGGTGGTGATATCCCCTTTATCATTGTTTATTGCATCTATTTGCCTCTTTTCTTCTTTATTAGTCTTGCTAGCGGTCTATCAATTTTGTTGATCTTTTCAAAAACCAGCTCCTGGATTCATTGATTTTTTTGGAGGATTTTTTGTGTCTCTATCTCCTTCAGTTCTGCTCTGATCTTAGTTATTTGTTGCCCTCTGTTAGCTTTTGAATGTGTTTGCTCTTGCTTCTCTAGTTCTTTTAATTGTGATGTTAGGGTGTCAATTTTAGATCTTTCCTGCTTTCTCTTGTGGGCATTTAGTACTATAAATTTCCCTTTACACACTGCTTTAAATGTGTCCCAGAGATTCTGGTATGTTGTGTCTTTGTTCTCGTTTGTTTCAAAGAACATCTTTATTTCTGCCTTCATTTCGTTATGTACCCAGTAGTCATTCAGGAGCAGGATGTTCAGTTTCCATGTAGTTGAGCGGTTTTGAGTGAGTTTCTTAATCCTGAGTTCTAGTTTGATTGCACTATGGTCTGAGAGACAGTTTGTTATAATTTCTGTTCTTTTACATTTGCTGAGGAGTGCTTTACTTCCAACTATGTGGTCAATTTTGGAATAGGTGTGGTGTGGTGCTGAGAAGAATGTATATTCTGTTGATTCGGGGTGGAGAGTTCTGTAGTTGTCTATTAGGTCCGCTTGGTGTAGAGCTGAGTTCAATTCCTGGATATCCTTGTTAACTTTCTGTCTCGTTGATCTGTCTAATGTTGACAGTGGGGTGTTAAAGTCTCCCATTATTATTGTGTGGGAGGCTAAGTCTCTTTCTAGGTCTCTAAGGACTTGCTTTATGAATCTGGGTGCTCCTGTATTGGATGCATATATATTTAGGATAGTTAGCTCTTTTTGTTGAATTGATCCCTTTACCATTATGTAATGGCCTTCTTTGTCTCTTTTGATGTTTGTTGGTTTAAAATCCATTTTATCAGAGACTAGGATTGCAACCCCTGCCTTTTTTTGTTTTCCATTTGCTTGGTAGATCTTCCTCCATCCCTTTATTTTGAGCCTATGTGTGTCTCTGCACGTGAGATGGTTTTCCTGAATACAGCACACTGATGGGTCTTGACTCTTTCCAATTTGCCAGTCTGTGTCTTTTAATTGGAGCATTTAGCCCATTTACATTTAAGGTTAATATTGTTATGTGTGAATTTGATCCTGTCATTATGATATTAGCTGGTTATTTTGCTCGTTAGTTGATGCAGTTTCTTCCTAGCATCGATGGTCTTTACAATTTGGCATGTTTTTGCAGTGGCTGGTACCAGTTGTTCCTTTCCATGTTTAGTGCTTCCTTCAGGAGCTGTTTTAGGGCAGGCCTGGTGGTGACAAAATCTCTCAGCAGTTGCTTGTCTGTAAAGTATTTTATTTCTCCTTCACTTATGAAGCTTAGTTTGGCTGGATATGAATTTCTGGTTTGAAAATTCTTTTCTTTAAGAATGTTGAATATTGGTCCCCACTCTCTTCTGGCTTGTAGAGTTTCTGCCGAGAGATCAGCTGTTAGTCTGATGGGCTTCCCTTTGTGGGTAACCCGACCTTTCTCTCTGGCTGCCTTTAACATGTTTTCCTTCATTTCAACTTTGGTGAATCTGACAATTATGTGTCTTGAAGTTGCTCTTCTCAGGGAGTATCTTTGTGGCGTTCTCTGTATTTCTTGAATTTTAATGTTGGCCTGCCTCGCTAGGTTGGGGAAGTTCTCCTGGATAATATCCTGAAGAGTGTTTTCCAACTTGGTTCCATTCTCCCCGTCACTTTCAGGTACACCAATCAGACGTAGATTTGGTCTTTGCACATAGTCTCATATTCCTTGGAGGCTTTGTTCGTTTCTTTTTTCTCTAAACTTCTCTTTTCACTTCATTTCATTCATTTGATCTTCAGTGGCTGATACCCTTTCTTCCAGTTGATTGAATTGGCTGCTGAAGCTTGTGCATTCATCATGTAGTTCTTGTGCCATGGTTTTCAGCTCCATCAAGTCCTTTAAGGACTTCTCTGCATTGGTTATTCTAGTTAGCCATTCATCTAATCTTTTTTCAAGGCTTTTAACTTCTTTGCGATGGGTTCGAACTTCCTCCTTTAGCTTGGGGAAGTTTGATCTTCTGAAGCCTTCTTCTCTCAGCTCGTCAAAGTCATTCTCTGTCCAGCTTTGTTCCATTGCTGGTGAGCAGCTGCGTTCCTTTGGAGGAGGAGAGGCACTCTGATTTTTAGAATTTTCAGTTTTTCTGCTCTGTTTTTTCCCCATCTTTGTGGTTTTATCTACCTTTGGTCTTTGATGATGGTGACGTACAGATGGGGTTTTGGTGTGGATGTCCTTTTTGTTTGTTAGTTTTCCTTCTAACAGTCAGGATCCTCAGCTGCAGGTCTGTTGGAGTTTTCTGGAGGTCCACACCAGACCCTGTTTGCCTGGGTATCAGCAGCGGAGACTGCAGAACAGCGAATATTGCAGAACAGCAAATGTTGCTGCCTGATCGTTCCTCTGCAAGTTTCCTCTCAGAGGCGTACCCGGCCGTGTGAGGTGTCAGTCTGCCCCTACTGGGGGGTGCCTCCCAGTTAGGCTACTTGGGGGTCAGGGAACCACTTGAGGAGGCAGTCTGTACCTTCTCAGATCTCAAACTCTGTGCTGGGAGAACCACTACTCTCTTCAAAGCTGTCAGACAGGGACATTTAAGTCTGCAGAGGTTTCTGCTGCCTTTTGTTCAGCTATGCCCTGCCCCCAGAGGTGGAGTCTACAGAGGCAGGCGGGCCTCCTTGAGCTGTGGTGGGCTCCACCCAGTTTGAGCTACCCCGCAGCTTTGTTTACCTACTCAAGCCTCAGCAATGGTGGGTGCCCCTCCCCCAGCCTCTCTGCCACCTTGCAGCTCAATCTCAGACTGCTGTGCTAGCAATGAGGGAGGCTCCGTCGGCATGGGACCCTCCGAGCCATGCGTGGGATATAATCTCCTGGTGTGCCGTTTGCTAAGGCCATTGGAAAAGTGCAGTAGGGTGGGAGTGACCTGATTTTCCAGGTGCCTTCCATCACAGCTTTGCTTGGCTAGGAAAGGGAATTCCCTACCCCTTGTGCTTCCCAGGTGAGGCAATGCCCCGCCCTGCTTCGGCTCACGCTTGGCGGGCTGCACCCACTGTCCTGCACCACTGTCTGACAAGACCCAGTGAGATGGACCTGGTACCTCAGTTGGAAATGCAGAAATCACCCGTCTTCTGCGTTGCTCATGCTGCGAGCTGTAGACTGGAGCTGTTCCTATTCGGCCATCTTGGAACCCATCTCTGCTATGTGGTTCTTAATGGAAGTTCGCCTAGTTAAGGATATGGACTCTCAAATTTTTTATACTAATTTATATAGCAGACGTATTCACAGACTCTATTTCATTTTGTATATAATTGGGATTACACCATATGCATTTTTCTGAGACGGTTTTTTTCCTTTCGATTATATGCCTTGGGGATCATTCCATGGTAGAATATTATTTTATTTATTTATATTTTGTGGCTACATAGGAAGTTATATTGTAAATATCTTATAATTTATGCTTTCTTTTTTGTATTTTTGTCAATTATCTTCATTGTTTTTTAAAATAACTATCTTATTTTGGAATAATTTTAGATTTACAGAAAATTTGCAAAGAGGAAACAGTTTCTATACCCATGTCACCCAGTTTCTCCTAATCGTTAACAGCTTATTTTACCATGGTATATTTGTCATACTAAGAAACCAACATTGGTACTATTTATTCATTTTTAATTATACAAGTAACGCATACAAAAATCTTTCTCTTTGTGAAAATAGGCAGAATAGGTTCAAATTCCCTTTGCCCTGCCATCCTAATCTCAGGACCTTTATTCCAATCCCTGCCCCAACTCTATTTGGTATTTATCCTTCCAGGCTTGTGGTAGTCCATTTTGTATTGCTCTAAAGGAATACCTGAGACTGGGTAATTTACAAAGAAAAGGGGTTTATTTGGCTCACAGTTCTACCGTCTTTATGAGAAGCATGGCATCTGCTTCTGGTGGGGTCTCAGAAAACTTGGACTCATGACAGAAGGCAAACAGGTAGTTGGCATATCGCATGGCAAGAGGGGGAGCAAGAGAGAGGGGAGGAGGTGCCAAGCTTATTTATTTATTTATTTATTATTATACTTTAAGTTCTGGGGTATATGTGCAGAACATGCAGGTTTGTTACATAGGTATACACGTGCGATGATGGTTTGCTGCACCCCATCAACCCGTCATCTGCATTAGGTATTTCTCCTAATGCTATCCCTCCCCTAGGCCCCCACCCCCTGACAGGCCCCGGTGTGTGATGTTCTCCTCCCTGTGTCCATGTGTTCTCATTGTTCAACTCCCAATTATGAGTGAGAACATGCGGTGTTTGGTTTTCTGTTTGGTTTGTGTTAGTTTGCTGAGAATGATGATTTCCAGCTTCATCCATGTCCCTACAAAGGACATGAACCCATCCTTTTTTATGGCTGCATAGTATTCCATGGTGTATATGTGCCCCATTTTCTTTAGCCCGTCTAACATTGATGGGCATTTGGGTTGGTTCCAAGTCTTTGCTATGGTGAACAGTGCTGCAATAAACATACGTTAACCCCATGCCAGGCTTTTTTTTTTTTTTTGAGACAGAGTCTCTCTCTGTCACCCAGGCTGGAGTGCAGTGGTGCAGTCTTGGCTCACTGCAAACTCCGCCTCCAAGCTCTGCCTCCTGGGTTCATGCCATTCTCCTGCCTCAGCTTCCCAAGTAGCTGGGACTACAGGTGCCTGCCACCATGCCCGGCTAATTTTTTGCATTTTTAGTAGAGACGGGGTTTCACCATGTTAGCCAGGATGGTCTTGATCTCCTGACCTCGTGATCTGCCTGCCTTGGCCTCCAAAAGTGCTGGGATTACAGGCATGAGCCACTGCACCTGGCTTGCCAGGCTCTTTTAAACAACCACCTTTTGTTTGGACAAATGAAGTGGGAGCTCACTTGTTACTGCAAGGACAGCACCAAGACATCCACGAGGGATCCGCCCCCCTGCTCCAAACACCTCCCAGTAGGTCTCACTTCCAACATTGGGGATCACATTTCAACATGAGATTTGGAGAGAACACACATCCAAACAGCATCAGGGCTTTTCTATAAGCATTCACTACACACACAAACACACGTTGGCAATATTGAAAGTACAATCTTTTTTGTGGTTTAAAAATATAAACAGTATGCATTTTTCTCTTCAACTTGTTTGTTTGAGATGGGCTTTTGGGGAAAGGATGAGGCTTGTGTGGTGAGCTCAAGACACATGCGCTGACATTATCTTAGTGTCCCTGATGTTTGGTGAGTGGGATGCAATTACAGGAGTCTTGAAATTGAGGCTGTACACAGAGTCAGGCGTGGTGGCTGAGCTATGAATCTGGGCTGGGCTGCCATTTGGTTTAGAGAAATTTCCAGTGACTGGGAGAGGGGATTGTACCAGGTCTAAGGCCTACCTACAAGCAGAGGGGCTGGTAAAGGAAGTTCAGGCACTTTGGGGAGTGAAGGCCCAGGGAAATGAGTTAACTCCATGCAGAAGGCACCCCTGGCAGAGGCTAGTATGGGCTAGGCTAGTACTTAGTGGACATTAAGTTGTGCAGATCTTCCCTGAGCATGTGGCTTTGAGTCTTAAGAGAGTGAGGTCAACTTCAGCCCCTACCTGCTGGTAGACAGGACTCCTAATGTTAACCACACCTTGATATGGATGGGCTGCAGCTAAGCTTCCAGATTGACGATCCTTGTTTTTTGTAGCTGAGAAGGGCTGGGAAGGGAGAAGGCTGATAGTTCTGTAACTTACTCTTGTCTGTCTGGCAAAGTCTTAACTGTTCTTAAAAACTGAATTTGGACTTCTGCTTTTGGGAGGATTAAGTAGATATGCTTTTCCCTATTTCTCTTACTAAGTCCAATTAAAAGCTCTTGGACATTACATGTAAAATACCAGAAGACTGAAAAGTAGAAAGAAGAAGGCAGACAGGCTAGGCACCTCAGAATCTGAGAATGATAGGGTGGTGAGTTCTCTGGGTTTTCTTTTTGCCTCATCCACCCCAGTCTTGGAGCTGAAAAGGTTGGTAATCTGGAAATGCCAACAGGCACAGAAAAAACCCCACAACTCCAACAAAAACCTGCTCTCTCTAGCCAAAACACCAGAACAGAAGTAACCTAACAAGACAGAAAACTTTTAACAACTGTTCTACTGCAGCAAAACACCACAGAAAAGAACCATGGCCCAACCCCACCCATGCCACCAAGGGTCAGCTTTGGCCTAGCCTTCCCTTCTGGCAAGGCTGTGATGAGGCACCCCAATATCCCTGCTGGAGTGGTGTCAGAGAAGGCCGAGTAGTAATCTGGGCCTTTGATCTCTGTTGGCTGATAATGAGTCCACTCACCCCTCCCTCCACAGTTTCAGTGGAGACCATATATGGAGTGCGGACTTACACCCTCACCTGGCAGCAGCAAGGTTTTTCTTCCTCTCTCTGCTGGGGTGGTGTCTGAAGGGTTGAGTGGAGAGTCAGGACTTTCACCATTACCCAGGACTAACAAGGCCACCCCTACTGCAGTTTCAGTGGAGACCATGTGGAGATCCAGTATTCCTACTACTACTCAGCAAGCAGTATCAAGAAGTTCCCTACCTTTGGTGTCAACAGAAGCTGAGTAGAAACCTGAACGTCCATCTACAGCTAGCAATAATGAGAGGTATGGGATGGAGTGCCCCTCCTTTTGCACCTGCTGGAGTGGTATCAGAAAAATCAGTTAAAACAGAAGGCTTAAATAAGATCCAGAATTTCTGAAAATAATTTGAAAATGTCTAGGTTTCAACAAAAAGGCATGCATCATACCAAGAACTAGGAAGGTCTCAAACTTAGTGGAAAAAGATGATCAATAGATGATGCTAATACTGAGATGCTGGTATTATCTGACAAAGATTTAAAGCAGCTATCAGATCCTTCAGTGAACAGTTATGAACATTACTGGAACGAATGAAAAAACAAAAAGGCTCAGCAAATAAACTGAAAGTCTCAGTAAAGAAATGGAAGGTGTAAAGAAATAAATAGAAATTTCAGAACTGAAAACACATAAACTAAAATACAAACTCAGTGAATGGGCTCAATAGCATAATAGAGGAAAGAATCAAAGACCTATAAAACACAACAACAGAAATTATTCAATCTGGACAACACAGAAAATGACTGAAAAAAGTGAACAGAGCGTCAAGGACCTGTGGGACTATAACAAAATATCCAACATTCATATCACTGGAGTCCCAGAATGAGAGAAAAAAGACAGATAAAAAATAATGGTTGAAATCATTCCAAATTTGGCAAGAGGCATTAGCTACAGACTCAAAAAGGTGAGAAAGCCTCAAATAGGATAAACCCAAAGAATCCCACACCAAGAAGCATCATAATTAAGTTTCTGAAAACTAAAAAAGTGAAGACATCTTGAAGGCAGTAAAAAGAAAAACAACACTTTACCTATGGGGAGAAATAATTTGAATGACAGCAGATTTCTTATCAGAGACCGTGGAGTCAAGAAGTAAGTGGCACAATATTTTTCAAGTGCTGAAAGAAAAGAACTGTCAACACAGAATCCTATACCTAATGAAGATATCTTTCAGGAATAAAGGGGAAATCAAGACATTCTCAGATGAAGGGAAAGGAAGATAATTTGTCATAAGTGGCATAGCCTAAAAGAAAGACCAGAGGAGTTTCTGTAAATAGAAAGGTGATAAAAGAAGGAAACTTGGTGCATCAGCAAGAAGAAAAGAAAATGCAAAAATAAGCAACACATGGGTAGAAACAAGAGACTTTTCTTGCCTTGAGTTTTCTAAATTATATTTGGGAATTGAAACACATTTTATGTTTTTTATTTATTTTATTTTACCTTTTTTTTGAGATGAAGTCTCACTCCATCACCCAGGCTGGGAGTGCAGTGGGACAATCTCAGCTCACTGCAAACTCTGCCTCCTGGGTTCAAGTGATTCTCCTGCCTCAGCCTCCCGAGTAGCTGGGATTACAGGCATGCACCACCATGCCTGGTTAATTTTTGTATTTTTAGTAGAGATGGGGGTTTTGCTATGTTTGCCACGCTGTTCTTGAACTCCTGACCTTAAGTCATCCGCCTGCCTCAGCCTCCCATAGTGCTGTGATTACTGGTGTGAGCCACCATGCCCAGCCTGAAACAAATTTTAAAACCCTGTCTGTTGTGGTTCTAAATGTATGAGGAAGAAATATTTAAGACCATTATAAATAGGGAAATAAAAGAATATAAAAGGAAATCAAGTTTCTACACCTCACTCAAACTGGTAAGATGATGACATCAGTAGACTTATAAGTTATGCATATGTTATATTTAGAACAACTATTGAAATTATACATGGAGACACACTCAAAAATACCATAAACAAATCAAAATGGAGTTATAAAAAGTGTTCATATCGCTCACAGAAAGGCAGAAAAGAAAAAACAGAAATGAAAATCAGAGAAAACAAAAAGCAAAATGTCAGACAAGCCCCAGCATATCAACAATTACAATAAATATAAATGGCCAAAGTATGTTTCATTCTGCTGAAGCAATGGCTAGAGTTGCCCCAAAAGTGGTAGCAAAGGAGTCCCCACAAGGGAGTACCCCCAAAGTATCCCAAGATGGGGCCAGTTGGGATTCCAAAGAAAGAAGCATTAAATGCCAGGGTGATCAGTTCAAGGCATTTATTAGGGGAACTTACAGAGCACTACAGCATATCCTCAGGTGGACAGTGAAAGAAAGGTATGTTATACCTAGGTATGCCTATGCCAAGAGGATCAGGGCATGGAGTTCATATGAGGATTTAATTAATTTGGCTCAAGGCTGGGACCAATTTCTTTCAGTGTTTTAGGCAACAACCTAGATACCTTTATTAATGCCTGGGAATGTTCAAAGCCTTGGCTTCGGTTCAGCCTTGCTGGGAAAAACATGCAACTGGCTGGGTCACAGAGCCAACAAGGCACTCCCTGTTTTTCACTCAGAATGCACAAAATGGGGGGAATGGGAGACCCTACAAAGTACAACAATGAAAAGGCAGAGATTGGAAGAATGGATTAAAAACATGACCCAACTATATACTATCTACCAGATGCTCATTTAAAATATAACAATGTAGGCAAGTTGAAAGTAAAAGGATACAAAAAGATATATTAATAAAAAGAAAATAGGAGTGGCTATATTAATATTAGATAAGACAGACTTCAGAAGAAAGAAAGATACCAGAGACTGAGAGGGACATTATATAATGATGAAAGTATCAGTCCACTAACAACACATAGCAAAGGGTAGTGTCATGTTGAAGAAACGTGTCTATGAAAATTTAAAGAACAACAGCAAAACCATATCTACTAAAGCTAAACATATTCCTATCCCATGAGCCAGCAATTCCAGTCTTAGGCACAAGCCTGAGAGAAATGTGTGTGTGTGTCCACTATGCACCAATGGTAAAGAAGAACATGCTCATGATAGTATTATTTACAACAGCCCCAAACTGGAAAAACACCCCAAATATGTAGCAACACAGAATGGACATATAGATTGTAGTGTATTCAACATTGAAATACTATACAGCAAGGAAAAAGAATGGCCTCATATGACATGCAACCACATGGATGGCTATCAAATGTTATGTTGAATGAAAAAGGCCGGGCACCAAAGAATACATATATACTGTATGATTGCATTTATATGAAGTTCAAAAGCAAGAAAGGAAAATTAATCTATGGTATAGAAGTCCAGTTAGTGATTCCCTCTGATTGTAAAGGGGCACAGGAACCCTTCTGGGGTAATGTATTATATATTAATCTCAGTGGTGGATATGTAGGTATATACATAGGTCAAAATAAATTCACTCTTTTTTTTTTTTTTTGAGATAGAGTCTCGCTCTGTTGCCCAGGCTAGAGTGTAGTGGTGTGATCTCGGTTCACTGCAATGTCCACTTCCCAGGTTCAAGTGATTCTCATGCCTCAGTCTCCTGAGTAGCTAGGACCACAAGCATGCACCACCATACTCGGCTAATTTTTGTACTTTTAGTGGAGACGGGGTTTCACCATGTTGCCCAGGCTGCTCTTGAACTCCTGACCTCAAGTGATCCACCTGCCTTGGCCTCCCAAAGTGCTGGGATTATAGGTGTGTGACACTGTGCCCAACCAAAATTCACCAACTCTTCAGATTTGTGTCTTTTATATATATATTAAAAATGTAAAAAGTTACAATACAAGCCAGATTCTGGTCAAGTAATATTAATTATTTACTTTATGCCAGACACTGAGCTGCAGACTTGCAGTACACATGACACTGGGCACCTGCCTCAGTTTCTCTTCTGCATTATGATTTCTTTCTGAATCTGGGTGTCTCTCTAGTCATTGACTGGGCTTCTGCTCCATTCTTGGTCAGCAGTTCATGGATATCCTGTTTTTTTTTTTTTTTTTTTCCCATGAATATTGCTTCTGTTTGAGGTCTTCCCATTCCAGCCCCAGAACTGGGTCCTTAGCCCAATCACTACAGCTTGAACAGACCACCTGGGACATTCAGCCTTTTGTGGAGGGCCCCCAGCTCAGCTTGCTGCTCCCACCATCTCTGCTTTCCCTCATTTTTGCCTCTAGGATTCTCCCAGTCTAGTACCTGCACACACATTTGCTGGATGGATGTCCCTCTAGATGATGATAAACACCTCTTTATGGCACTTTGCAGAGCTGCTCTCTCAGCGATGGGCATCAGCATGAGTATAGCTGAAAGCTGAGACTACTTCTCTTATGTCCCCTCTCACTTCTCCTCTAATGAGCCTCCCTAATTTTAAAGGTGCTATTTCCTGGGTGGTTAAAGGAAGATGAGAGTTTTATTAAGGAAAATGCCCAAGTATCATCGTTGCTAGGGAATCCACCTGGGAGTCTTTGCTGCAAATGTGCCTGTTTGTCATTTCATGCCTTACTTGGGGCACTGACTTTGCTGCCAGGAATACCAAATCTGTTTTTCCTAAGCCACCACTGGGACAGATAGCTGGGAAGATGACCCCACTAATAGCCCATTAGTATACAAATTCAAAAATGATTCAGCAGTTCAGGGATAAGAGCTCCATGTGGGTGCAAACACATCCTCAGGCTTGGCTGGGGCACAAGATTGCAGCCTTGGTCTTCAGCAGGCAAGGCCAGGTGCTTTGCTCCTGAAACAAATGGATCAATGTGCTGGTTATTGCTAACAAAGTACTAGTTGGGCCCATTTGTGGGTTAAAACAGCCATCTCTAGACTGGTGGGCCCAGGATCCTTGTTCTTAATTGATTTCTCTTGCTTTTCTTGTGGAAATGAAGTAAGAAGTTGCTTATTAACCAATTTACTTTGACCATTTTCCATTCCTTAACCAACCTGCAATAATTCGTAGCATTTCTGGAACAAAAGCAGCAGAGGGCTCCTCCTGAGTTAATATTGGTGAATTACGTGTCCAAGATAGAATGGTTTTTGGTTGTGCAGGTTAAGAAGTAAGCCTTACATGCTGCAGGGTGTTGGCTATAAGTAACTGCTCCTTTTATGGAAGTCAAAGAATGCCTATCTCCTGGCAGTAATCTGTTCCCTGTTGCCAAGGTACCAGGGCACTGGGTATAACTTCAGGAGATCTGGGTTCTGGTCTCAGCTGTAGCATTTTCTGCCTTATAACCTTGGACAAGTCATAGAAAGAAATGTTCTAGAGTTGAAAGAGCTCATCTATGGCTCAACCCCTCTGTATCAACTTTGCTTACCCATGCTGTCTTTGCTTAGATGTTTCCAAGACTCACTACTGAGAAGCCTACTTCAATAGACAAATTCTGAATATGAAACATAAAATGGAGTTTGTTCATTCTTTTATTAATTGGATGTTGGCTGTACTTGTAACCACATCTCCAGGTTCACTGACCTTGGAGCCCATGGATATTCACATCTTATCCATTGCATGAAGGCGGTCTCTGTGGAATCTTTCTAGAAACTTGTAAGACGGGACTTGTCCACAAATTAGACTTGCTCAGTGTGGCTATCAGGGTTGGCCAATCTGGAGCTTTGTATCTGCATTGGAGTGGGCAACGCAGGCCTTCTGCCTTCTGCTTCCACATCACGGCCTTGAAGTGCTGGGTTGTGTGCAGGAATGAATGACCCTCTTCCCGTTTTGTGCTGCACTTTTTTGTTTGTGTCTTGAAGATGCACCTTCTGTGCCCAGATGTTCATCACATCTTCAATGAAGGCATCTCTTTTATCTTCCAACCTTGATTTTTCTTTCCTCAGGGGCTCTGGCCTGTATCCAGTCTACCTTTGCCCATTTCTTCCCTCTCCCCCAGTGAAAGAAAATGTCTCCCTTCAGCCAAAACAATAGCCACCGTGCAAGAGGCTTGGGCAAGTTGTCTTAGAGAGGAGGGAATACTGTCTAAGCTCTGCTCCCGAGAAGCCACTGACTGTCAGCTCTGGCTTGGTGGACTGGACACTGTAGTAGTGAGTAGAGTGCCCAGAACAGTACTTAGTATAATAGGCCCTTGGTAAGTGACAGCCAATATGGCAGCCTCATTCCCATCTCCCAGGCCTGGTGTAAGATAATGTAGATCCTGACGTATGGACAGGATCAAAGGCAGGAGGTGTCCTGAGAACATGAAGTGGGCCCAGGATTGGAGCAGCCTGGAAGAGGGGAAGACTCACTCTGGGAAGCTCCAGCTTGCCTTGTTCCCAGCAGAAGCAGCAGGTGGAGCAATCGGCAAAGATCATTCCCTTTCTCCCTGTGCACATCTTCCCTCTAGAAACCACTGCAATTATTATTATTATTATTATTTTTTGAGTTGAAGTCTCACTCTGTTGCCCAGGCTGGAGTGCAGTGGTGCGATCTCAGCTCACTGCAACCTCCGCCTCCTGGGTTCAAGTGATTCTCCTGCCTCAGCCTCCTGAGTAGCTGGGATTACAGGTGCCCACGACCATGCCTGGCTAATTTTTGTATTTTTAATAGAGATGAGGTTTCACCATGTTGGTCAGGCTGGTCTTGAATTCCTGACTTCGTGATCTACCTGCCTTGGCCTCCCAAAGTGATGGGATTACAGGTGTGAGCCACCGCGGCCAGCCGAAACCACTGCAATTCTTGAATCTGAGTCCAGCGGGAATGATGCTCAAGATTGGGCCACTATCATCCAGAGACTGGCCTCATGGAAGATGTGACACTGGAAAGAGCTATGAGTATGGGTGAGCCATTCTGGGGCTTGTTGAACTCCAGGTGAGGAGGTGAGGAACCAGGATGATGGCCTCACATCCTGCTCTACTCTATCTCACTCCATTCTGGGCTGATACTCCCAGAAGCTCTGGCAATAGGGTCTGGTGCTAGGTTGGAAGGCTATGTGGCTTTCTCAGGGGGGCCAGAGAGAGAATCTAAAGTTGAGACAGGATGCAAAGCCTAGAGCTGGGAGATGGGGTGCAGATTATTGAACCAGGAGCAGGTTGAACTGTGGCATGCATGGTAGTTGAGGGTAAGCTGTTGAGGACCAGGACAGCGAAGGGGCAAGATTGTGTTGGAAGCTTCTTTGTGCATTCTGTGGGCAGGAGTCTGGGTCAGCCTGAATGGTTATTGGAGTCATGTAGGGATGGGCGCTTTCATCTGATTATCCTACAATCAGATGGATTTGATTCTGCATGTTTCCAAAGACCTGCTGGATACCCCCACATGCACATCCCATAGCCAATTCCATTTTATGTCTTGATGGTATATATTCTGCCCTTTCTCACATTTTCTGTCCTGGGAACGGCACTACCATTTACCGAATTGCCCAAGGCAGAAACTTTTCCCTTCCTTACCATTTATAATGTCTTCTGGTCTGTTTTTCTTCCTAAATATCCTTGGAGACTATCTCCTGTCCTCCCTACTCATTGCCTTTATGTCAGTCAGTTCTAGTGTTTTCTCCCTGGGGCACAACATCCACGGCTCCCGAGATCCTTCTGCTTCTGCCCAGCAAATCCACCTTCCATGGGGTCCCATTTCTATATCCCAACCTTAGGCATGCCACTTCCTTACCTAGAATGAATCCTTGATGTCTTCAGGGTAATGTTCAGACCTTGCAGGACCCACAAAATCCTCCACATGAGTTGCTGAAGTATCTGGTACTTTCTCCCTCCACTTTCCCCCATGGCTTCCTCTTCCACCTTCTCATCATAGTGGATAAAATTTATTGAGCATTTATTGTGTATTGGGTCCTGTGCTTGGAGCTTTACAAATATCTTGCTGATTCAAAGAACAACCCCATCTGTAGGTCTTGTGCTTTGACCACCACGTGGAACCCCTCCCTGCTCTCCAGCTCTGCAATGCCCCAAAGCTCCATGTCTTTTGGAAGGTATACAGACTTTGTATCAGATTTACTTTACTTAAATCCTCACTCAGAAGCTGTGTTACCTTGTGCATGCTATTTAGCTTTTCAATGCCTCAGTTTCCTCATCTGTAAAATGGGAGTAATGATGGTACCTACCTTGTAAGAGAGCCCACTGCAGGGGGTTGTTGTGAGACATGTAGGAGAAAATACCTGTAAAGGGCTCAGCCTGGTACCTGGTGTGCCTGTAGTACTTAACAAATGCCGAGCGTGACACCGCGTGCTTTGGATACCCTGTCTTCCTTCTGGAAGAGTCCTACACCAACCAGACAGTCAAGTCACTGCCATTCTTCAAGGTCATTCTTTCTTCCCAAGATCTTGTACAACTTCCGCAGGCTGGAAGAGGCACCCTCCCCAGTGATCTTGGAGGGTCTGTGTTACCTCTAACATAGCACTTACCTCCCTGGGAGCAGTTGGGGTTTTCTTGTCTCTTGAGGGCAGGATCTGTCCTTGGCCATCTGTGTGCTTAAGGGCCAAGAACAGCATTTGACACAGAGCTGGGCTCAGTGAGTGCTTGCCAGTGGGCAGGAGCTAGCAAGTGTTCGTGAGATCCTGGATGGTGGAGGAGTGCCTTCCACGTCAGCTGTTTCACGGTGTGCCCTGTGCTACAACCTGACGTGTGACAGGAGAACTTAGGAGGCCTGTCACACCTCTGACCTCCTGACAGATTTAGTGTAGGTTGGGGCTGTCTGTATCTCGGATCTCCCCCCATCCTACCCCAGCAGTAGAGTCACATTTGCATACTGCAGCCATGATCAAGTTAAAAGAATAGTTGAGATGAAAGGAGCCAAAAGCCAGGTCTCTTGGGCAATTTCTCTGGTAATGCAGGAACAGAATTATCCAAGGAGTGATTGACAAATTAGAAGCACTTTGCACCTAATTTTAATGCATTTGGCTCCTTGAGAGGAGGAATATGTTAACTTAAAATTATTCACCTTGCAGTAGCTTCTGTCTTTCAAATCAAAATCAATCTTCATGTGGGGTACTAAATCTTAAGGAAACAAATTGCTTTCTATGGTACATTGCTTTCTTTAAATGGCTTTATTTGGAGGGCCAGCTGAGCAAGTTAATTTCAGTGGCACAGCTGGCTGGCGATTGTGGAGTAGGCATTCTCCCATGTAGTTGGAGGGAGCTTGGTCTGGTGCTCATTAACCACCCTTGGATTAAAGAAACAGTGAGTAATTGGCACATACATAGGACCATGGGGTGGAAATTAAAACAGTTTCGAGACCCAAGTTGTTGTGTTGATGTACAAGAGTTTGAACTTGGTCCTGGGAATATCCTTTTTTTCTCTCTCTCAGTGGCTCCCAAATAGCTGCTTCTGTACCTTAGGGCCACGTTATCTCTCTCATCAACCATTATGGAAACCTATTCCTGGAAAAGGACCACATAGACTCATTCACATGAAGGTGATCATAACTGATGGCAGCTTGAATTGTGGTATAATCTTTAATTTTTTTTTTTTAATTTCAAAAGAAGATGAAGCCAAAGCAGTTAATCTCGAATTAGAAATTTTTTGGCAAGAACTGGTGAGTGGAGACCTGCTGCCATCCCCAAGGGAGCTGCCTCCCCTAGAATCATAACATTCTTTAGCAAGAAGGAAATAGAGGTTTTTCTAGTTAAATTTCTTACAGAATGCAGAAATTTCATTACAGAATACTTTAATAGTTGTTCATTCTTTGCTTGAATGCCTTTTGAGATGGGGCACTCATGGCACGAAAAAGCAGCCCATTTTATTGTTGGGTACTTCTGATTTTTAAAAAGTTACACCTTATTTTCAACTAAAATTGGGCTCCCTGAAGCTGCCACCATAGTTCCGCACTCTAGATTCCAGATGTCTTCTAAATGACAGCTCTTGCCGGGTACAGTGGCTCACACTTGTAATCCCAGCACTTTGGGAGGCTGAGGTGGGTGGATCACCTGAGGTCAGGAGTTCAAGACCAGCCTGGCCAACATAATGATACCCCGCCTCTACTAAAAATACAAAAATTAGCTGGGCGTGGTGGCGGGTGCCTGTATCCCAGCTACTTGGGAGGCTGAGGCAGGAGAATCACTTGAACCAGGGAGGCGGAGGTTGCAGTGACCCGAGATTGCACCACTGCACTCCAGCCTGGGTGACAGAGCGAGACTCTGTCTCAAAAATAAATGAATGACAGTTCTTCACATGTTTGAGGATAACTCCCTAGTCTCATACTTCATAACATGTTATCTCTTCTTAGGGTTAAACATTCCTTATTCTTTGAACTGTCCTCTCACTACATAACTTTCAGATTTGGGTTCTGGCTATTTTCCTTGGGACATATTCCAGTTTGTTCCCATTCTTCTTAATATGCGGTTAATGCAGTTTCTCTTAATGCAGCCTGGCTTTTAGGGAGGAGATTATCTCTCATCCACAAAGCTTTGAAGCTGAGTCTGCCCATTCTGTGGCTGTGCAGACGCTTTCATGGTCTCCCAGGCAGGACTTTGTCCTTAGCCCTGTTAAATTTGATTTGGCCTATTCTGGTTATCACTCCCTCCATCCTATGTGTCTTCTATCCCTCTCAGCAACTTGCCATTTTCACATTTGATGAGCTTTCTTCCTGACAGTCTCTCTGATGAGATGTGAAAGGCTATTAAGGATAATTTACTTAGAAGTAAGAGGCGACAGTGGTGGCAGCAGTTTTTTAAAAAACAACTCATTTTATAAGTCATGTATTTAAAATAGAAACACAAGGAAAATAACAATTACCTATAAAAAGCTATTTTTTGCATATGTCCTTCCCTATACACATTTATCCAAGGATTCATATTGTATATTTTGTTTTTTCACTTAGGAATATTTTCCAATGTTACTAAGCAGTCTTCTATAAGTCCATTTTTAATGCCTCCCTTATACAGGAAAAATGATAATTAATCACCTATTGTTGGGGATTTAGGTTGTTTTCCAATTTTTCCATCTTGTGAAACATGCTGCTAGGTTTTTGCACTCATCTGTGATAAGTTTCTAGAGATGGAATTGCCGAGGGCAACAGGTGGGTACAGTTTTTGATATTTGTTGTCGAATTGCACTTCAGAAAGATCATGCCATATGAAACATACTATTTTATATTTCTAAAAGCAGCATGTTGAAGATTTTGCTTCTGCAGTTGTTTCAAGCAGAGTTCTTGGCAATGTGGACAGTGCTTGGTAGTAACACATTCAAAGAGAAAAGGTACCCCGCTTTTAGGAACCCCAAATTAGAGCAATACTGATGGAAAGAACAATAGAAGGGACCCAGGAACAGAACAAAATGCCTAACTTAAAATTCTGTTTTAAACATTTATTTCTGTTTTCTACTTTGTTATGGAATATGCTTTTTATTTTAGGCTGCCATTTTAATAACGTTTACTTCTTTAAAGTAAAGACCAATATGGTGAAACTCCGTCTCTACTAAAAATACAAAAAATAGCTGGGTGTGATGGTGTGCACCTGTAGTCCCAGCTACTTGGGAGGCTGAGACAGGAGAATTGCTTGAACCTGGGAGGTGGAGGTTGCAGTGAGCCGAGATCACACCACTCTACTCCAGCCTGGGTGACAGAGCAAGACTCTGTCTCAAAAAAAAGAAAAGGTCAGGTACCTTCAGAAACTGATACCTGAAGGTATCTTTTCTCATTCAAGCCACATGATAGGATTTGCCAGGATGTGACAAATATTTCAAAATTCACACCCCAGATCCTGGGATCTTTGACACAGTAACCTGAAGATTCCTTGTGTAAAATGTACCAAAATACCTGATCAATTTTACTCAAAACAAGTACTAATTTCTGGTTGTATTTGTAGTAGAATCAGCTTGAATAGTTTTTAGATTCTTGACATATAACATAGTTAAGTGGATCCTCCAAACTGATATCTGATTTTTTAAACAGTTTTGCAAAAGATGTGGAATACACTGATTCCAACTAAATATAGCAGGTCCAATCTCTCAAAGATTGCATATAAGGCAATCAGACAGCTGCTGTCAAAGGAACTGATGCTTCTAAAGTTCCAAAGTACGTCACTAAAATCTAAATCACTTCCTCACACATATACAAAACTTTAGAATTCCATAGGGAAACAGATATTTATTTTAGCCATAAAACTCTAAAGATGTTCTAATTTGTTGTCCATCTGACCACAAAGGCGTTGTATAGCAGCTGGTTTTGCAGTTGGTTGCATGTGACAGAAACCTGACTACAGTGTTTTAACCAAGCTGGAGTTCATTTCTTTTACATAACAAGAAGTCCAGGGCTGGTGCAGCTGCTTGAAGAAGTTTCCAGGAATCCAAGTGCCATCTAATTGCCTGGTCCATCATCTGTGTAATGAGATTTTTTTTATCCTCCTGTTTGCAAGATGTCAAGTAGATAGGGGAAAAGCTAAAGCTGTGTGCAAGCTAATTCTGTTCCTTTTTATTTAAAAAAATCTGTTTTCATCTTACTGCCTCAAACAAGGTCCACAGGCTACCTCCTAGCTGCAAAGGAGTCTGGAAATATGAAATGTGAGTATTTTTAAATTGAGGTTATTAATAAGGTTGAATGGGGAGAATGTGTTGGAAAAGTATTAGTCTCGGGACTTGAAGTCATTTGTCTTAATTTCAGCTCTCTCACTTGCAGGGTCTGCAAACATGAACAAGTCACCCTTTTATCTTTGGCTTCAGTGTATCATCTGTGAAATGATGAGGTTGGAGAAAATGATCTTGAGAGCCATAGGGTACAGGAGCTGGTTCATATCAACTTATGGGAGCTGACTGTGTACTTCTCATCCCAACTCTGAGTTCAGCAGTGTCATGTTGGTGGCCTGAAATTGGCATTAGTGAGAGTATTTTACACCATGGAAATTAGCAAATGCTGCAAATCAGGGTATTCCCATCCACTCCCTCCCTAAGAAGTTTGTTAAACATTTACCACTGTCTGAGAGGCCTTCCAGTATTAACAGCCTCTGGATATATCATTTCAATTTTATAAATCAGAGTTTCAAAGGGCAATGAGACCTTACTCCAGAGACTTCTAAGCCTCACCCATTCATTTTTCTGTTTTATGTCTCTAGGTTTCTCATATCGTCCCCTTCTCCATTTCCTTCAATCCTTGCTTTCTGCTTTTTTACCTTCTCCTCACTCTGTCTCAGAGACCATGTCATGAAATTTAGAAACAAGTTTATTTGTTATGACTATACACCAGGCTTTTGTGTTTCTGATTGTCAAATGAGAATCTGTCAAATGTCTAATGTGATATGCATTTAATCTAAATATTTAAAAAACAAACACCACTTCTTTCTTTCCACCATTACACCTGAAGTTGATTTTTACTTAAGTACAACCCTGAATTACTTTTCTTCCTAGTGTATTTTTTTAATGATCAAGGATTACTTTTAATCATCTGCTAATCAACAATATGATTAAGTATTTTTTCAATTTTGTCGACAGCACAGAATTGGAAATTGACTTACCAAAGGCTTGGTTGCCATCTCATCAGAATCATTAACAATTTTTATTGTGGAGTTTTTAATTAAACTTTTTATTCTGAGATAATTGTAGATTCACATTCAGTCGTAAGAAATCATACCAAGAGATACAGAGTTGTGAGAATAATACAAAGTTTACATTCTGCCAAACTGTGGTACAATATCATAACAAAGATACTGACACTGATATATCCTAGTGCATCTAAAATTTTCAATCAAATATTTAAGGTTCTGTAACATGGTTTTGGATATGAAAGGGAGTGTACCTCCCACAAAGGAAACAATTATTATTATTCTTTTATCTTTTAAAAAATGTTATTTTAATTTTTGTGGCTATATAGTAGGTATATATATTTATGGGGTACATGAGATATTTTGATATAAACATCCAATGTGTAATAGTCACATCAGAGCAAATGGGGTATCCATCAACTCAATCATTTATTCTTTCTTTGTTCCAGAAACAATCCAATTATATTCTTTTAGTTATTTTAAAATGTACAATAAATTATTGACTGTAGTCACCCTATTCTATCAAATGCTAGATCTTATTCATTCTATCTAACTATATTTTTGTTTTTGTCAACCTTCCCCACTTCCCCTTCACCCTCTAACCCTCTACTACCCTTCCTATCCTCTGGTAATCATATTCTACTGTCTCCATGAGTTCAATTGTTTTAGTTTTTAGCTTGCACAAGTAAGAGAGAACATGCGAAGTTTGTCTTTCTGTGCCTGGCTTATTTTACTTAACATAATGATCTCCAGTTCCATCCATGTTGTTGCAAATGGTAGGATCTCATTCTTTTTATGGCTGAATAGTACTTCATTGTATATATGTACCACATTGTCTTTATCCATTTGTCTGTTGATGGACACTTCGGTTGATTCCAAATCTTGGCTATTATGTGTAGCACTGCAGTAAACATGGGAGTGCAGAAAACTCTTCAATATACTGATTTCCTTTCTTTTGGGTATATACTTAACAGTAGGATTGGTGGATCATATAGTAGTTATATTTTTAGTTTTTTGAGGAACCTCCAAACTGTTCTCCATAGCAGTTGTACTAATTTACATTTCTAGCAACAGTGTACAAGGGTTACCATTTCTCCACATCCTGGCCAGCATTTGTTATTGCCTGTCTTTTGGATAAAAGCCATTTTAACTGGTCATTGTAGTTTTGATTTGCATTTCTCTGATGATCAGTGATGTTGAGCACCTTTTCACATACCTGTTTGCCATTTGTATGTCTTCTTTTGAGAAATGTCTATTCAGATTTTTTGCCTTTTTTTTTTTTTTTTTTTTGAGACAGAGTTTCGCTCTTGTTGTCCAGGCCGGAGTGCAATGATGTGATCTCGGCTCACCACAATCTCCGCCTCCTGGGTTCAAGCGATTCTCCTGCCTCAGCCTGCCAAGTAGCTGGGATTACAGGCATGTGCCACCACGCCCGGCTAATTTTGTATTTTTAGTAGAGGTGGGGTTTCTCCATATTGGTCAGGCTGGTCTTGAACTCCTGACCTCAGGTGATCCTCCTATCTCGGCCTCCCAATACAGGTGTGAGCTACCGTGTGTGGCCTTTTTGCCCATTTTTAAATTGGATGATTAGATTTTTTTCCTGTAGAGTTATATGAGCTCCTTATATATTCCAGTTATAAATCCCTTGTCAGGTGGATAGTTAGCAAATACTTTCTCCTACTCGGTGGGTTGTCTCTTTGTTGATTGTTTCCTTTGCTTTTTAACTTGATCCAGTCCCATTTGTCCATTTGCGCTTTGGTTGCTATGCTTGTGGGAAATTACTCAAGAAACCTTTGCCCAGTCCAGTGTCCTGGAGAGTTTCCCCAGTGTTTTCTTTTAATAGTTTCATAGTTTGAGCTCTTAGATTTAAGTGTTTAATCCATCTTGATTTGATTTTTCTATATGGCAAGAAATTGTCTAGTTTTATTCTTCTGCACATGAAAATACAGTTTTCCCACACCAAGGAAACAATTGTTAGGCCCACAGCAGGTGCCAAGGGGTCCAGCCAACTTCCTTCTTCTGTTTAAATCTGTCCCCATCTTTTCTCTTCCCAGCATTCCACAGCTGGGTCTTTTCTTGCTCAAGTTGGATGAAAAACAAAGTCTAATATCTTATTCCTCAAAGACATGGTTTTGAGAACTAGCAGCATGGGTACCACCAGGGAGCTTGTTAAAAAAGCAGAGTCTTGAGTGCCACCCCAGCCCTACTGGATCAGAATTCGCATTGTAACAAGCTCCCAGGTGATTCTCAAGCACATTAAAGTTTGAGAAGTTCTGATTGCATGTTCTCAGTCATATGTGAAAGCTGAAAAAAGATGATATCATAGAAATAAAAAGTTAGAACAGAGGATACTAGTAGCTGTGAAAGGTAGGGGAAGGAGAGATAGGGAGAGATTTGTTAAAGGATACAAAATTACAGCTAGATAGGAGGGTAAGTTCTAGGGCTCTATATCGCTATAGGGTGACTATAATTAATATTATATAGTTTAAAATAGCTAGAAAGACATTGAACAACCCCAACAGAAAAAAAAGGTGAATATTTGAGATGATGGATATGCAAATTACCCTGATCTGATCACTACACATTATTTGTATGGAAACATCACTGTGCACCCCATGAATATGTGTAATTATTATTTGTCAATTTAAAAAATGAAAGAAAAGAAAGCAAAGATAATACAGCCTTTAAAAAGAGAAGTTTTGGTGTAATAGATTACTGGGCTATCTTCTAAGTCAGACGCATCTTTCTCTTGGGGTTCTCTAAAGAGGTCCACCTCCAATTCTAAACACCTCCTCATCACGAGAATCTATCACCAGTTCTACGGAGAGAACCACAGAGTCAGTAGACCTAGGTTACCACCGTCTTCTATCAAGTCTCTCTCCCTCATTGAGCCCAGGGAATGTAAGGATGAGAGATTTCCCTCCTTAGGACTGATCCATATTCCAGTAAGCCCAGGGTTCCGTCTCTGAAGGGGTGATTAAGGGAGGAAATCTGGCAGCCTGTGAGAGTACTCCTTCATAGCTACCTTGAAGGTGGGAGACATTGTCTCCATTCTTGCTTTGTCATTCATAAATTGATCAAGCTCTCCTAGTCGCATGAAGCCGTTTCTTCTTCTGGCCTTCCGTTTTTTAACTCTTCTGCAAAGAGAGTGAATGAGAATAAATGTTTGATGGCTACCTGCTTTGTGTCAAGTGTCAAGGGCTTTACTTAAGTGATCTCATTTAAATCTTGTCTCCCACTGTGTAAGGTAAACCCTATCACATCCCTTTTGCAGTCTTGAATAAAAAAGAGACTTAAAAAAAAATACTTTGCCAAACATCATACCTAAGTGAAAAGATGTGATTTTCCTCTGATTTGATTTTGAGGTTTCTCTCTGAAGAATGGCTATAAATTCTAGTCCTGTCCTGCTGGGGCTCCAGGGGAGGTATTTGTGGATGTTTACAGAATGCCTTTCATGGGATGCTTCTTCCCAGTAGACAGCCTAATGCCTAAGCGTCCAACCTGTGACCAGGTGTTCCTCTCACAGGAAACTTGTTTTGTACTTGCAGACACCCTTGTACCTCTTGTCTGACGTGTTCATTTTATTCCTACCATGATAGCCACTCTCTAGGAGAGCCCTGACATGGAAAGAACTTAGGTTCAGATTGTGGGTCAGGTGAGACATAGAGGAGACAGCACAACCAAACAAATGTAATAACACAAACAGTTTTATTACTCGCAGCTCCCAGAGAGAAGAGAGCAGCACACTTTGCAGGGCCAGTGGGAAGACGTGAGCTATCCAGAGCGTGCATGCTGAGCCAGCAGGTGGAGAGAAGGAGGGAGGGGGAGGACTTGTTTATAGGACCCTGGGATTGACCATTAGGGTATTTTTGTGGTCAGCCACTGTGGGATGTGTTGTGTTCTGAATCAGTGAAATGAGGAACAATAGAGTATATCACAAACCACATAGGGAGGGGAAGTTTTAGGTAAGGCAAAGGGAATTGGGTCCAACTGTGTTTCAAGTAACTTATGTCGAGCCTGAAAATAGATGCCAAGGCAGCAACTACATTAAACAAATTTATGACAGAAGATAATTATTCTGGGTGGGTAGACCCTGAAAAAATTATCCTTCCTTGGATAAAATCAAAGAGCACTTCCTCTGACCTTGGTCTTTTTAACTTCTCACCTGATTACAGCTACTGGGCTTTCGTTAGCAATCTTGTCCATGCCCACAGCATTTGAGGTTAAACTAAGTACTTTCTGCGTTCTGTTTCATTTAGTCTTCATAAGATCCCTGTAATATTGCTTTTATCCCATTTGTCAGATGAGGAAAATGGAAAATGAGACCTGCCAGAGGAGCGAAAGAAGTTGTTGAAAATCTCGCAGAAACTATGTAGGCAATACCCACTAGGATGACTATAATAACAAAAGACAGATAGTAAGAAGTTGGAGAAGATGTGGAGAAATTAGAACCCTCATACACAGGTGGCATGAATGTAAAATGGTACAGCCACTTGAGAGAAGTCTGACAGTTCTTCAAATAGTGAAACATAGAGTTACCATATGACCTAACAATTCCAGTCCTAGATACATACCCCCAAATGAAAGAATACTGCCACAAAAACTTGTATACAAATGTTTATAGTTTATAGAAGTATTCATGATGGTGATCACAGCAGGAGACAGACAAATTCCTAGGCAGACAGAGATGGGTCCTGGTGAAACCCAACCCTCAAGCCAAAGACAGCCTGAAGCCTGAAAACTAAGCCATTTGCCAAGCTGTGGGTGGCGGGAACAAGCGAGAGCTGCGACATTTCTTGGGGGCTTGGACCTTGGGACTCCCCACGTGAGAGCTGTAACACCCCTTGGGGCTCCACAATTGCTGGCATCTCCAAGTTTTCGGGCACCACTGTGTTCCCCTCATCTAGACGGCAGAGTCCAATCCAGAGATCGCTTGCGGTACACCCAGTCCAGGCGCTGGCTGAGCGTGGATCCTGCAGCAAGTGTGGGATCTGGGCCAGGATGCAAGCGGAGTGCAGCCTGCCAGGCCCAGTGGGCAGAGTGAGCCCAGCAGGCCCAAGCAAGGCCCTAGGCAGTGGTCATGGCGGCCACAGAGATTTTCAGCTGGGGAAGGGGCACTCAAGGAATTCTGTAACACTGTAACCCTCCCTTCCACTCGCTGAGCGATGGGTGAGAAAAAGCTGCTGGGTGCCATTTCCTCTCGCTCACTAAACCACAAAAGCTGTAATAATAGCCCCAGATGGAAACAACCCAAATATCCATCAACTGATGAATAGCTGAACAAACTGGCATATCCATACAATAGAATATTATTCAGCCATCAAAAGGAATAAAATATTGATAGATGCCACAACATGGAAGAACCCTGAAAGGATTATGCTAAGTGAAAGAGGCCAGTCACAAAGGATCACATATTGTACAATTCAATTTATAGGAAATGTCCACAATAGGCAAATCTATAGAGATAGAAAATGGATTAGTGATTGCCTAGGGTTTGTGGGGTGACGGGGAGATTGGAGGACAGTGAAAGCAAGGGATTTCTTTGTGGGGTAAGGAAGTATTCTAAAATTCTGGTGATGGTTTCACAACTTGAATATATTGATAGCCATTGAATTATATAATTTAAATGGGTGAATTGTATGGTGTGCAAATATCTCAATAATGCTCTGAAAGCAAACAACAACAACAAAATGAAAATAAAAAACAAACGTGAGAGTCAGTGATCCATCCAAGGAATTCCCTAAATGTTCTGCATTTCTTCTATCAAACTCCACCAAGCTGTTAAATCAGTGGTTCCCAGCCCAGGATGTGCACTGATACCCTGATGCCTAGAGCCCCTGATGAATGACAGCAGAAGCTTGGGGCGGACCTGGACATCAATATATATTATAGCTCCCAGGTAATACCCCATGTGCAGCCATGTTTTTTATGGAGAAGCTTTTCTACCACAAGTCTCTGTTCAGAGGCTGTGATCTACATGGAATCTAAAAGATTTGGCATGAAATTTTGATCAAAGCAATTACCTATATGCTTTTTCAGTGGAGGTTGTCTGAGGTGTAGCAGTCAGAGAAATTGAACTGTCAAAAACGAATATAAGAATAATAAGAGAATATTTCTTCTTCATTGGACACCCAAGATGAATAGCAGGTAAAATAAAATTTTAAATTAAATTGAATATGTATACGACTTTACTTTTTTGTTAAAGGACTATAACATGAATAATGAACATATTAAAAAGAGAAGACCAGACCCTCAATTTCTTTCAATAATGTTAGTGTTGTATATCCTAGCTTGAATAAAACACATTTCATTAAAACACCCACACGGTTCTGCAATGCATTATGGATGGCCTCTCTGGAGAAATCTTACATGCCTTTCAATTTCGACATAGTGATATGGTAATAATAAAAGTCTTTGGCATATAATTCTGCAGGTATTTTTACAATTCTGAGTTTTGCTGATCAAAAGCCAGGGTTTACCTCACCTGGGTTCTGACCTGCAGTAGATTGGGAGAAGTGAATGGGGCAGAAAGGATCATTTTTGTTCCCCATATTTGTGGGGTTGTTGTATCAAAAATCTAAATATAAATGTATTTGAAATTGTATTAGTTGAGATAGAGTTTCAGCTGCTCTATCAAACACTCAAAATGATAGTGGCTTAATAAGTAAGAAGATGGTTTCTCTCTCCCATAAAAGTCCAGGTGAGTGTGGCTGCTCTGTTCTTTGCTAGGGCTCAGCAACCCAGGCTGTGTCTGTGTTTGCTTCTCCTTTCATTCCTAACATACTGTCTCTCTCCATATGGTCCAATATGACCCATCACTCCCACCACCATGTTTGCTGTGGGAAGAGAGAAAGGAAAGAGCAGAGCCGGCCTCTTCTGTCTAAAAACAGGAACTGGAAGTGGCACATGCCACTTCTGCTCACATCCTGTTGGCCAGAACTTAACCGTCTTAATCATATGACCTCATCTAGCTACAAGGGAGGCTAGGAACTGCAATATTGATTTTAGATGGCCAAGTGTCCAACTAAGAGTCAAGAGTTTCTATTACTATAGAAAAAGGAGAACATGGGTATTGGGGAATAATAAGCAGTTTCTACTGAAGGAAGATGCAAGGGCCTATAATATCATGGATATTATAAAGGTAAAATGAATTTCTTCCTTGCAGTCATCTAGTACCATCTCTCCATCATCTAATGAGGAAATAGGTCTATTTTAGTGCCTTTGCCTCCTCCAATCCTCATTATCACAGGGTCCTACTGACACGTAGGTTCAACATAAATTTATTAAAGGCCCACTCTGAGTTGAGTGTATAGTGGACCTTTAGGTGCTCATGACAATCCCATAAGATAGCTATTATATCTATTTGCCAATGAAGGGAAGATGACTCACAGAGGTTAAGCTACTCTCCCAAAGCCACACAGCTGACTGAGGTTCTAGTATCTGCTGGGTCTATACTGGGGGACTTCCTATATTAGGGACTTCCTAGTTTTCTTCCTGCCTCACAATGGGGCAGGGAGAAGACTAGGAAGTGCTCCCCAGAAGATAGTGAGTTAGGTCTTTAAGGAGACCACACCAGGGAGATGGGGGAGGAGTGGGGTTTAGGAGGAGGGAGCAGCAGGTATGCAGGGCATAGCAAGGCACTTCTGTAGGGCTACAAGCACTTCCACAGGTGGAAAAGTAGGATGTATAGGGGAGTAATGGGGATGAAGTAGAAGAAACAGGCAGAAGCCAATTGAGAAGGACACCTAAATGGCCTTTTGTAGCCAAAGGAGAGTCCTGAGGGGTTTTAAGCAGGAGAGTGATGTGGTCAGATTTGCCTTCTATAAATCTGCCTAGAAGTGAGGAGATCAGCTGGGACTTGACAAGATTTGAGCAAGGAATGAACACCTCAATGGTGCAAATTGCGTCTTAGGGAAAGAGTCAATAGATACGAAGAGTTAAAATTATAGTTCTGATCTTATGTGAGGGTGAGGGAGAGACACAATTACAGGACAACTCCTAGGATGACCCAGGGTTTATGGTATGGATGACTGAGTTGATGTTTTCACTTATGAAGAAAGATTTAACTAGTTTCTCTCCAACTGCAAAAATAATAGTTCTAAACATCTTCATGGCAGAAGACTGTACAATTAAGAAATTTATGGGAAAAATAGAATGGGGGGACCAGGGTAGTTAAAAACGTATGAATGTTCTTATAGGTACATTTTACACTTGCAATATTAAGGTGATAATATCCTGAATAAAGATAATGTCAGTGACAGTTTTTGTATCTTAAATTGGCAAAATAGCATTAATAGTTACTGTATCATTAACTTCCACCTACTATGGCTCTCTGGAAAATTTTGGTATCATCCTTCTGTATAGTTTTAATGGAATATGGATTTGTTTTGCTCTGTTGAAGATAATAAGCATACCAAGAGACATTTTCTTTTAGTGCTTGAACCTCCATCCAAATGCTTAATGCCTTTCTGATTTTAAGATTTGGACTGCCTAAGTCACCCTATCTAAGTCATGACTCAAAAGTAATTACCAAGTCACATATAAACATGATCGAAAATTCACACAGCTGCAGGAGAGAAACAGAGAAAGAAGTCCATCCATGCACACCAGAATTTTGAGTAAGTGGAGATTGCTCCAGGGGAGGGACTGCTGCTGGTCAGGAGGAACCTGGACTGTAAAGGTAGAAGTCACTCTTGTTTCTTTCTGGTTGATTGTGCTTCATGCCACAGCACCTGTTCATGTGACTTCAGTTGTGTGCTCAGTCCTTCATCCAGGTAGGTCCCACTGAAGTGGACAGAATGGGAGAGGGGCAGCTTGAGCTGCATTCTCAGGGTCTTGCCTCCAAAGCCTATCCTGGCTGAGCTGGCCTGACCTGATGTTTGAGCCCTGATCATGGCTCACCTGCCTTGTTTCTCATAAGTGGAACTTCATCATAAAGGAAGGGGAACAGCTTGGGCTCTGCCATTTGCTGACTGCGTGACCCTGGGTGGATGGTTCAGTTGCACAGGCTGTTCTCTGGGGTATTTCAGGAAAGCCATAGCTGTAGACTTTTTATGTAAAAGCAGTTCAGGGCTGAAGTACAGTGGGACTTGAGGCAAAAGTGGCTAGTGGACCTGTCCTGGACCTGTATTAACATGGCAGACTCTCCATCTCTCCATTTTTAGTTTCCTTATATGTGCAACTCCAATGAAAAACACAAGCATTTTCTAAAGATGCATTTATTCACAGTTCATATGAGATTAAGGAAAGTTCACGTGTCCATACCAAAGAAAGAAAAATAACCATATGAAGTTATATCAGTAGATAACACAAGAAAATATTGATGTTCACCCTGGTTTTATAATGCATATATTATGGCCAAAAAAATACAATACATTCATCCTACCTTCAAAAGGCTTAGTGAGGCTAAGGAGTTACAGCATTGTGATTCTTTGGTTATTGTCAGAAACAAATGCTTCTGTGACTCCAGTGTAAGCTCTTATCTCTTGTTGAATTTATAACTAATTCAGTTTGTTTTGACACCACTACTGGTATTCTTCAAGAAAGTTTTTGTTAGTAGCAGGGAGGAAAAATATGTCACATACCATAGAAATCATTGGCAAAGCCATGCCGATGCAGCATAGCAGATGGGAGGCAAGGATTGGGTGGGTGGGAGAGTGAGTGCTCCCGAACCCGAGGGGGTTATTGGAAGGATTAAATGAGGTGATGTCTGTAAGATGTCTATCTTGGCGACTAGTATATAACAGTGGCTCAGTAAATGGTGTCTATGATTAGAATTATTTTTTCAAGATCCATTCCTTACTTCAATCACCAGTTTGATACTTAGTCTCAACCCTTAATGATACAAATAGACATAGCCAGCATTCCCAATCCCAAATTCTTTGCCAGTTTCTTAAGAAAGCATACTGTAGCTCCACTTTTGAAGATTTGCAATGCATATTTGAATAATAAAGGCTCTGAGAAGTCCTGCATGAAAGAAACTTGTTGACTTTTGTGTTGCCTTGTATTTTCCAACCTTTTCAGACCCATTTTTTTTCATGGACTGCCTATTGGCAGTTTTTGGCACAAGAATTCTATGGAACACCCTATGGCAAAATGATAGTCTCACACCTAGCATTTCTTCGAGGTAAAGAATTCTAGACAGTGAGTCACTGAAAACTTTTTAGGAGAAAAATTAAGTTTTCTTTTCCTCATCAATCAAATTAAAGTCACTTGATTTTGTGAACAGTGTTTTGTGACAGATGAAGCTATATATTCAGACTTGACTGATGTTACTGATTTCTAGCCCTGGAGGTCAAGGGAGAGGCAAGCTGGGGTAAGACAACAAGCTACAGATTGGTCTGGGCATTGCTTGGCAATTATCCTTAAATTATTCTTCACACCAAAGTTCACACTCGCGTTTACTCAAACTCATCTTCTTTGACTCAAAAACAGCCATAGGAAGTAGGCAGGATAGGAAATGACCGATTCCATCTTATATCCAATGAAACTGAGATGAGCAGAGGTGAAGCAATTTAAGGCGAAAGAGCTAGAAGTAGAACTTAAGTCTCCTGACTCAATTTAATTCTACAAGCATTTATTTAGCACCTACTATGTGCCAGGTACAGTGCTTAGATTTTGGGAGTACAGGGTGACAAAATCAAATATTCTGCAGAATTTAGAAGAGACATGTAAAATAAGAGTTACAACATAATGTGAAAAGTGCAATAGTAGACACAGGGAGGATCAGAATGGTGAGGGAAGAACAAAAGAAAAGGTGGTTTATGAACTGGGTTTTGAAGGATAAATAAGACCTTTTCCCCAGGAAAACAAGCAGGGAAAGACAGAGGATATCGCTATAAAATTGTTAATGTCCCTCTCCCCGATAACCCCCATAGCAGGTGATGGACCTTAGAGGATATTAGTTGTGTGTGTGTTGTGTGTCTAGGCTCTGAGATAGTAAAATCCTGAGGATTTCCCCTTCATTCCTTTCTACTTATTTTTGAACAAAGTTGGAGGCATAAATGTTTTGCAAGGACCGCGTCGCATTACAGCATGACGATGGATGGGAGAAATTCATCTATGAGGTTAAAGTTTACAACTTTAATAAATCAAATCTCTTAAACTTGCGATTGAAAAACTAGCAAAAGGGACAAGATTCTGGCTTCTGGCTGCCCACAGTTCTATTTCATTTGCTGGCTGGGGAAGGCCTTTTCCCTGGGGCCTGATTGGCAGTGACTCCTGCAGTGTTTCAGCCCAAAGTTCCCTTTTCTTGATTAATGTGATTTTCTATGTTTTCCTGGTAGCTCAGAACCAATGAAGAGCAGTGATCTGGGAAACCACCTCCTGTGATTCCCTTTGACAGGGTTCTCAGTGGAACAGAACAAGTAATTTTGGTTGGCATCCCGGAAGGTTGCCTTTAAGCAGCAGCAGTGGCAGCAGCCAAAGGAGCCCGATACCACCTCACCTGGACCTTCCTGCAGTGCAGGAGGCTGGGTGGTGTCAGGATCACTGAGCCAGATACAACTAGGTTGTCTTTGGCTAAACTGGTGTGCTTTTGCAAGCATGTGTAGATAGATTCCTATTTAAAAGACATCTCACCATGAGAAAAAAGTCAGAAGGCCAGGGCAGTGGGAAAATGATCAGTGCATCTGAGGATTATGAAGGGGTGATGGGTACAACCTACAGTTGCTCATGGATATTTCTTTTCCTCCCCACAGAGGGACAAGAGGATAGGTAACAAGAGGCCTCCAGGTGCCAGGCAGCAGTGGCTGTACTTTGTTTCTCTGTGGATGGAAAATATTCTGCAACTCAGGGAGGTGGCCAGAGACCAAAGGACTGCCTGAAGCTGGGCAGCAACACAGGAAGGGTTGCTTTTAATTAAAGTTCTCTTTGTTTTGTTGCAGCGCCTAAGAGGTTGGCGTCTGAGAATTTTGTCCTTTACCTTCTTAGAAAGGACTCTCAGTCTTGGCCAGGTTTGTGAAATGTTTTCTTGTAAGCACATCTTCCTACCTAAACTTTGAAAGGGAGGATTTATTCAGCTTTTGAAGGAAACTGGCTAAAATTTGGTCAGATGACATCAGCCCTGCCAGCCAGCCTGGGTATGCAGGTCGTTCCCCATTGGACTCTCTCACGCCTTCAGATGCATTTTGTACATGCCTTCATCTTTCTCTGTGTCCTGCGAGGCTGACATCTATAGATTGTTTAACCTGCGCTCCCTTATCTTCTGGCTTCTGCTTGGGTTTGGCCTATAAGTAAAGGAGAGAGGGTAGGAACAGAGAGATTCGGGCACAGATTCCGGATTCCCTCTCTGCCTGCACTGGTGCGTGCCTCTGGCTGTGGTTACACTCTTCCATGTCTACTCCTTGGTTGTTCCCACCACACTGGGCTTCACGATTGCTATGGTTATATCCTCCTCTTGCTTCTTCAAGCCAAGGACAGCAAGACTCTAGCTCTTGCTAATTTTGGGGTGTTTTTTTCATCCTTTTCTCCCCACTTAAATCTTTTCTTAAAAAGTGAGGTGAAATCCACATGACATGCAATTAAACATTTTAAGGAGTACAGTTCAGTGGCACTTAGCACATACACAATGTTGCATGAAAACCTTCTCTCTCCAGTGTTAAAACTTTTTTTTTTTAATCAACCCAGAAGGACATCCATTAAGTAATCACTTTCCATTTCTCTCTTCTCTCCATCGCCTGGCAACCACTAATCTGCTTTCTCTCTCTCTGGGTTTGTCTATTCTGGATATTTCATATAAAAGAAGTCTACAGTATGAGACCTTTTGTGTCTGGCTTCTTTCACTTAGTATAATGTTTTTGGGGTTCATTCAAGTTGTAGCATTGTTAATACTTCATTTTTTTTTTTTTTAGATGAAATTTCACTTTGTCACCCAGGCTGGAGTGCAGTGGTGAGATCTTGGCTCACCGCAACCTCCCAAGTAGCTGGGATTACAGGCGCCCACTACCATGCCCAGTTAATTTTTGTATTTTTAGTAGAGATGGGGTTTCACCATCTTGGCCAGACTGGTCTCGAACTCATGACCTCAAGTAATCATCCCACCTCAGCCTCCCAAAGTGCTGGGATTACAGGCGTGAGCCACTGTGCCCGGGCTCCATTTGTTTTTATGGCTGAATAATATTCCATTGTATGGGTAGACCACAGTTGCCTTTATTCTTAACTCTGTAAGCTGGTGGTTCTCAAAATGTGGTCCTTAGACCAGCAGCATCAGCATACTCTGGGTACTTGTGGGAAATGCAAATTCTCAAGACCATCCACTCCACGAAACTCTGCGAGGCAGGGCCCAGACATCTGTTTTATAACAAGCTCTCCAGGTGATTCTGATGCCTGCTCAACTGTGAGGCCCACTTCCATAAGTAGCCTCTTGATTAAGGTCTCCTCATTTAAAGCATTTGGGGTGAATTCATTTCCTGCTGGGACCCTGATGAATAACACCTCCAGCTGGGGTAACTGACATCTGTTTCTTGTGTGTTTAGTGCTGGGCACACTAGAGCAGGGCAGGGGGTAGTTTTAACAACCTTAGTTCTAGAAGTAGATATAAAGCACATGTTCTAAACTGGCTCCCAGAGTTCCCCAGTGGGCTTATGTTCTGGTTGTCTGGAGTGGAAACTTGCTTTATAAGACACCATTTTTTTGGCCGCCTTCCCCTTCCTGTTTGATTTCACCATTCTCCTACTGGTGCCAGTTCTTCCTGTAGTTACTCTCCATCCCCCATGCCCCTACCCTCACAAAGAAACTACTTGTGCTTGAATCTTTATCTCAGGGTCAGCTTCCAGGGGACCCCAACCAAGATACCACATAATTGACCATCCTGAAAAAATGGCCAGTGTGAATACGGGTAGGAGATTTTTTGATTCAGATAACACTTGTGCTGTTACAGCCCTGAACTGATCGAGGAAGATTATCTTTGGAGTAATGTGGGCTAACTGTGACATTTATTTCTGTTAAATCACTGTCTGCTCCCAGCTACTTGGTGAAGGAAAGCACATGGCCCTGTTTGGGATTCACCTTGAATGTGTGTCTAACTTTGCTTGTTCTGGGTTGCTACCATAGTAACAGGAGTAATTAACCTGAATTTCACTCTCTTGCTCTCTCTACACCACCTCCCCTCTCCCCTACTCCAGTTCATTCTGGATTTGCTTTGAAACATTTTAGTGAAGCAGTTAGAATGCCTTCATCTACCTTCATCTGCACATCGATGATACCCTTTTCCTGGTTTTATCAGGCTGCTTGTTTTTGTTGTCTGTACATCCATTTCTTTGGGGATGAAGCACATGCATGGTATAGCTCAGGCATTTAAACAGGGTTCAGCAATTATAAAACACAGAAGTGACATCAACTGGGGGCAGTGTTTGGGCTTCCTTTGTCAACTCAGAACATCTGTTTGGCTCATGGGGGCACCTTAGTTTATTGCTGTCATTAAGAGCTGTCAGTCAGAGGAACTGAGACCTGCACTTCCCGCTGAGGTGTTGAATATTAAAAACTTACATTTCCTACCAAGGGCTCAGTCCTATTTCACTCTTTTTTTTTTTTTTTTAAAGTAAGTTCTTAATTTTTGTTCATAAGTGTATACTGTGTTCTAGGAGACATTCAAGAAGTAAATGACTGGTCCTTTTTGGTGGACACTTTTCACCCAAAAGAAAAAAGAATGATAAATTTAACAGGTTCCTGTGATAATCTATGCTGCATCCCTTTAGCCTACCTGATTTTAGAAGTGCCATGGTAGACAGTTGCCTGTAATTTAGTTGTCCCACATCAAAGTTGTGCTGTGATATCTCTTTACTGTTTCTTCAAAACTTCAAAAGCCTGCTTAGCCTTGTTCAGGGACAACTCAGATGTGTATGGGATGTTAGCATCCCAGATACAACCCCTGAGCAATAGGTTATCAGAGTTGGTGGACAAATGTTCTGCCTCCTTGTGCTCTGATGGGACAATTCTGAGGCACATTCTAATAGCTCTTCGGAGGATATCAGAAGGAGTTGAGCACCAGTTGCCCAATGAGGCTGTCAGCCTGTCCTCTTTTATTCATTTATTTTTCTGTGGCTGACACTATTGATTGCAGTTCAGGTTTCATGGAAAGCAGCTTCCAAGATGGGGATAGCACGCTGGAAATTTACTGAAGAATGCCTTTGGGATCAACCACTGTAGAAGGGAAGGGAAGGAAGCAGGATCAGACAGCAGTAGAAGTTGGGCTGGAATGCAGCAAGGTGCCTCTGAAGGTGAGTCTGGCACCCTTTCTATTCTCACCCTGGATGAGCTCCTCAACTCTCATATTCAACAATTGTTTATGTAATTCTGATTTCTAATCCACACTTCCAACTCTCATCTCTTATTCAGGTGTCTGCTCCTCTACTCAGTAGCACCTGGCCATGTGATAGGTTGTTGGAAATATAAATGAGTCAGACATTGTATTAGTCAGGGTTCTCTAGAGAAGCAGCACCAATAGGCTATATAAATAGATTAAATAGACAAAGATTTATGATGGATTAGCTCATATGATTATGAAGGCTGAGAAGTCCCACGATCTGCCATCTGCAACTGAAGGCTCAGGAAAGCTCGTGGTATAATTGTAGTCCAAGCCCTTAGGCCTGAGAACTGGGTGGCTAATGGGGTAAGTCCCAGTCATGTCTAAAGGCCCAAGAACCAGGGGTACTGATGTCCAAGGGCAGGAGAAGATGGATGGCCCTGTTCAAGTAAAGAGAGTGAATTTGCCCCTCCTCCTTGTTTTTTTGGTCTTATCTGGACCGTCAGTGAATTAGATGATGCCCAACCACATTGGTGAGGGAGACCTTCTTTACTCAGTCTACTGACTCAAATGTTAATCTCTTCTGGAAACACAGTCACAGACAAACCCAGAAATAATGTTTTACCAGCTTTCTGGGCATCCCTTAGCTCAATCCAGTTGACAGATAAAATTAAACAGCTTAGACATGATGCCAGATCTGGAGGAATTGAGTCTTGAGGGGGTTGCAGAACACAGAAAAAAGTCTTTACAGTATACCCTGTCAAATTCATGGAAATATAGGAATTAAAACAGGTTGGGGTGATGGGAATATTTTAAGCAGCGAGCCGAAATCACAGTGCGTAAGTTGTGGCATACAAATCAGAGAGCAGACCTGAAGTGTTATAAGATTGAGGCTCAAAGGAGACAAATGTTGTTACAGTTTTAGCATCTTGGGACCTTGGAGGTCAGCTGGCCCACCTTTACCTGAGGTCTGGCTCTTCTCCACAGAATTCTTGCAAGGTAATCATCTAATCTCGGCTTAGTTTCATTGCTGTATCTAGTGATTTTATGCTCTCTGACTGGGGAGTAGAGATAGATGGGAGCACTTCCTTGTAACTTTGCCCATTGACTCTGGTTTTACCTATGCATCTCTGCTTCTTCTTCCATACAACAGCCCTTCATATTTGAGCTGGCCCTTTGCATATTCCCCCCAAATGAAAAAAAAACCTTGGATTCTTTAGCCATTTATCAAATGGCATCTTGCAGTCCTATCAATTCTTCCTCCTAAATATCTCTTGAGTCTGGTTTCTTCTCTTTACTTCCATAGTCACTTAGCATGGAAAATAGGACAAACGACCTTGTGGAAATTAGTATCAATGGCTCTATTTTTAATCTTCCTCTTCTCTGGCCTCGATGACTACAGCAGTCTTCTAGCTGGCCTCCTCACTGCCATTTTGCCCTTTCCACTTCATTTTTACTGTCAGCAGAGCAGTCCTCCCCAAATGAAAATACGACCATGCCATATTCCTGTTTAAAACCATTCAGCAAATTCTCAGTGCCCTTCATAGAAACAATGAAAATCTTTAGCATGCCCCTGAAGGTTTGCAATGTCTGGCTCTTTCCAGTCACAGCTCCAGCCTTCCCCTTGGCAACTGACATGCTAAGCGTTTAGAAAGTATTTTAGCATCTTGATTATGACATGACTTCTCTGGTCCCAAGGCTTCATGTAGATGGTTCCCTCTGCCTAGAATCTGTTCCTCTTATCTACCTGAATAACTTCTGCTCATTTTTCAGGTCTGAGATTTGCAGTAACTTCATCTGGTAAGCCTACACTGAGTGGCTACCCACCTCTTTAGGTTAGGGCTCTGTGATAGAACCAAACCAACCAACCAACCTACCTCCCTCCCTCTGTCCTTCCCTCCCTCCCTCCCTCCGTCCTTCCCTCCCTTCCTCCCTCCGTCCTTCCCTCCCTCCGTCCTTCCCTCCCTCCCTCCGCCCTTCCCTCTCTCCCTCCGTCCTTCCCTCCCTCTGTCCTTCCCTCCCTCTGTCCTTCCCTCCCTCCGTCCTTCCCTCCCTGCCTCCCTCTGTCCTTCCCTCCCTGCCTCCCTCCGTCCTTCCCTCCATTCCTCCCACCCTCCCTCTCTCCCTCCTTCCCTCCCTTCCTCCCTCCCTCCCTTCCTTTCTCTTTCTTTCTCTTTCTCCTTCCTTTCTTCCTTCCTTATTTTTTTCTTTCTCTTTCTTCCTCCCTCTCTCCCTCCTTTCTTCCCTCCCCCGCATACAGTAAATTAGGCCCATTTTTATCATATAATAACTCAAAGTTATATAACATCTTCACCATCAGAAAGGCTCCCTCATATTTCCTTTAGTATATACTTCTCAAAAGCAACTGCTCTTCTGGCAGCTATCACCATAGATTCTTGCTGTCTTTTAAACCTTGTATACCTGGCATCATACAGTATTCACGTTTTGCATCTGACTCCTTGCGCTCATCCATGTTGGTTCATGTGGCAGTAGATTATTTTTTCCTTCCTGTGTTATTCCATCTTGTGATCCATTGTATGAATATGTCATATATTTGATCATTCTATGCTTGATGAACATTTCAGTTATTTCCAATTGTTGGCTATTATGCATATTGCTGCCATGAGCACACTTGTTTTTTGCTGAACACGTGTGTGTTAGTCCATTCTCACACTGCTATAAAGAACTACCTGAGACTGGATAACTTATAAAGGAAAGAGGTTTAATTGACTCACAGTTCCACAGGCTGTACAGGAGGCAGGTCTGGGAGGCCTCAGGAAACGTACAATCATGGCAGGAAGCAGAGGGGAAGCAAGCATGGTCTGCACATGGCGGCAGAGAGACAGTTAAGTGGGAAGTGCTACACACTTTTAAACAACCAGATCTTGTGAGAACTCATTTACTATCACGAGAACAGCAAGGGGGAAATCCACCCACATGATCCAATCACCTCCTACCAGGTCCCTTCCTCAACACTGGGGATTACAATTCAACATGAGAGTTGGTTGGGGACACAGAGCCAAACCATATCACATGCATTTTTTTCTTACCTTGTGATCAATTTATTTATTTATTTATTTATTTATTTTTTGAGACGGAGTCTCGCTCTGTTGCCCAGGCTGGAGTGCAGTGGCTCGATCTCGGCTCACTGCAAGCTCCACCTCCCGGGTTTATGCCATTCTCCTGCCTCAGCCTCCTGAGTAGCTGGGACTACAGGTGCCCACCACCATGCCCGACTAATTTTTTGTATTTTTAGTAGAGACGGGGTTTCACCGTGTTAGCCAGGATGGTCTCGATCTCCTGACCTCGTGATCCACCCGCTTCGGCCTCCCAAAGTTCTGGGATTACAGGCGTGAGCCACTGCACCTGGCCTGATTTTATTTTTTGAAATACTTGCTGCCTCTTCCTTCTGGGCTCTTCCTCACTGGAATGATCCTTGCCAGGAGGATTTTACTTTCTACTCAATTGTCACAAGAGCTGGCCTTGTGACTTGCTTTGTCCAGTGAAATGTGATAGAAGGAATGTATGCCACTTTGGATTAGATTAAGAGTCATTGCGTGGTTCTGCTACTGTGATTTTTCCCCCTGACACGAGGTTAGCATACAGGCTGACATACAGAAGAATGAAACTGGATCCATATCTGTCACCATAGGCAAAAATCAATTCAAAATGGCTTAAAGAATTCAATGTAAGACCTGAAACTATAAGAAGACTAGAAGAAAACCCAGGGAAAGCTCTCTTGGACATGAGTCTAGGCAAAGAATTTATGACTGAGACCTCAAAAGCACAGACAATAAAACCAAAAATAGACAAATGTTACTAAAGAGTGGACAGCAAAAGAAATAATCAACAGAGTGAAGAGACAACCTGTTGAATGAGAGAAAATATTTCTAAACTATTCACTCAATGGGAGAAACTAATATCCCCTATATACAAGAAACAGAAGAAAACCAAATAATCCCATTAAAAAGCAGGTAAAGAACATGAATAGACTTTCTCAAAAGAAGACATACAAATGGCCAAGTAGAAGAAAAAATGTTTGACATCACTAATCATCAGGAAAATGCAAATTAAAACCACAATGAGATATCATCTTACTCTAGCCAGAATGGTTATTATTAAAAAGACAAAAAATAACAGATGTTGGTGAGGATGCAGAGAAAAGGGAACTGTTATGCAATGTTGGTGGGAATGTAAACTAGTACAGCCATTATGAAAAGCACAATGGAGATTTCTTGAAAACGTAAACATAGAACTACCATTTGATTCAGCAATCCCAGTCTCTTGGATATCTACCCAAAGGAAAAGAAATCAATGTATCAAAGGGATACTTGCACTCACATATTTATTGCAGCACTATTCACAATAGCAAAGACATGAAATCAACCTAAGTGTTTATCAATGAATAAATGTATAAAGAAAATATGCTATATACACACAATGGAATTCTATTTGGCCATAAAAAAGAATGAAATTATGTCATTTGTAGCAACATGGATGAAATCAGAGGTCATTATCTTAAGTGAACTAAGCCAGCCACGAAAAGACAAATATTGCATGTTCTCACTTATATATGGAGCAAAAAATTTGATTACATGGAGGTAGAGAGTGGAAAGATAGATAACAGAGACTGGAAAAGTGAGTTGGGAGATGGGAGAGGATTAAGAGAACTAGATTAAAAGGTACAATCATACAGTAAGATAGAAGGAATAAATTCATTATTTGATAGCAGAGTAGAGTGACTATACTTAAAAAAATATAGTATTCAGGTGATGGACACTGTAAATACCTTGACTTGATCACTATACCTTACATACATGAAACAAAACTTCTCATGTACTCCATAAATTTGTACAAATAAAAAATAAACAACAGCAAGAATTAATACAACAGACTGAAATAGAGGCTGGTCCTCCATTCTGGGTCCTAGGATGAAGAACAGGTGGAAAGAGCCACAGCTGACTCACAGTGGACAACAGTGGAGTGAGAACTAAATATTTATGGTTACAAGCAATTAGAACCTGGGAATGTTTTGTAATTTCCACAAAATTTTGTCTAAGTTGACTGATCCATCGCCTTTCCTTGTATTCTCATAGCATTTTATAATTCTCATCATAAAATGGCACAAATTCCAGTGAAGTATCTTTTAACCTGCTCTCCACTTGACCCCCTTCTACCACACCCCAACCTGTAAGGGTGGAGACTGTATATGTCTTGGTCATTCTTGTAAACCTAGCACCCAGTACTTTGATGAATGAATAGTAGGTTTTCAACACATATTCATTCAATGGAATGACTTTTAACCTTTTGTTGATGGGAAAATCAATTTTCCTAGGTGTGCTTACCACACATAGTGGCCTGGAATGGAGCACCATTTCCCTTTGTCTTTAACTTTTAACAGTTGGATTATGTGTCTCGATGTGAATTTTTGGGGATTTATCTTATTTGGTGTCCCTTGTGTAGAACACCATTTCCAAGTATGTTCTCCTTATTGAGGAGAAGATGATAGCTCTAATCTCCCTTCCTAAGGACAGGCTACTCCTAAATATATGGCTTAGGTGACATTAGTCTTTGATAGTGACATCTCACTGTTGGTCCATGTTGACTTCACTGTAGACTCAAACTCTGGAATGTCTCCTTGTGGCACTACTACTAAGCCAGTTTTCTCACCCTGGTTTGGGGCAGGTTACCCCTGGTGTACTTATTGATCACCATTTCCCTCTGTCGATATGCCTACTCTCACACCTTTCTCTGGAGTCTGAGTTTACTTGTTTGTTTATTTCAACCATGCCTTCCTCACTGCTTTCTCATTTCCCATATCTGGTTGTTCTATCTCAGCCTGTCCTCCAGAAACCCCAAAATGCTCCATTTCAAATCTTATCACAGACCTCTGTCCACTTCTGATTGACATGGGCATTTATCAGCTTCCAGCAAATTGAACTTCATTGTGCTACAGTATAAAGGTGTCAGAGTGAGAAATAGCCTGGTAAAAAATTAGCACTTGCAATTTTGAGCAGATGCCAGTATAACTTTTGATTTAGTGATCATATTTCAGATTCTGTATTTTCTTATTGATTGTAGATGTTCTTTACATTTTCTGGGTATTCATTCTTGGTTGGCTATGTGAATTATAAACAGCTTTTTCCACTTTGGTCATTTCACTTTGTTTATAGTATCTTTTTGGTTTTTTTGCTACATACAGTTTTAATTTGTTGACCTTTATGGTTGACGATTTTATGATATGTGTTTGTTATCTTTTGTTTAAGAAATTCTTCCCAACCATGAGTTAAAAAAAGTGTACATTTTCTTCTAAAAATATGTATTTTTAATTTTTAATTGATACATAATTTTACATATTTATCGGGTGAAATGTGATGTTTCAATACATGTGTACATTATGTAACTAGCAAATTGGGGTAATTAGCATATCCATCACCTCAGACATTTATAATATTTCTTTGTGATGGTAATATTCAAAATCCTCTCTTCTATTTTGAGATATGCAATACCTTTTTATTGACTATAGTCACCCCACTATGCAATAGGATACCAGAACTTATCCTTCTTTTCTGATTGTAACTTTGTACCCATTGACCAAACTCTCTCCATAACCCGCGCCCCTCACCCCCACCCCAGTCTCTGATAACCACTGTTCTATTCATTACTTCCATGAGATCAACTTTTAAAAATATCTGGCATATGTAAAAATTGTTTCACATTTTGGTCTGTAATCCATCTTCATTTAAAAAATTTTATGTGGTATAAGGCAAGGGTGTAATTTTAATTTTACTCTTTTCCTTACAGAAATAAAATTATTCCCAAACTTTGAATTGCTATATGGATATATAATGCTGTTATGTACTTCATTCATACTCATATGTTCCCTATTCTTTTGCAAGAAACTGTGGTTTTATTCTTGTATCAAGACCATACTGCCTCACTTATTATATCTTAATAATATCTTTCCTATCTTTTCATGTGAATCCCTTTTGCTTGTTTTTCTTTTTAAAAACTGTTTTTGCTGTTCTTGGATTTTTACTCTTACATGAAAATATTAGCACAAGTTCCATGAAAAGTCCTATTTGGATTTTGACTAGAATCACGTGGACCTTATAAATTAAATTGTAGAGAACTGGCATTCTTATAAATCTTCCTTCTTATCATATTATAATTTGCCATTTATTCAGGTCTCCAAAAAGTGTTTCAAGGATGCTTTGTAATTTTCTCTGTAAAATGTCACACTTTGTTTTCTTAGATTTATTCTTAGTTGTTTTATGTTTTTTGACTAATGCGTATACTGTTTTTAAAATTCTGTATGTATTTCCTAATTGGTGATATTTGGTGTATAAAAATAACTGCTGGAATTTTTATAACTTTGAACTTAAGCAATTGAATGAAAATATGTATTCTAATCATTTTTAGATTCTCTGGGATTTCAGGGTAGCAGTCATATTCTAGACAGATAATGATAATTTTGCTGTTTACTTTTCCAATCTTTATACCATGTATTTTTTTTTTGGTCCATTTAATTGACTAGGATCTTCAGAAGAACAGAAAGGGTATGTGTATTTGTGTTTTGTTTCTAATTTTAATGGAAATTCTTTTGAAGTTTAACCATGAAGTCTTATTTTTACTGTAGCTATTATTATCATTATTATTATTTTAGATATGTTTTTAGGTTAAAACCTATTTCTCATTTGCTAAAATTGGAGGATTGGCTGTTACATTTTATTGAATACTTTTCTGCAACTATTTAGATAATAACATGTCTTTATATTTTAATATGCCTATGTAGTATATCACATTTTCAAAATTTTTAAAAATCTTTTTTTATTATTATACTTTAAGTTTTAGGGTACATGTGCACAATGTGCAGGTTAGTTACATATGTATACATGTGCCATGCTGGTGTGCTGTACCCATTAACTCGTCATCTAGCATTAGGTATATCTCCTAATGCTATCCTTCCCCTCTCCCCCCACCCCGCAACAGTCCCCAGAGTGTGATGTTCCCCTTCCTGTGTCCATGTGTTCTCATTGTTCAATTCCCATCTATGAGTGAGAACATACGGTGTTTGGTTTTTTATCCTTGTGATAGTTTACTGAGAATGATGATTTCCAATTTCATCCATGTCCCTACAAAGGACATGAACTCATCTTTTTTATGGCTGCATAGTATTCCATGGTGTATATGTGCCACATTTTCTTAATCCAGTCTATCATTGTTGGACATTTGGGTTGGTTCCAAGTCTTTGCTATTGTGAATAGTGCTGCAGTAAACATACGTGTGCATATGTCTTTATAGCAGCATGATTTATAATCCTTTGGGTATATACCCAGTAATGGGATGGCTGGGTCAAATGGTATTTCTAGTTCTAGATCCCTGGGGAATCGCCACACTGACTTCCACAATGGTTGAACTAGTTTACAGTCCCACCAACAGTGTAAAAGTGTTCCTATTTCTCCAGATCCTCTCCAGCACCTGTTGTTTCCTGACTTTTTAATGATCGCCATTCTAACTGGTGTGAGATGGTATCTCATTGTGGTTTTGATTTGCATTTCTCTGATGGCCAGTGATGATGAGCATTTTTTCATGTGTCTTTTGGCGCATAAATGTCTTCTTTTGAGAAGTGTCTGTTCATGTCCTTTGCCCACTTTTTGATGGGGTTGTTTGTTTTTTTCTTGTAAATTTGTTTGAGTTCATTGTAGATTCTGGATATTAGCCATTTGTCAGATCTAAAACACCAAAAGCAATGGCAACAAAAGCCAAAATTGACCAATGGGATCTAATTAAACTAAAGAGCCTCTGCACAGCAAAAGGAACTACCATCAGAGTGAACAGGCAACCTACAAAATTGGAGAAAATTTTCGCAACCTCCTCATCTGACAAAGGGCTAAAAATCATTTTAAATTCCTGGCATAAATTCTACTTGGCTATATTTTATAATTTTTAGAAAAATTGGATTCAATGGACTTTTTAATTTAGGATATTCATATTAAAATTTATAAATAAAATTAATCTATTTTTTCTTATACTATCTGTAGAAGATTGTATTATCATTCACAATTATTTAATTATACCTTCCCTGTGAAAGGATTACATATTCTCAGTGTGACATATAATGCCTCCTGGTGGCTGGGGTATATACTTCATGCTCCTTTGCCGAGTTTGACAATAGGATTTACTTGACCCAATGTGTGTGTACATTGCTTTGTGTCAATCTCACATTTTTTTTTTTTTTTTTTTTTGAGACGGTCTCACTCTGTCACGCAGGCTAGGTAGGACTAAAGGTGCATGCCACCATGCCTGGCCAATTAAATTTTTTTTTAAATTTTTTATTTTAGAGAAGGGGTCTTGTTTCTTCCAAGTAGAGGGTTTAGGGAGCAATATAGTTATTCTACTAACTCTCTGGGTCTTTTTCTCTTTCACAAGAGCAGACATGTTCCGCATAAGGAATATTCCTTCAGTTTGGGCCCTTGAATGTGGAAACAAATGGGACAGGGCTGAGCTTGGAGCACAACCTCAGCTGACCTGCAGCCCACATGGAATATGAATGAAGAATAAATCTTTGTTTTTTGTAAGCCCCTGAGATTTTGGGTTGTCACTAAAGTAAAGCTGACTAATGAATTATCCATACCTGGTTTAAGAATCAAGGTTAATGCAGCCTCATAAAATCATTCTTCTTCCCTGAAAGCATTTATATAATGCAGAAATAGTCTGTTTCCTTAATGTTTGGTAAAATATGATTGCACAGCCCTCTGAACCTAGTGCATTTTTTCAGGTGGAGAAGAATTTCATCAAATGATTCAGATTTAAAAATAGTTATTGGCCTATTCAGGTTTCCTATTTTTTTTTCCTTACATCAATTTTGGTAATTTATATTTTTGTAGAAAAATTCCTTCTGTATCTATGTCTTATGTCAACAAAAACCTGTTTGTGATAATTTTTATGATAAAAACAAAATTTATCTGTATTTTATCATCTAATGAGAATATTATTTGTGCCTTATTTCTTTTTCTTAATCAATGTTATAATAAGTTTGTGTACATAATTAGTACTTTCAGAGAACAAGCCTTTTTATTGTCAGAAATTTTTGTCATTTGGTCAAAAACATTTTATCAAAACATCTACTTTTTCATATTTCATTAATTGATGCTCTTTTATTTTTTTCTAGTTTTTGGAGTTTTCTTCCTAGTTTTAAAGATGAATGCATAGTTCATTTATTTTCGGTATTTCTTAAATTAGCATTGTAAACTTGGCTGCCTATAGCAGAGACCTGAAATAGCTTAAATAGATGAAAGTTAATTTTTTTATACTTGAAAATTTAGAGGGCAGGCAATCCAGAGCTGGTAGGATAACTATACTTTGCAGAAGTAAAGACCCAGGATCCTTCTACTTTCTTGTTTATGGGGTATTGCTTTTGTCTACCAGCTGCAAGATAATTTATCTCTATGCTTATGCTTCAGCCAGCATGAAGGAGGAAAGGGATAAGAAGGGCTTCCCTCCCTTGAAGATATGATCTGGAGGTTACATGCCTCATTTCTGCTTGTATCCCATTGGTAAGAACAGTCCTACAGCCATATAAAAGAGACTTGCAATTTAGCTTTTATTCTGAGAAGTCACATGTCCAGCTAAAAATTAAGGGTTCTCTTACTATGGGAGCAAGGATACTGGATACTGGATAAGGGGTATAGTGTCTGCCACAGTCCACTCCTTTGGTATCCAGACATCCATGTATACCTATCTTCTCAACCATTCCGATGCCAAAGGAGACACTCTAAAATTCCTTGCAGTTATTAAATCCAATTTGAAATCTAGCATACCTTCATAATGTACAGTTTTCTCCATCAGGTCTAGATGTGGCTCCTCATGGTACAGTGGCTTAAAATGTAAAAGGTAAGTTATCTGCCTATCATATACCCAATATACAACGACAAAGCAGGAGCAGGAAAGCAACAATAACAAATCCCTTTTGGACAGAGAAGAAAGTGAATACACAACTGCCAGTGCTAACAATAATCAAACACCATTGCCCATCCAGTGGCCTCTGATTATCCTCTTTGGAGGAACTCTTTAGATCACCATCCTTTGTGTTTTCTGGTGGTATGTTTTTGTCTGTTCTTTCTTGTGCATTATGCTTCCTGGTCGCATGTGAGATGGGCCATGCACAGTGGGTTCTCCTTGTGAATCGAAAAGCTTTTGTAGCCTGCTTTTTGCTGGTCCATGTCAAGTCAATTCTTTGTCAAATATTGACAATTAGCTCTCTTGTTTAGAAATAGATTCTTGAGCCTGAAGATTCTTGTGTTACTCTTTAAATTTGCTTTGTGCCTTGTTGATTGTCCTGTCTCTAACTTAGTGGCAGCTAACTAGTGCATCTGAAACAAAAACTTGTGTGGGAAAGACACTTCTATTAATTGAATCCTTTCCTCCAGGCTGGCTACAATTTTCTGGCAGGAGCATCTTTTAAAAGAAGGTGTTGATAAAGTCATGGGGCCATGGTATTAGCACCTGCTAAGTCTGGCACTACAGCGCCATCATTCTTAATAGCTGCATTTTGGGTATATAGAAGTAATTAGCCTTTTCACTCTGAAAAGCCCCAAACGACCAGACTCCTGGTCAACTTAGGTTGTAAACCACAGGCAGAGAGTGCTTTAGTGCTATATTTTCTTTCATCTCTGTTAGCACACTGGCTAGCTTTTTTTTTAAACAGTTTTTTAAAATATATTTTTTAAATTGACAAATTGTGTGTGCTGAGGACATTTAAAATCTACTCAGTAATTTTCAAGTATACAATACATGGTTATTGATTATTATCACCATGTTGTACAATAGATCTGTTGAACTTATTCCTCCTTTCTAACTGAAACTTTGTATCCTTTGATCAACATCTCCCCAGTCCCAGCCCCTGAGCCCCTGGTATCACCATTCTTCTCTCTGCTTCTGAGTGTGACTTTTTTAGATTCCACATATAAGTGAGATTATGTAATACTTGTCTTTCTGTGCCTAGAATTATTTCACTTAGCATAATATCATCTAGGTTCTTGAGTTTGTATCTCTTCTTTGGGATTTTGCTAAGAGCCACAAAAACCAGTCGTACCAACATTCTCTATATATTACATATTTAGATTGGTGCAAAGGTAATTGTGGTTTTCGCCATTACTTTTGCTTGCACCAAGCACCAAGAGAAATGTTGATCAAAGGATACTTATTCTTATAGCACTATAGCCTCTGAACCTATGTTCTATCTTCCAAGGTAAAACATTATGGTTTTGCCAAATGTTTTGCCACTGCATAACAAGGATTATCAACTTTCCAACCTGCTGTATCTGAGTCAATACTACTTATCACACAGTGAGTATTCCAATGAGACACCCGTTTGTCTTTCTTACGTTCAGCACTCTACTTTAAGACACCAAAATTAGCTGTATATGTGTTCAACAGCAATAGTGGGTTTCACAAGATAAATGTTTGCTTCTCATGTGAGATACTGGAGGTAGACAGTCCAGGCCTGCTGGGAGGAGTTTGTGCTCTATGAAATCTTGAAGGATCCAGGGCCTTTCAGTCTTTTTGCTCCACCATTCTTAAGGTGTTCCCCTTGCCTTATGACTCTAGGAGCACTGCCAACTACAGTGCTCAGTGTGTTCCGGTTTGCCTGGGACTTTCCTGGTTTTAGCACTGAAAGTCCCATGTCTTTGGAGACCCTTCAGTGCTGGGCAAACTGGGATGGTTTGTCACTATTCCGTTTCCACCCCAGCTGGCCATAGTGCAATATAATTCTGATGCTACCACCTAGAGTTAGCCTCAGATCTCACAAGTTAAGGTCTCAGTCTCGTACTAGACTCCTGTCACTTCAGATGCCAGCCACAATTGGGGGCCCCAGGCTATCTGCACTTCTAACCAACTGGCTATCAGTCTGGGAGTCCCCCTGCCCCAGGTTTGATAATTTGTTAGAATGATTCACAGAATTCACTGAAAGAGCTAAATTTATGATTACAGTTTTATCATAAAGTATACACATAGGGAAATCTAGAAGGCTCCCCAGTGCAGCACTTCCATGCCGTCTGCCTGTGGAGTTAGGGTGTGTCACCTGCCCAACTCACCAGTGGGTGCTCCAATCAGGAACCTCCTCTTAGCTTTGGTGTCTACAGTTTTCACTGGGGTTTCATTATGTAAGCATGATTGATTAATTCATTGGCCACTAGAAGTGATTGTATTCAAACTCAATCTCCATCCCTCCTTTCCCTCTCCAGAGGATGGGTGGCTGAAAGTTCCAGCCCTCTAATTACATATTGGATTTTCCTGGTGACTAGCCCCTATTCTGAATCCATCTAGGATCCCACCATAAGTCACTTCACTAGGGTAATAGAGACACTCCTATCTCCCAGGAAATTCCCAGGGTTTTTTAAGCTCCATGATAGGAATCAGGGACAAAGACTAGAAAAATTATTTGTTATACCATAGTCAGTCTGCTGGCATCATGTCTATGTTCCAATCAGCGGGACAGTGAAAAGTGCCAATAAGGCAGTTTGAAGACATGACCAGAAAGCTGCACATGTGACTTCTGTTTCAGCTCCTTGGCCAGAGCTTCAACACTGGCCATGCCAACTACAAGAGAGGCTAGAAAATGTGGTCTTTATTGTCAGCAGCCACGTACCTAGCTAGAAAGCAGAGGTTTTATTATTATAGAAAAGAGGGAGAATAGATATTGATGTAGAGTTACCAGTCTAAGCCATGTTTATTTGGTAATTGAAGGCAGTGCTTTTTCTTTGATGTCTTGCTTCAGCTCTATCCTACAAGATTGGCATGCAGTATTTTCATTGCTTCTCAGTTCAAAATACAGAGTATACTGAATGCATATTGCTTTTGCAGCATCATAAAGTCTAAAAATCGTTAAGTCAAACTACTATAAATTGGGGACTTGTCTGTATTTTGTAATTTCTCTTGTAATTTCCTCTGTATACCATGGGTCACTTAAGAGTGCTTTTTAACTCACCAAACAATATTTTCCATTTAAGTAAGCATTTTCTTGATTTCCAATTTAATTCTGTTGTCATAATATAATGTGGCTATATGATATCAATTCTTTGAAATTTATTGTCTTTGTGACCCACTACATTATCAGTCTTTGTAAGTTTTCAATGCATGCTAAAGAAAGAATATAGTCTGTATTGGCTGATGGCAGTTTATGAACCCTCATCACTATTCTGGTAAAAAGTTTATATCTCTATCTTTTTCTTTAAAAGTAGAATCATATTGTATATAGTATCTTGCAGATTTATTTAAACATGTAATAATGTATTTTAAACATATTTCCATATAACTACATGTGACTTGGAGCACATCTTTATTTATCAGGATAAACTCCAGTGGGAGACTGTCCTTCAATGGTATGCTTTTTAAAAAGGGTTCCTCTAAATTATTGCCATGATTATCAATTCGTCCTCCTCCCACCAACCCCTGAGAAGGGTTAAACCAATTTTCGCTCCCTTCAGTCCTGTAGAACGTTGCCCATTTCTTATATCCTCTCAAGCATTATTATGTATTATCATATTTTTTATCTTTGCCGGTGGTCAAGCTGCTTCCTTTTGCTGATGAGACGGAAGCTTGGATATATACAGCAGCAGGCAAAATAAAGCAGAGTGAGATCCAGGAGTGGATCCTGCCTCTCATTTCCTGCCCAGGACAGAGTAGGGAGAAGCGATAAAATCCAGCTGTGCTTTTCTCTTCTACATTCAGAATTGTGAGTTCCAAAATTTTTTTTTACCCTGTCCAGCACCAACTTGGCTGAAATTTTGTGAATGATATGTCCTTCTCCTAAGGGGTGAATCAAACCTGCCAATATCTGTGCCTCATGCAGAACACAGAGCTTGACAATTTTTTTTTAAGCCAAATGTGTTTTCTTAGCTGGAAGTAGGAGAAAAATTGAGATTCTCTTTCCCTGGTTGTGTAGCTCAGCTGGGTCCTAGTAGCTCTGATCTCTGCCAAGATGTTTTTAGGATTTCCTTTCAGAAAATGGCAGTTACTGGGACCACCCACCTATCCTGGGATGCAAAGAGATGTAGCTACTTGAATACAGAAAACAAAATTACAACTGAACTTTTCTAAAATTTACTATTTATTTAGTTTTTTTTTTAACTGACACATAATAATTGTACATATTTATGGGATACATAGTGATGTTTTGATACATACAGCATGTAGTGATCAGATCAGGGTAATTAGCATATTAATCTCTCAAACATTTATTATTTCTTTGTGTTGGGAACATTCAGTATCCTCCTCCTAAGCTATTTGGAAGTATGGAATATATGATTGCTAACTGTATCATCCTACAGGGCTATAGAACACTAGAACTTATTCCTCCTATCTATCTGTAATTTTTTATCCTTTAACAAGTCTCTCCCACCCTTTCTCCCATACTTCCTTTCTGATTCCAGTTGTAGCCTCACAACTACTCTGTGTGTAAAGAATGACAATTGCTCCCCTTTTAAAGATGAGGACACTGAGGGTTAAAAAAGCTAGGGAACTTTTGTTGGTTTGCATAGCTAGAAAGAGGCCTTCCCTGACCCCCTTGAAGAGGTAACCTGCGGTTCCCTCAGTTGCTAGCCACGTTGCTCTATTTTCTTAACATCACCAATCACAGTGTGTAATTATTGCCTTATTTATTTGTTCGCTACTATGGTAGACAGCCTCCTCACTTCTCAGTAGTCATGCCATTTTGTAGTCTCCTCCCATGTTGAGTCATGCTGGTCTGTGTGACTAATAGAGTGTATGGCTGAGATGGTGATGTTTGATTTCCAGTGCTAAGTTATAAAGGGCATTGCAGCTCTGCTTTGCTTAAGGAAGCCTGCTGCCATGTCATGGGGATGCTCAAATATCCCATGGAGAAGCCCACATTAGCAGTAACTGGGTCTCCTACTAACAGCCAGCATCAGCTTGCCAGCCATATGAGTGAGCCACCTTGGAAGTGGATTCACCAGCCCCATCAAGCCTTCAGATCACTATAGCCCCAGGTGGCTCGAAACACAATCTTATGAGAGACTCCAAGCCAGAACTGCCCAGCCAAGCTACTCCTGAGTTCCTGACCAACTTGTGATCCCACTTGAGATATGGAATTAAAAATGTCAGAGATAACAACTGTGTATTGTTGTTTGAAACAAGTATTGCATAATTTTCTATACATCAATAGATAGTTAAGATACTTGCTCATCTATTTCCATGGATAGACTGTAAACTCTGTGAAGGCAGGGCCCCTGTCTCTCTCACCACTCCCACATCTAGAAAAATGTCAAGCACACAGCAGCAACTTAACAAAATATTTAGTGAATAAATGAAACACTCAAAGTAGTAGTGAGAGGATTAGAATCTTGATGCTCTCATCTCACCTTCTAGCATTTTCCCACAATACTGTATTGCCTCTCTTCCCTTGCAGAGTGGAGCCACATAGCCACCTGGGGGGTGGGCTTTTTCCTGTTGCCTACAGAGCAATTCATAGTTAATTAAACCATTGAATAAACAGAATAAGGGAGGATTTAAAAGTAATGAGCTGACAGCCCAGTGTGCATTATGCTGGGCTGAAAAGAGAATTTAATTTAGAGAAGAATTATGCACAGGCAAAAGAGCAGTCCGTTAAAACAAAGCAACTGTCTGGAAAGAGATAAAATAAAAATAGGTTCTGCATCCTGTGAAATAAATAGCAAAACCACACACATTTGGGGCACTTTGGAATCCTCAGAGCTGGGATCTCATGCAGAGTGGGACAGGGAAACACTGGGCAATGCAGGCAGGAGGGCAGAAGTGGTTTCCTCCAGTTCTCCTGTGTGGGTTGCAGGAGGTGTCTTGCTGGAGCATAGTTCTTGTCATAGGATTTTTTTGCTCACAACCCACTTGGAGCTTCCAAAGAGCAGCCTCGAGTGTTTGATCCAAGGATTCAAGGGCTAATATTTTATTGAGAGGTGTAAGGAACTTGAGTGGATAAGAAGGGAGGTAATCCAGGGAAAGAAAGGCCAAAAATAATGAACCCTTAATCCAGCTACCACAGTGGCAATTGGAGCTTAATCCCCTGGGGGAAAACACGGAGAGACTTTTAAAACACACATCTCAGATTTATCCCAGACAAAGGGTGAGAGAGCTGAGGTACTTATACTCCCATACCCATCAATCATTAGTTGAGGGCTGCTGTATGGGCCAGGTAGGTGAGTGATACGGTTTGGCTGTGTCCCCACCCAAATCTCATCTTGAATTTTAGCTCCCATAATTCCCATGTGTTGTGGGAGGGGCCTGGCGGGAAATAATTGAATCATAATGGCAGTTCCTCCCATACTATTCTCATGGTAGTGAATAAGTCTCACGATATCTGATGGTTTTATAAGAGATTTACACTTTTGCTTGGTTTTCATTCTCTCTTGTCTGTTGCCATGTAAGACATGCCTTTTGCTTTCTTCCATGATTGTGAGGCCTCCTCAGCCACGTGGATCTGTGAGTCAGTTAAACCACCTTTTTGTTATAAATTACCCAGTCTTGGGTATGTCTATCAGCAGCATGAAAATTGACTAATACAGTGAGCAAAGTGGCATACCCTGTAGGCAGGCCTACGATAAAGATGCAGGTGTGTCCTCTGTTGTGCACGAAATCGTAAGGGGGTCTGGAGGATTATGGGCAGAGCATTGAAAAATTATTTTCCACCATCCCAATTCCTCAAGAACTCTAAAAATTTGGCCCCTGGACCCCCAGATTCCAAATACCCAAGAGGTCCTCTTTGACTTCTTATTACACACCTCTGTCCCAGTATAAAAGTCAGTTCCCAAGTTCTGGCATTTTTCCATCAACTTTCACATGCTGTTCATTCTCACTATCTTAATTCATTTACCTAGATTATTCATTCACTCTGCCAATAATATTTGCTGCCCTCTCAGCTAGGTGCTATATTTGATTCACAAAGTGAGCAAACACAGATGTGGAGGTCACAGACTGGCCTTTAGAATCCATATTAACTTGTTAACATGTTCCCATAAAAAACAACTTGTAGTGCAGGACTACCCCAAACTCCTCAACTGTGCAAAGCACCCCATTATGGTAAGTGCTAGGGGGAAGAGTTTGTAACAGGCTGATCTAATCTCATCTTGGGGTATCCAAGAAGATTTCTCCAAAGAAATGATGTTTAACAGATAAAGAAAATTATCCTGATTCTGATGAAAAATTATGTAATTGGTTGTTTAATATCTGCCACACCTTACTGAAAGCTCCATGAGAGTAGGGATCATGCCTGTATTAAAGAAAAAATAAAAATACAGAGATGTTGGGAGGCCAAGGCAGGTGGATTGTCTGAGCTCAGGAGTTTGAGACCAGCTTGGGCAACATGGCAAAAACCGCTTTCTACTAAAAAAACAAAACAAAAAAACAAAAAATACAAAAAATTAGCCAGGCACGGTGGTGCACACTCGTAGTCCCAGCTACTTGGAAGGCTGAGGCATGAGAATTGCATGAACCTGGGAGGCGGAGGTTTCAGTGAGCTGAGATCGTGCCACTACACTCCAGCCTGCGCGACAGAGCGAGACTCTGACTCCAAAAACAAAAACAACAACAGAAAAAACAAAAATGAATCTGCGAATTTAACATTTTATTTGGGAATCACAGAGTTGCAATTCAGGGCATATGCACAGACAGGAGGTCTTTGGTATGTCTGAGGAAAAAAGGAAATGTTGGGGGTTGTATTAAAAAAAGAAATGTTATGTATTCTCTTGAAAGGCAAGAGAATTGGCGCTAGAGAAATTTTGAGAGCTGGCAAGCTCTGACTAGCGAGTGATGGTGGTAGGTAAAACTAGTCTCAGAGTCATAGCACGTCATTTCAGCAGATACTAGGTGAAACTGGTCTTAGGGTTACAGCGGTCATTTCAGCAGCTGGGCTTGTGGAATATTCCATTTCTTGGAGCAGGTGCTATGTGCCCCAAGTCCTTTCCCCACCTGGCCTCTCTACTCTGATTTAGTTGGCTACGACAAGAATGACCCAATTCATGCAGTCAACTTTCACATTTCCTCCTTTTGATCGAGATCTTTTTATAAAAGCATTGCTTGTGAATCATCTTGAACTTAGGCTTAATTGTTTCTCAGTGCCAGGATGCACTTTTCCTGGCTGTCTCTGTCCCACACTGGGGGGAAGGCATGGGGGCTATGTAAGGCACCCAGGTCACATTTGAGTAATAAAGAGGCCAGAAGAAAAACTTTTTGTCTTAAGGCAGGTTTGTCTGGGGTGTCCCAGGGAAGCAGGGAAGGGGCTCAAAGGCCCTGAGTGTGGATTCTGCATGCCATAGCACCAGGGGCCAGTGATTTCCCTGAGGTGAATCAGCTTTGAGTCTCACTTCTGACACCAAGTAGGTCAAAGTCAAAAGTACACAAAAAAGTCTCTAAACTTAATGTTTTATTTGGGAATTACAGAATTGCAATTTGGGGCATTCATACAGACTGAGTGGTCTTTAGCATATCTGAGGAACAAAGGCAAGGTTGGGGGTTTTATTAGAAAGAGAAATGTTCCATATTGTTCTGAAAGAAAGCTCATTGGCACTAGAGAAGCTTTTGGGAGCTGGCAGGCTTTTATCTGGTGATTGAGGGTGGCAGGTAAAACTAGTCTTAGAGGTATGGAAGGTTGTTTCAGCAGATACTAGGTACTAATGGTCTTACAGTTGTTACAGCAGGCCATTTCAACAGCTGGGCTTGTGGAAAATTCAATTTTTGGAGTAGGTTGTCATATGCCCTGAGTGCTTTATCCCCCTGGCCCCTCAACTTTGGTTTAGTTGGGTATGACCAAAATCACCCAATTTGTCTAATCAACTTTCACACCTGTCTTCTTCAGTGCCATATCCCTGGTACCTAGCACAGTGTCTGGCACACAGAGAGTACTCAAATATTTGTTATACAATTGAAATGTTTAAAGTCCTACTTGGAAAAAAATAGTTACATACTGTATTAGATTAGGTTAAGCTGAAGTAACAAATATAACCAAATATATAATTGTTCAACACAATAGAATGTCTTTTTCAACTTTTTATTTTGAAATAAATTTAAATTTATAGATAAGTTTCAAGAATTGAACAAAAGAGTCATATACTCTCAACTCAGATTCTTCAATTGTTATCATTTTACCATATTTGTCTTATTTTTCACTCTGTCACTGTATCATCATCTCTCTCTGTCTCGCTCTTAGTACAGTTTTTCTGAATCATTTGAAAGTAAGTTGCAGATATCATGGCCAATAACTCCTAAATAATTCAATGTGTATTTCTCCAAAACAAAGACACTCTTTTGCATAGCCTCAGTAAAAATGTAAAATCAAGGATATTAACATTGATATGGTGATACTATTCAATCTGCAGACTCATTTAAATCATGCCGGTTGCCTCGATAAATGTCTCTCATAAGCACCCTTGTTTTTCTGGTCCAGAATTTATTCAGGGTCATGCATTGCATTTAGTTGTGATGTCCCTTTAGTCCTCTTCAATCTGAGGCAGTTCCTCAGGTTTTCCATGTCTTTCATGACTTTGACATTTTTGAGGAGTACAGACCAGATGCTTTCCGGAATGTCTTTCAGTTTGGCTTTGTCTGATATTTCTTCATGGTTAAATTCTGATTATATGTATCTGTATATGTTAAAAACCATGAACTCACACTGATGCCTCCAATTCCAATCTAACTCCCAGCCTCCCTTTTTTCCATATTTGTATCTCTCTTCTCTGACAGTAAGAAATCTGGCTTCCATTCTTCTCAATCTAGTCACTTAATTTCTCAATTCCCCTGTATATAATCAATCTCCTGATTATGCAGACCATCTCCTTTGCCTTGATCCCTACACACTGGTCAGAATCATGGGCCATGTCCTCCTGCATTTCTTTGTGGGTCTTGCTGGACAAACTCCTCCCCACCTACAGTCATACAGGCATGAGGATTCCAGGCCTTAATCTCCCTGTGGCCATGCAGGGTAAGGGGGCAGTAACATTGACTCCAGGCTCTGATGCTATTGCTACTAGATGTTTATGTTTTGCTCACATAACAGTCATGGGCAGATGAAGAGTTTTAGGGGGTGGCCCCCTTCTCATGGTCATTCAGGCAGGATTCATTCTGATAGAGGCTCTGTTGCTTTCAACATGTGGCTTTCAGGACCACTGTGATACTTTCTCTCATTCTGCTGGAAGGAGAAAAGAGCATGGAAGGGATAGGTGGAAAGTTTCTATAGAATACTCTGAAAGCTGCAGGCATTCCTTCCACTTATATTCCATTGGCTAGAACTTAATCACATGGTCACACCTCACTGCAAGGAAGGCTGGGAAAAGTTGTCTAACTGTGTTTAGAAAGAAACAATGTATTTGCAGCTTCAGTTTTAAAAGTAGAAGGATTTCATCCATGGGCTCCTAGTGTCTCTTTCTATGTGTAGGGATATTTTCTCCCACTCTTAGATCCCAAATTCTTTCTCCTATTATCCTTTTTTCCTGTGAAGTTACAAGTATAGTTTAATATTGACAAATAAAGTGACAGTACACTTCTCTCCCTCCTTTTCCTAAACTTTCTCATCCATATTCTTTTTCTGATTAGGAACCACCACCTTAGTGGGGCTAAGATTTCAGAGTGGCCTCTGTGAGTTTTCACTGCAAACTTGCAACATTTTCCTATCAATGTCTCCCTCAAGAGGGGAGGCTCTTTAATCCGATGAATTCCTTGTGTTGGGAGGGTGTGCATGGAATGTTGCCTTTGGAATTGCCTTTTAACTTTATTTTCCTGGTTTAGGAAGCATGGAAAAGATATTGACAATCTGGAATTGGGAGTTACAAAGTTCTGAGTTCAAACAGTGCAAAGCACTGTTCACTGGCTGTGTGACTCTGAGTGAGTTAATTCACTTTTCTGACTCTTATTTTCTTACCTTTAAAAAATATAGTTCTTCATAGGGTTGCAGCAAGGATTAGATAACATAATATTAATAAAATGCTCAGCACAGTGCTTGGCACATGCTAAGCACTCAATTAAATTGTAGCAGCTGCTATTCTTCTTCCTCTTTCAGTTCATTTATTCTAAGAAGGTTGTTGGAATGTGCCACCCACACAGCATTCTAATATGTTGTTCAAATACATGGATTAAAAGTTATGCTGAAAGCCATATTCTAACCTCTGGCAGGCAGTAATGACCTGTCCACAGCCATGGGCCATGCAAGCATGCACTCACCTGGACATGGGCAGGGGTCTGCACCAGGCCACTCTCCTTTCTGAGCACCGAGTGAAGGCATCACAGGATCCAGTTGCAGAGCAGGAGCGCAGCCTCCCTGCAGGGTCAGCACCTGAGCAAAGGGTCTCCTAATCAAGTCTTAGGCAATTAAGAGGGCTCATTGTCCCTCTACATTGCTGGCTCATTAGAAGGTATATCTTTCAGGACACATGAGAGGGCTCGGGCAGGGCAATGTCCTCCTATTGGACAGACCACTACTGCCAGTCTGGACTAGGCTCTGACAAGTCCCAAGGAGGTTGTCAAAACCTCCTCTGAACTGAGAACTGAGGACGGGAACCAGTGTTTCCCAACAATCAGCCATCTGAGCAGATCCTGCTCCTACCTTGGAGCTGGATCCTGTGTCTCTCCTCCTTGTCTGCTTCCCCCGTAACCTGGGGGAGAGAAGAGAAGGCTGAGAGAGGACGTGGAGAATGAGAATGCTAGTCCCTGTTGCCATGTGCATTAGCACATGCTGTGCTGGAAGTCTCCTTGCATCCTTGGGTGTAACCCATGAGATGTTCAGAGATCATGAGGTTGATTAACAGACTATATTCTGTTTACCTGGGCTGACCTCCTCAGCTTTGTGTGTAGGGGGAAAGAAAGGCCACTGTATTTGGTCCTGGCTTAATGGTGTGGTTTGGGCTGATGACTCACCTTTCCTCCATGCTGGGGGCTTCTGTGCAGACAAAGCGTCAGACAAATTAACCTTGTAGCCTGACTTGAAATTGCCTTGGCCACTGACAGTTATACTGAGCTGACTGCAAAGACAGGATCTGCTGCTTTGTGAACCTGGCTGTGTTGCCATGGATACCACAATCCCGCTATCCCTCTGACTCTCTGGGGTTAGGAAGTATCCATTGGGAGTAGAGGGGCCACGCCAGGCTGGGGGAAGGGTGGGTAAAGTGGTGGATACCAGGTTTCAGGAGGTGAGATTAGGTGATGAACTGGGAAAACCCCACTTCCTGAGGTAGGAACTAAGTCCCCATTTTCAGCCGGGCTCAGAACTGAGTCCCTGGAACTCTTTCTTTTGGAGAGACTCCCTTCCCCACCGGATTCCAGAGCTGGCTGGGACTAGGATAGTAGTGGTATTCGCCTAGCAGAAATCATCAGTTTAGCTTAGCCAAGGAAACTTTCAGCAGAATGGGATCCTGGATAACTGTAGCCTTCAAATGAGTCACTGGTAGCAGAGTAGCGGAAGGGCTTGTGGGCTGTGAGCTGTTCTGCCCTGACTTGGGCAAATCTGTACTCCAGTTCTCTTACCTGAAAAATGGAATGAATAATCATAATGCAATTCCTGCTTACCTTATGAGGCTGCTGTGAAGGTGAAAAATTAATATTGGTGTGTGAACACACTTTATAAACTTTGCTACCCTCTGACATGGGTAATCTGCACTTGAGTGCCATGATGGTTGGTGGTGGTGGTCCCTGCCCCTGCTATAAATCCAGGTGCCTAATCTGGAGACTGAAGGCTAGCTTGATGCATCCTTCAGCTCCTGCTTTTCCTATTTCTATTTTCCTGTGTTATGGGCCAGCACCCCTACCCTCTCCTAAAGTATCAGCTCTGTCAGAGTTGGGGACCATGCCTCATCAATTTTTGCAGCTTGGTTCCCTCCACCCCTTTCCTACTCCGTGCCTCTCTGGGATGAGTACAGAACCTGATTCCTGGTGGGAACATGCAAATCATTACACATGTAGCATTTAAAAAATTATCTCAATGTCTCTGGCTTTTGTCTTTTTGTGTTTGGGGGGCATTTCCAGAAGCAGATCCTGAGAAAAAGATTCAAGGGCAAGTAGTTTATTTAGGAGTTGATCCTAGGAGCCACCAGTAGATGAGTAGGGGAAGTGGGGTAGGGAAAAGAAGTCGAGTCCTGATGGCCATCTTCTTTCCTCTGCACCCAGGGTTGGCAGACCAAGACCCATGGGCCCAATCCAGCCCACCGCCTGTTCTACAAATGAAGTCTTATTGGAGCATAGCCAGTTCACGTATTTGTGTGTTGCCTGTGGCTGCTTTTATGCTACAGCAGCAGAGGTGGGGGAAGGTAGCAGAGATGGTATGACCCACAAGGCCTAAAATCTTTACTATCTGTTTCTTTATGGAAAAAGTTTGCTGACCCTTGCTGTAAACAAAAAGCTCTAGACAAATGATTCCTCTATTTTAAAGAGGGGTCATCAGAATCCAGTTAGTAGCATGGTCCAGCAAGTTATCACCGTGTACAAAGTGAGTGGGGCTCATCCCTGCTGGGGACACTGGGAGCGAGTGTAGGGTATGCCTCAGTGTTACCCCACCCAAGGGGTGAGGGAGCAGGGACATTTATCTCTCAGTGCCCATCTGACCCAGGGCTGCTGAGGGGGACACTGAGTGCCAGGATTGGGCTGTAGTTCATAAGCTTCAGTGAATGTAAGGAGCACTTGGAGGTAGAGGGAGAACATGAGAAATGCAGATGCAGGCCTCCAACCAGGAACGGTCTCATGTGGTGGGTCAGAGGTGGGGGTGGAAATGTGCATTGCTAAGAAGCCCTCTTTCACCCCGATGGGCAATTCTGATGGCCCCTCTTTAATTTAAGACAGAGGGATCATTTGTCTAGAGCTTTTTGTTTACAGCAACGGTCAGCAAACTTTTTCTGTAAAGAAACAGATAGTAAAGATTTTAGGCCTTGTGGGTCATACAGTCTCTGTTGCCATCCCCCAGCTCTGCTGCTGTAGCATAAAAGCAGCCACAGACAACACGTAAACACATGAATTGGCTGTGCTCCCGTAAGTCTTCATTTGCAGAAACAGGCGGTAGGCTGGATTGGGACCATGGGTCTTGGTCTGCCAACCCTGGGGCTAGAGGAAACAACAGGGGCATCAGGATTAGATTCAGGTTTACATCCTAGCTCTGCCTGCTGACTAGTCGTGTGACTTTTAGGTGGGTCACTGACCTTCATTTTCTTCCTTTGGACAATACAGATAATAATTTCCATTCTCGAGAGTTGATTTGAGGAGAAATAGCATATACATTACTACTGACACATTGAGGGGCTCACCCATGGCAGATTTCTCTACACCCCGCTCCTCTTCTTCCAGGCATGAGAGTCCATGCCTGCATACCTGATTAGCTTGGTGGTTAATGCACGAAGGGAGCAGGCTGAATTTATAAGCTTAGTTTCATGTGACTTCTCATAACTGCCATGATCCAGGGCCACTGAGAAGACCTCCCTGGAGCAGGCCATCAGCTCTGGGTTTAACGGCAGGCAGAGAAGCTACAGGTGAGAAGAGCTAGGTTTGGAGTCTGATGGTGCCTAAGCTCTGAGCCACACACTATTCTACAAGAGTCTTAACTGCTCAGTTTGGCTCTGAGCTGCCTGGACAAGTGGGAAATTGTGTCAATGTCGTGATTCATAGAGGCCACATAGTAAACACAAACCAGCTGCTTAGGAGAGTGATGCTCTTCCTACTAATAAAAATGAGAGAGATTTCTCCTACAGGCTCTCTTTGTGAACAGGATTCTTAGCCCTGTCATCAGAGCAAAGACAATATTGGGTTCCATGGTGCTTTTTCTTAAGTCCCTTAGTATAAGGAAGTGGCTAAATGCCAGAGTGCAGTTCAATAAAAACAATACTGTGAGGGCCAAAACAATGTGTTTCCTTTATTCTCTGATGGTATGGCTTAATTCAAAGGCAGCACTTAGAGTACCTGGAGGAATGGATGGTCTGACGCTTTCAGACACTCCTCCACAAATATTGAGCTCTTGGTGAGGTCTGAGTGGGAGCGAGCTGGAGGTCAGGTGTCTGGGTAGCCGCTATGCTATGAAGCCCATTAAGGGTAGAGCTGTGTGCTTTCGACTGTCCACTGTCCTGAGGGCAGCACTGATGGCCATTAATGAATGTCGGGGAACTTATCAAGGATTCATGCCTGAATATAATGCCACCCCATCTCCCAAATGAGATGGGCCTAGGGCAAATCTAGGAGCCAGATCAGGGTCTCGTACCACCCCTATACTTTTAGTCTGGAAGGGTTTTTTTTTTTTGTTTTTTGTTTAACTAACTACCTTTTTCTATTTTTTTTTAATTTTTGTGGGTACATAGTAGGTATATATATTTATGGGGTACCTGAGTTGTTTTGATACAGGTATGCAGTGTGAAATAAGCACATCGTGGAGAGTGGGGTATTCATCCCCTCAATCATTTATCCTTTGAGTTATAAACAATCCAATTACATTCTTTAAGTTATTTTAAAATGTACAAAAAATAATTAGAAAAGAATGAACGAGACCTACTTTTCTATAGCACAATAGGGTAACTATAGTCAATAATAACTTAATTAGCCTGTAAGACTTTTAATGGGGCTTATTAAATGTTCAGTTCAGTTCAGTCATAAAAGATTACAAAATATTCTAATTTCAAACAGCATAATCTTTCAGAGATCTTTTCAAGATAAATCGGTTTTAAAATATGTAAATGCATTGGCTTGTATCAGTTAGCTTTTACTATGTAACAAACTATCCAAAACTTTAGCGCCTAAAATCAGTAACCATTTGCTTAGCTCACAATTTCACAGCTATGTAGGGCCCAGCTGAGCGATTCTTTTGGTCTCTGCTGGACTTAGTCATGTTTCTGCAGTTGACTGCCAGATTTGCTGGGAGCTGACTGGTCTATGATGGCCTCAGTTGAGATGGTTTGTCTTGTTTTACATAGTCCCTCATCCTCCAGCAGGCTAGCCCAGGCTTGTTCACATGGTGTCTGGGTAGGATTCTGAATAAAGGACTATGAAGGCTTCTTGAGGCCTCAGCTTGGAATTGGCACAGTTACTTGTACCACATTCTTTTATTTTACCTTTTTAATTAACCTTTTTGTTTCGAGATAATTATAGATTTACATGCAATTATGGGAAATAATAGATCTTCTTACTGTTGATTTTTTTTAAAAAAGAACTCTATGTTTTAGAGACTAGTCCTCAGTCAGATGCGTAGTTTGCAAGTATTTTCTTCCACTCTGAAGCTTGTCTTTCTATCCTCTTCACATGGTCTTTCATGGAGTAAAAAACAAAATTTCTTTTTAACTTTTATTTTAGGTTTGGGGGCACATGTGAAGGTTTGTTACATAGATAAACTCATGTCACAGGAGTTTGTTGTACAGATTGTTTCATCACTCAGGTATTAAGCCCAGTACCCAATAGTTATATTTTCTGCTCCTCTCCCTCCTCTCACCCCCACGCTATCAAGTAGACCCCAGTATCTGTTGTTCTCTTCTTTGTGTTCATGAGTTCTCATCATTTAGCTCCCACTTATAAGTGAAAACATGTGGTATTTGGTTTTCTGTTCCCGTTTTACTTTGCTAAAGATAATAATGCGGGACCATCCATGGTCCTGCAAAGCACATGATCTCATTCTTTTTTATAGCTGCATAGTATTCTGTCATGTATATGTGCCAAACTTTCTTGATCCAATCTGTCATTGGTGGGCATTTATGTTGACTCCATGTCTTTGCTATTGTGAATAGTGCTGCAATGACCATTTGCGTGCATGTGTCTTTATGGTAGAATGATTTATATTTCACTGGGTAAATACCCAGTTAAGGGATTGCTGGGCCAAATGGTAGTTCTGCTTTTAGCTCTTTGAGGAATCACTATACTGCTTTCCACAATGGTTAGACTAATTTACACTCCCACCAATAGTGTGTAAGTGTTCCCTTTTCTCTGCAACCTCACCAGTGCCTGTTATTTTTTGACTTTTTAATAATAGCCATTCTGACTGGTGTGAGATGGTATCTCATTGTAGTTTTGATTTGCATTTCTCTAATGATAAGTGATACTGAGTTTTTTTTCATATGCTGTTGGCTGCATGTGTACCTTCTTTTGAAAAGTGTCCATGTCCTTTGCCCGCTTTTTAATGGGGCTGTTTTTTTTTCTCTAGTAAATTTGTTTAAGTTTCTCATAGATGCTGGATATTAGACCTTTGTCAGATGCATAGTTTGTGTTTTTTTTCCATACTGTAGGTTGTCTGTTTACTCTATTGATAGTTTCTTTCACTATGCAGAAGTTCTTAAATTTAATTAGATCCCACTTGTCAATTTTTGTTCTTGTTGCAATTGCTTTTGGTGTCTTTGTCATGAAATCTTTGTTCATTCCTATATCTAGGATGGTATTGCCTAGGATGTCTTCCAGGGATTTTAGAGTTGTGGGTTTTACATTTAAGTCTTGAGTTGATTTTTGTATATAATGTAAGGAAGGAGTCCAGCCTCAATCTTCTGCATATGGCTAGCCAGTTATCCCAGCACCATTTATTGAACAGGGAGAGAAAAACCCTATAGTCTTGGCCCCAATGCTGCTTCAGCTGAGAAACAACTTCAGCAAAGTTTCAGGATACAAAATCAGTGCACAAAAATCAATCACTAGCATTCCTATACACCAACAACAGCCAAGCTGAGAGCCAAATCAGGAAGGCAATCCCATTCACAGTTGCCACAGAAAGAGTAAAATGCCTAGAAATACAGCTAACCAGAGGGATGAAAGATCTCTACAATGAGAATTACAAAACACTGCTCAAAGAAGGAAGACACAAACAAATGGAAAAACATCCATGCTCATAGATAGGAACAATCAATATCATTAAAATGACCATACTGCCCAAAGCAATGTACAGATTCAATGTTATTCCTATCAAACCACCAATGACATTCTTCACAGAACTAGAAGAAACTATTTTAAAATTCATATGGAACCAAAAAGAGCCCAAATAGCCAAGGCAATCCTAAGCAAAAGAAACAAAGCTGGAGGTATCACGTTACCTGACTTTGAACTACACTACAGGGCTACAGTAACCAAAACAGCATGGCACTGGTACAAACACAGGCACATAGACCAATGGCACATAATAAAGAGCACAAAAATAAGGTCACACACCTATGACCATCTCTGATCTTCAGCAGAGTTGACAGAGCAAATGTTTTCAATTCTGATTAGGTTCAACTTATCAATTTTGCCTTTTATGGATTCTGCTTGTGATATCAAGTCTAAGAACTCTGTCTAGCTATAGGTCCTGAAAATTTTCTTCTATTTTTCTAAAGTTTATAGTTTTATGCTTTACATTTAAGTCTGCTCTCCAAACCTCAGTTATCTTTTCATATAAGTTATTTTAAGTTAATTTTAATGTAAGTTGTAAGAATTTGACCAAGATTAATTTATTTTTTTGCCTATGGATGTCTAATTGCTCCATAATAATTTGTTGAAAGAGTTATATTTATTCTATGTAATTGCTTTTGTACTTTGTGAACAATAAGTTGAGCATGTTTGTGTGAGTCTGTTTCTCGGTTCTCTGATCTATCCATTGATCTGTTATTTACCTCTCTGTAAATATATCATACTGTCTCGATGACTAGAAATATAATAAGTCTTGAAATTGGGTAGACTGATTTATATTGCTTTATTCTTCTTTTACAAACTGGTTTAGCTATTATCATTCCCTTGTATGTTCATGTATATTTTAGAATAATATTGCCTATATCTACAAAAAGTCTTGCTGGGATTTTGATAGTAATTGCATAGAATCTGTATGTAAACTTGAGGAGAATTGACATCTTTACTATGTTGACTCTTCTAATTCAACATGATATATCTCTCCATTTATTTAGGTTTTCTCTTCATCACAGGCTTGTAGGTTTTGCAGTACTAATCTTGTTCATGTTTTGCTATAATTTTTTAAACCATCAATCATAATTTAGAAAACTCAAGGGGAAAAGGGAAGTTTATTGTAATTATTCATTTTGTTCCTTCTTTGCTGATGGCTCAAGGTTTCCTCTTTTATCATTTCGTTTCTATTTAGAGAAATTCTTTTAGCCATTCTTTTGGAGTAGGCATGCTGGTGAAAAATTGTCTTAGTCTTCCTTCATCGAAAGATATCTTGATTTACTATTCCTTTTTGATGTATATAAATTTCAGCACTTGAAAATCCCAGTGCCATTTCCTTCTGTCTTCCATTGTTTCTAATGAGCAATCCACTGTCATTCAAATTGATTCCCTATAGATAAAGTATAATTTCTCTCTCATTGCTTGCAAGATATTTCTGTCTTTAGTTCTCACATTTTCCTATGATGTGAATTCCTTCAAATTTATCCTGTTTTGAGTTTGCTCAGCTTCTTGAATCTGTAGGTTTATGTATTTTGCCACATTTCAAAGGAAAAAAAATCAGCAATTATTTCTTTGATTACTTTTTCAGTCCTGCCCTCTTTCTCTTCTTCCTAAAGTCAAATTACATGAATGTTAGATCTTTTGTTATAGTCCCACAAGCCTCTGAGGCTCTGTTTTATTGTTGTTGTTGTTGTTGTTGTTCAATTTTTCTCTCTGTTGTTCAGACTGGGTAATTTTTATTTTTATAATCTTGTAGTTCACTGACCCTTTTTTCCTTCTCTTTTATTCTGCTGTTGAGTCCATATATTGAGCTTAAAATTTCAGTTGTATTTTTTAGTTCTAAAATTTCCTTTTGGTTTGTCTTGAGGTCTTTTTTCTTGCTTACACTTTATATTTTTTCATTTGTTTTAAGCATGTTCATAATTGTTTGCTTTTTTTAAATTCAGTTTGAGATATTCCTGGTTTTTGGTACGATGAATGATTTAAAAAAATTAAAATCAAGACAATATGGGTATTATGAGACTTGGGATCCTATTTAACTCTGTTTTAGCTGGCTTTCTCGGGCAACACTCCACTGGGGGAAGGGGATGATGCTTTATTAATACAAGTTTGGAGTAGAAGCCTAGGTTTCCTGTATAGATTCCATTGACACCTGGGTTCGTCTCCCACATTCTTTTGGCCAGTGCAAGTTACAAAGCCTACCTAGATTTGAAGACTGAAAAAATGGATACTACCATTTTTTTGGTAGAGCTTCAAAGTCATGTTGAAAAAGGACACGGACACAGGGAGGAAAATAATTGTGGTCATTTGCTTTAGTGATTATGGATATGGCTACTAGTTGGTAATGTTGGGAGCAGCTATGAAAAGACTGGTTTCGTTTGGGAATAGTTGAACTAGGTTATTTCTTCTGGCAGTGATTTGATAGCAGGGCCAGTTTTCCAATACACATTCTTTTAGTATGTGACAACGAAACCATGTTATCAATTTGTAAGGGAACATTTATCTTTTATTGCCCTCTGTAGCTGGTAGACACAAGCCTGTCTCATCTAAAGGCAAATTCACATTACTGAAATACAAGTTAAAGAGAAAGGTGGCTAGAGCACATTCTGTTTTGTTCCTCACTGAGAATTTTAGTCTCACCTGTTAGGACTCTTTCTATTAATTCTCCATCTCACATTGGTATTAGGGCCTGATTCTATAGAAGCATCAATATCCAGGGGTTGATACTTAGCTCATGTAGCCCATGACCAATTTCCATCTATAGAGGAAAGAGCAATAAAAACTGCTGAAAATCTTATGTTGTATTACCAAATTTTTCTATAAGATTGTCTTACCAGACTGTTATACAAGGTGTTAGAGTATATAACAATAGTCAGTAGTAGAATGAATGGGCTCAAGTGATTACATCTCCTATAAAACACTGGCTTGCAAAGATGAGCGTGATCCCTGAGGCTGATCCCCAGCTGCCCTCATTGCTCATTAACATAAGATACTCCCACCAGTACTAGGATAGTTTACAAATGCCATGGCAACAAACCAGAAGTTACCACCCCTTTCCCAGAAAGTTAGAAACAACCCACCCCTCAATTTGCATTGACCTGTTCCTTAATTTATATGCAATGGAATGTGGACTTATCTGAGTATAAATACAGTTGCCAAGGACCCATACATTGCCTATTCTTGGTGTACTGCCTATGAGTTAACTCTGCTTGGCAAGGAGCAGTACTGCTTAATGAAAGATTACTGTCTAACACCACGGGCTCACCCTTGAATTCTTTCCTGGGTGGAGCCAAGAATTCTCCTGGGCTAAGCCCCAATTTTGGGGCTTACTTGTCCTGCATCATTCCCTTTGATCGTTATGACCCAGGCATCTCACCATGGCCCATCAGAACTCCCATAATCTTGTCTTTCCTGTTTTCCTAACATACCTCTCATATCTTCCCTATACACATTAGTTTTCAAGAATGTTTTCTTATACCTTAGAGTGCTCTTCTGAAGGTGTAAGTGGAGTATTTTTCCCCCCTAAGTCTTATTCAATTCCTACTTAGTTCACAAGTGATACCCTGATAAAGCCTTAGTGACCCACCATGTGGAATTAACAACCTTTTCCTTTGTGTTCGCCCACCTTGATTTTCCACCATTGCTCCTATAACAGATTGCATACTTCTCCATTTCCATGCCTGTTGCCCCCTTTTATAAAGTGAACACCTCTAGGGCAAAGATTGGGTCTTCACATTTCCTTCCTTCCTTCCTTCCTTCCTTCCTTCCTTCCTTCCTTTCTTTTTTTTTTAGATGGAGTCTTGCTCTGTCGCCCAGGCGGGAGTGCAGTGGCACGATCTTGGCTCACTGCAACCTCCGCCTCCCGGGTTCAAGCAATTCTCCTGCTTCAGCCCCCCGAGTAGCTGGGACTAGAGGCGCATGCCACCACACCCAACTATTTTTGTATTTTTAGTAGAGACGGGGTTTCACCATGTTGGCCAGGCTGGTCTTGAACTCCTGACCTCATGATCTACCTCCCTTGGCCTCCCAAAGTGCTAGGGTTACAGGTGTGAGCCACCGCGCCCGGCCCAGGGTTCTCACATTTCTAACACAGTGATGGCCACATGTTTATTGACTAGCCAAGGATCTCTTGACCTTGATACGGTTTCCTCTGAGGCAACTCTGGACCCTCCACTACACAGAGTTCTGAAACTGTAGTGCCCCAGCCCTTCCTGGGCTTCGCAACCAGTCTTCCTTCTGCCCTAACTCTGTGTCCCAAGAAGGGGCACATGCCTTTTAACTACTAGCAAAGCTTTGCATACCTTCTTAATTAAATTTTTCAGATCAGTTCCTAGAAGTGAAATTACTGGTTCAAAGTAATTTTACAGCTTTTGAAATATATTATCAAATTACCCTCCAGAAAAGTTTATTTACTATTTCCATTTCCTTGAACATTTGCTATTACTCAATATTATCATTAAAAAACCCTCTCCAATTTGCTGGTAAAAGCAATGTTCTCTTACAGTTTTCTTACTATACTCATATGGGTATTTTACAATCTTGGACCTTATTTTTATGTCCTAAATTTCCATTCATGGATCTTCAGACATTGATGTAAGTGCTTTCTTCTCTCTTCTTGACTGTTCCTGGACTCCTCAGAGTTTTGTCGGGCAGGTATGCAGCTTGGGCTTCACACTAGCTTCAGTCTGTGTGTCCAGCTCTTTTTGAATCCTCCACCCAACCTGAGTTGTCATGCAGTGTTTTGGGGATCTCCTACCCCTTTGTTCATGGTGTTCTGTTCATAGCTACTGGGAATTCCTCCATGTCCTAAAATTTTCATGCATTAAGCCTGCTCTGGGCTGAGCTCTTTGTCTTGTTTGGTATTAGGGGGAGATTAGAAATGGCCTCCACAGGTGGTGAGCAGAGCAATAACTGGGAAAACAAGCAAGATCAATATCTAATCCTGTGCAGTCAGCCAACCTTTTCAAAGCCTCATCTGTATTGATTTCTGTGGGTGACACTTCCCTTTCTTGGGTAATCAGTCCCTTTTCTCAGCGGGTGAACGAGTGAGCAGTACTTACTCCTGCTTTTGTAGAAGCAAGGGTGGCTGCTTAACTCTGAGCTGCTGGAGAGAGGGAGGGAGGCCCAGAGTGGCTTCCTTTGAACCAAAGCCCCTGTGCGGTGGCCTGGGTGATATGGGTATTTATCTAGTCACATTCTTGTTCTGGATTGAAGGCTCTTAAATCCGAGGGGACAGAGAGCTGTGGCTTAGCAGAAACGTGGTGGAGAAAAGGTCAGTAAATTCAATGGAAGCGAATGAGCTTTACTAAACACCCATTATGACTTCCAGTGAGATAAGCATTATCACCTTCATTTTAGATAAAGAGTGTGGTTCAAGGAAGACAAGTTACTTATTCAAAATCACACAATTGGCAGTGTCAGAATTTGAACTCAGAAGACACCAAAGTCACTACACAACACGATATCCTACACCCTTGATCTGAGGACCCAAAATCTAGTGTCACATGGTCCAGAAATACCTGGATGAATCTCTTGCGGGGCATCGAGAAGAAACTGGGGATGTATACATTTTGGAAAACGGGACATGTCAACAAATCTGAAGGACGATGATATACAATAGAAGTGAGAATTTTGTTGTTGCTGCTTCAAAGGGCAAAAGTAGGCTGCAAATGTGAAAGCCACAGGAAGGCAGATTATGCTTCCCTAGAAGGAAACACTATGCAGCTGTGTATTGTTAACAAAGGAATGGGTTGCACTGAGATCTTCCCCAACACAGAAGTACATTTCTGCATAACTCTGTACTTCTTAGTATGCTGTTTCTTCATCCTGGAGTATTGAGTGAACTCCTATTCATCCTTCAGGACTCAGCACAAATGCCATTCGTCCATGCACCCATCCATCCAAAAGTATTCATTGAATGCTATATGCCAGGAAATATATTAGAAACTGGGGATCCATGATGAGGAAGACAGGCATAGTTACTGGCTTCCTGGGTTTACGTTGTGGAGTGAATCTCTTCTCTGTGTCTTTGACACATGCCTACTGAAGAGCTCTCAGTTGAGCCTCCTCTATGGCCCCACGATACCATGCTTATGATTTAACATGGCAGCCACCATCCCATATGTAATAATCTGTTTGAGTAGACCCTGTTAGTGCCCTATACGTATCCATTGGGATCTTAGTATGGTCATGTTTGTTGCCTGATTTCCAATTGCCCGAGGCTTTCTCTGGCAGCCAGAGCCCACTCTGCTAGCAAAGCACAGCAGGCCAGAAGTACCAGACAATAAACACTCTCTGGGAGAAGCCCTCAACAAGTGCGTTATGGGAGTTGGTGGATGTATTAAGCATCCTAGATCTCTTAACCCTCAGGTGGGATAACTGTAAGGTGTATGCTTTACCCTGACTCTGAGTTCCCCATATGATTAAGATCTGGTTGTCTGCAGTGATCACTGGTTGATAATGCACCCTATATTATCATTGGCTGTCTCCTTTTTCCTGTTTCACTTTCCCACTTTCCTATTGGAGTTTCCAGAAATCATTTCCTAAACAAAGTCGTTGCCCTTGAATCCTCTCAGCATCTATTTCAAGAGAAACACAAATAAAGGCATTGTTAATGGGTAATAGTGGTTAGAAGGGAAAAGAATCATAGCAGAATAAACATATTTCTAGTCCAAGCCAGTGATTGTGGCATACACATCACATATGTGGTACGAGATTTTGTACAGATGATGGCATAGTTTGTATTTTTGTTTAGTTAGCAATAAAAAATGTGTGCACTGTGTCCTTTTATCTTGGAACAATCAAGGACAATCAAGCCCACCCAAAGAGATGAAGTGAGGCAGAGCAGAGAACCAGCATTTGCTTTGATGTCTGGCTGTCCCACAAACTCTGAGCTTCAAGCAGGGAGCAGTCATATTTTCTTCACAACTATAATCCATAAGCCTGCAAAAGACATTGATTCAAAACAGGCAGCAACAATGCAGAATTGACTTGTAAATTCAAGTGGTTCTGTTTATGAGTTTCACTTTTCACCACCGTATTTAACGAGAACACCACCACAACCAACACAATTTATAGGCAATTTTCTGTGGGTCAGGCATTATGGTTGATGCTCTACATACATTTTCTAATTTAAAAATCCCAGCTTGTGAGGTGGTTCCATGGTACAGGTGTTAATGCTGTGGCAGTTGCTGGTGACGCCCTGCCCCATCTCCCCTTGGCCCATCTGAGTTGACCTGCAGCTGTGATTCTCATCACTATAACAGCTCTTCACCTCAGGTGCTTCCATCTCTCTTCTGTGCCTCAGGGTTTTATCTGGCATTATGGGAACTTGCTGTGTAGTACATAGAGAGAATCTGAAAGTAGAAGTTAAAGACCTCAGGGGTAGCCATCAACCAGTGAGAGAATGGAGTAGGCAGATATTCTGCCCCAGCCTCCCTGTCCTGCATGAAGGTTCTGGGGGCACATTTTACATTATTTCTTGGAGTACTTCCTGTGGGACTGGGCTCTAGTGGCTCACAGCAGGAACCTGCTCATGAACATATGCTTGATTGGCTTTCCCTGCTTCACCGCTTCCTCACTGGCTACAGAAAATCACCAGCATCCAAGTCCTTATCTCAAGGTCTCCTTTGAGGAACCCAAGGTAAGACAACCATCATTTTACAATTAAGAAAACTGATATTCAGAGAGTATAAGTGACTTGATTGTGGTTGCTCAGTTAATAAGTGGTGGACCCAAGATTTAAACCTAGATCTATCTTGTCTATGATCATTCAGTTCTATGTTATATCCCGAAATAAAGACAAAAGTTTTATTCAACTATAAAGGTTTCTATAGTCATTCACAAGCACTTACTACATATCAGGTTCTCTGTTAGGTGCTAGAAATAAGGAGTGAATAATGGCAGTGCCCAAATGTCCAAGCATTTTAGAGTCTAATAGAGGAAGAAGTTTGGAAGTATAAATAGCAAAAAAAAAAAAAAAAAAAGCTGCAGAGAAGAGAGCCTATCGGAAATATTCCAGTTCAGTAGCTCAAGAACACAGTGGAAAAGTCAATGGTATAATTATTAATCACCTCTACAAGAGCAATAACTTGGTAATTATATTTTTGTATGTTCATTAAGCATTTAAACCTAATTTTTATACACAATGGGGTTATAACATGGCTGTATTAGTAAGTTCATTTTGTATTCACTTTCCAAAGATGTTAACGCTCATTTAATAGTTTGGTAATTTGTCTGTGTCATCCTAAATTATTGGCACAATCTTCATTGGAGGAAGAAGAAGTATTTCTGGAAGCCCAGTGTACCTTTGATGGCTTGTGGATAAAAACTGGGCCGCTGTAAACTGTCACACACAGTCTACACTTAGTCCAGGGAAATATATACACCCTCGCTTTTTCATGAGATAGTATCAGAAATCTCCAAGGTATGTCTCATCAGTCCTTCACAATGGCCCCTTCGGTGATCATATAGTACCTGTCATTTTCCTCCTCTCCTGTGTTAGCTCATTGTGATCCCATCTCTGATGATGCCCAAAGAGCATTGACATCACTGCATCAAAACCCTGCATGCTGATTCCTGCTGAAGTGTTGTTGATGCCTAAACCTGGGGACCCATATATAGACTGTCAGTCAATACCTTCCCCTAGGCCGTCAAAGCAGCTGACAACTTGTCTCTCCATGCCCTGTCTCTTGAAGAAATCTTGGCTGTCCTGCTTTTGACTGGCATGCTTCCAAGGGGGGATTACCTGCCAGGACTTTCTACCTGAAGAGTAAACCCCATGTGTCCTCATTTGCGAAGTGGGATAGGATCTATCTTCAGGTCTGTAGTAGACACTCTTTGTGTCCCACCGATATCTCTGGCTCTTACCATTTCTGTGCATGTTTGCCTAACTTTTCATTGCCAGTACATGCATTTCTTTTCCTGGGGTCTCTCTTTGGCTACCACAAGCATGACAGCTCAGAAATGCCAAGGAACTAATTCCTGGGAGCAGCCTTCAGCCAGTGACTAAAGGGAGTTATTGTATAAATATCCCAGCTCCTTCACTCCTCAAATGGGAGAATTCTGCAGTTCAAGTTCAACACAGTATCTCAGAGCTCCCCAGTGGTATTGAGCTCTAATTGTCCATGGTGGTTCCTGCTTGTGACACCACACCTTTTTACTGCCTTCTTTCCCTTCTCTGTCCCACTTTTCCACTCCCCTACCAGTGTGTCCTGCAATCACCTCCCAAATAAAGAACTTGCCCTCAGATTTTTGTCTTGGATGCTATTTCTGCAGGAATCCAAACTAAGACACGGGGTTGCCGTAAGATTAAATACCATGTGTGTGTATAGCTCTTAACGCAGTGTGTATACATTAGTCACTAATACTTGTTGAATAAATAAGTGGATATATTTGACTCTGTGAAGTCTTTTTTTTTTTTTTGAGATGGAGTCTCACTCTGTTGCCTAGGCTGGAGTGCAGTGGCGCGATCTTGGCTCACTGCAACCTCTGCCTCCTGGGTTGAAGCAATTCTCCTGCCTCATCCTCCCAACTAGCTGGGACTACAGCTGCGTGCCACCATGCCCGGCCAATTTTTTGTATTTTTAGTAGAGACGGGGTTTCACTGTGTTAGCCAGGCTGGTCTCAATCTCCTGACCTCATGATCCACCCACCTCGGCCTCCCAAAGTGCTGGGATTACATGCATGAGCCACCGTGCCTGGCCATCTGTGAAATCCTACAGTTTTACCTGTTGTTATTTCTTTGTGGCCCCAGCTCTACATTTTTATGACTCCTGAATTCAACTTCTGTGCTTGTCTCAATTTATTAAGAACAGTTTCTAGAGTTAAATAAGTCTGAATCTACTTGTTACTTGTTTTCTTCTGATAATACTAGATTATAAAAAATTCATGAGCTTCAAAAGGCAATGTCCTATGAGTTACATGAGAGATCCATAACAAAAACATTCACACATTTAAAATAGCATGAGCTCCAATTAACATATAGCACACGCATCCCAGTAACAACAGCTGTACATCTGCTCGGAAGAAACGAATTTGGCTCATCTACCTAGTCTGGGCTTTGGCTCGTGTTTGCATAAAGACTCATAGGCCAAACCCTGATTGTCTTATCCTTTGGAGGACCACCAAATTGCCATGCCTTTAAATGCCTTGCAACTGGACTTTTACCTTTAATTATATCATAGATCCAGACTGATGCTCCACAGGCTAACTCTGGATAGAAGATATGTTTTGTTTGGTATAAAAAATGTAGTACAAATTCAGCCTTTAAAAATTGAGAAATTTCAATGAATATATGGATTCATGGTTCCTTTTGAAAATATTGAAGATCTAGTAACCCTGGGTCTGAATTTCCACAGGGCACCATAAGCAGCTGGTGCTAAATATTCACTGTTCCTTCTCAATGGGGCATTTCGGCATAAGCTCTTTTGAACTCTTACGTCTGCTACAGTCCTCACCATTTCCTATTCTCACCCATCTCAATTCTTTCAATTACATTAACTATGTTTTTATTCATTTTTGTTGGTGACCATGGCTTTTCAGAGATGAAAGGAAAACAGAACTCTTTTTATTTTGTTTTCTCTTCCCACCGCCTTTTTCTTTTCTTTATATTTTGAGGCTCAAACACACACACACACACACAAAAGAAAAAACCCTACTTGCTGAAACAGGTCTATAGTTTCAGAGACCTTAAAAAAGGATTACATTAAATTAACACTTTAGGACCCCAAAAATAAACTACACTATAATTATGTTCTTCACAACTTAGTTATAGGATTAATTAATTCATGGTATATTACGTGATAGGGCTTGGTAATGGGACAAAAGATTAAAGCATGATGAATACTTGTCAGTTGGCTCTGTGAATGAATGTATAACAAGACAATTGAAGATAATAGAAAAGTGGTTTTGGACACCTTTGGAAATGGAGGACCTGAGATAAATGGTCTTCTTGACCTGTGCAATCATAATCCTTCTTTTAAACACCTGGTTTATAGTCACCAATTTAATGTGACTATTCCTTATCTTTATTCTGGGACACTTCCTACTCTCCTCGGACTCTTGGATAAATTTAGTGCAAAAAAAATCTCTTTGGACAGACTTGTGGTTAACAAAGTATAAAAGAGGAGGGCCTTTTAGTATATCTGTTAGATGATTACGTGTTCTTCCTCTTTGGGTGGAAAGATTTTCCCTCCAAGCAGCTGCATGCTGAATAATGCACAAAGGTTTGGTCTAGTCAGGAATGTTAAACACTTGTTTATCTGTCTCTTTATTCACCACATCCAGGGGGGATCAAGACAAGAACAAACACACTGCTTTAGGAAATTAAATCCACTCAGATTGGTGTAAAATTCCTTAACATCAGGTGGTCTCAATAAAGCTATGTTCTTTCAATTTATCCATACTCTTTTCAAACTCAGCATGATCCCAAAATATACAATATTGATGGTCTTTAAACATAGTAATTCCCAGCAAATCCCACTGTGTTCTGAGTAAAACTGATCAGATCCTGCACATGGATTAGGTATGCCATGTCTGTCTTTCTTAATTTTATATTCTATGGCGATTTGGCTCCCAAATCATGAGCACACTGTCAGATTTAGTGACCAAATTTCTCATCAATGACAGGCTTGATGACACTCAAATATGTCATTCATTTCTTCCTCATTCCAAAATACACCAACATTATATATCATCATTCACCCAATTTGACTTATAGGCTATTTTTAAAAAATCATTCTCATTCTGTCCAGACAAGGTTGATAATTCAACTGGAACTTACATCCACAGGAATTTAATAATTATCAAATTTGGAGGAAAAATTAATTCCCAGCTTGGTCTTTTCCTATTTTAATGCTGGCCAGTTTTTCTGAAATTTTTCTGTGATTGTTTTTTAAAGATAGGATAGATTTTAGATCCAATTTAACTTTCAGTTTATCAGCATACTGTTCAAAGAAAATGAATGTAATTTTTAAGTTCAAATTCCTAGTACACTAGAGTGTGGATTTAAACATTAGACAAACGCAGCACTAATAAAAACAACAATTTTCCCTTGGCTATAATGCCAGCTCTTCAGCTTTGGGAAGGGATCACAGTCACCCTTCTTTGCCTTATGCCTGGGCTAGCTTTCCCAATAACAAGTAAATAGAACCAGGCTCTGCAGCTATGCACATATCTTCCAGAAAATGTCATTTCTTCATCTTATTTCTCCAGAATCCCTCTGAACCAAACTCCTGAATCTTCTCTTTGCTTTATAGGGAGCTTTTCAGTTCCTTCATACTCTATGGGAAACCAGCAAGCAATACATGAAAAGTATACAAAGGAAAAAAATCAAATTTATTTCTATCACCACCCCCTCCCACTCCCACTTTTCTCCCTAGAGGAGACCAGGGTCAACAATTTTATATGTTAATTTCTGATCAGAGGACGAACTTCCCCCATCTTTTCTTACCATGTTCTATTTAGATACTGCTAATTCTTAACAAGTTGAAAAATGATGTAGATATAAAAGCCAAAAGACCAATTATTTGATGTGAGAGTAACCAGGTCACTGTCAACCTGTTTTGAGATAGCATAGACCTGACTTAAACGTAGTGTGTGTGTTGTTTTATCTTGAGGGATTCATATGTTCCCTTCCTCCCTCAATTCCATTTGCTCCTTTTAGGACTCGCAATCTTCATGCTTTGCTACATTCCTCTTAACTTCATAAATATGCTAAAACTCAGAGCCAATCAGAGCTTTTCTATGTGATTGATAGATGGATGCTTTTGGACTCTGGGCATAAATAAGGTTGAAATTGCAAGCGGTCATCTTTCCCACCATGAAGAAAGAGCCTGTCTGAGAAAGAAGACAAAGACCTTGTAATCTGGTGCCAGAACCTCTGCTGGACTTTCCAAGTTGCATGAGCCAATACATCCCCTTTATTTAATGTAAGCCAGTTTGAGCTGGTTTTCTGTCACTTGCAATTGAAATAGTCCTGATGCATATGCAGAATATGTCATGGTTCTTGTAAACATCTAATTGTAAAATTTTTTCAAACATGTGTATGAGACTGAAGCATCTACATAGACTGAAGCTTCATGAAGACAATCTGTCTTCATGTGTACTGATTCTGGATAACATAGAGGAAACTGCTGAAAAAGATAATACACCTGCATATGCAATCCATGGTACTGCGACAGCACATAACAGAACATAACCTGATGTGGAGATGTTCTGGAAAGATGTCCTAGAGATGGGAAAAAATGGGAAGCTTTCCAGGGTGAGCTATAAGAAAGTGGGGTTCCAGGTGAGAGCTAGGTTCACTTCAGTGCAGAAGAGGAAAGAGAGTTTGAGGGTATAGACACATTCTTCATGGTTCAGAGGGTTCTGGGTATTGAATTGGAAGGGTTTGGGTGAGACAAGAACAATATGGAATTAGGGAAGCAGAGAGAGAAGCATAGAGCAGTGTGGGAATATACATATGGGAGAGGAAAGCTAAGAAGGACTCACTAATACAATCAGAAATGTGAGATATGGGGAGTATTAATGAACCATGGGGTTTCCCAAATATTTTAGCTTGGGGTGAAGGGACTGGTGGTTGGCTCAGTCTATAGGCATTAAGTGTAACTCTGTGGCCTTGGGACAGTCAAGTGCTCATGTCCAAAGATGTACCCTTTGATTTTTTGTCCATCCATCCATCCATCCATCCATCCATCCCTCCATCCCTGAATCCCTACATCCCTCCATCCATTCCTCTATGCATCCATCCATCCATCCATCCATCTTCTCAACCATTCATCCTCTCATTAATCTGTTTAACCATTATCCATCCCTGAACATTTATTGAGCTCCTGTCATGTGCCAGGGCTTATGTTGCTTGTCAAGGAGAAGGAAGAAAAAACAAGGTTTTTATCTTTTGGATACTTCAGTCTGTGATGTAAAAAAGATACGTAAACACATCATTGCAATACCTTTTGCTAAGAGCAACAACAGAAAGGATTTTACAAAGTGCCGAGAGAAGGCATGTTGGTTGTGAAGATTAAATGAGATTAAATGTGTGAAAAGCACTTTGTGAGCTATTCAAATATTAGTCATTATAATCTTCATAACAGCTCTGGTAGACTGGCTTGGATTATTATCCACTTAAAATTTTTTTCTGCTATAAAAATACCTAAAAGTTCCACTACAAGTTACAAAATAGAGAAAATAAGAACTCATCCACATTTATGGTGCTTCAACACTGACATTGTTTTACATGTTGCTAAGTGTCATTAGTGTCTTTATTCCTGGAATTTTATTTTTTTTCATACAACAATCATGCTGTGATATGGTCTGGCTGTGTCGCCACCCAAATCTCATCTTGAATTGTAGTTACCATAATCCCCATGTGTCGTGGGAGGGGACCCCTTGGGAGAAAATTGAATTTGGAGGTGGTTACCCCCATGCTTCTGTCCTCATGCTAGTGAGTTCTCACGAAATCTGATGGTTTTATAAGGGGCTTTCCCCCGTTTTGCTGGGCACTTCTCCTTCCTGACATGTGAAGAAGTATGTGTTTGCTTCTTTTCCTGCCATGATTGTAAGTTTCCTGAGGCCTCCCCAGTCATGCTGAACTGTGAGTCAATTAAACCTCTTTCCTTTATAAATTACCCAGGCTTGGGTATGTTATTAGCAGCAAGAGAATGGGCTAATACATGCTGCATATATCATGATTCGGATTGTTTTCTCTTTAAATTAAATTGACTACGTTTTCCCATGTGTAAACCTGTTTCATGGGTCACATCTATGCAGGAGGAGTGGGAGAGGTCGCCATGGTAAGAGTTGACATGTCTCTGTCTCAGCCTCAGCCTAAACCCCACCTTCCTGGTTCCTCATGAGTTACTGGGACCCTTCATAACAATGGCCACATAGATTCCCTGTCCCTGTCATGGTCTTCTCTGCCACTCTAGACATGGAGCTGTGCCTGGTATTGTGCCATATTACTTTCTCCTTTATTTTTTTGCTGACTCTGTAAAGCCTCTGTATGTCTGCTGATGAGAAGCTACCTTTCTGTCCTGAGCTCTGTCCCCATGGCGAAGGGAGAATGTACTTTTGTATCCATCTGAATCGCATTGGTGGATCACTTTGTGCCTACGTTAGATGTCTAAGGTTGGGGGAGATCCATACTTACCTCTACTTCCTTTTTAAAAAAAATTCTCTCTTAATGATAATCCAATTAGACTCTCATTCTCATCACTGTGCCAGTACAGCTCATGTTAAGGTGACCAATAACCTTCATGTTTCCAAGTCCAATGGCTAGTGCTAGTGCTAGTTATTATCTTACTTGACTTAATAGCAACATTTGAACAATTGTTTACTTATTCCTCCTTGAAGTGTTTTTATTTTTTTCACTTAACTTCCAAGATACCATACTCCTGATAGCTCCTCCTCAGCCCCTTTTGCTAGTTTCTCCTCATTTCCTTGACTTCTAAAGGTTGGAATATCCTAGGACTCAGGCCTGCAGACATATTCCCTATCTACATTTGCTACTTAGGTGATCCCACTCAGTCTCATGGCTTTAAATACCACTATAGGCTGATGACTCCCAATTTTATCAATCCAACTTATAGCTTTTCTCTGACCTCCAGATCCATACTTTCAACAGACCATTCATCATTTCCATATGGATGTCTAACAGGCATCTTAAACATTACTTGTCCAGCCAACTGATGGTTTTCTCCCCTTGCTTGTTCTTCCCATGATCTTCCCTATTTTAGTAAGTGACATGTCTGTTTTTCCAATTGCTTTGGCTAAAAACATTGGTTGGAGTCATCTTGACTGTCTTTCCTTTATGCCCTGTATTCAAATCACCAACAAATCCTGTTCTCTCTCCTTCAGAATACATCCTGAATCTAAAGCTAACCACTTTTCACTACTTTTCCCACTATCATCCCAGTTTAAGCTACCAGCGCCTTTCACTGGGTTACTGAAGTTGCCTCTTAACTGCTCTCCTGATTTGGCCTTTGTTCCCCTGCAGTCTGTTCTCAACATGGCAGTCAGAGTGATTTTATTTTTAAATTTTACAACTCACATCACATCATGCCACTCCTCTGCCCCCCAAACCTTCCATTGGCTCCCATCTCATGCACAGTAAAAGCCAAAACCTTGCTATGACCACAAAAGCCAATACAGTCTGGGCCACTGGCCTCATCTCCTATTATTTTCCCTTTTGCTCATTTTTTTTTTTTTTTTTTTAGAACCACTAGCTTCCTTGTGTATTGGTTGTTCCTCCAATACACTGGCACACTCCTATCTTGGGGCATTTGCTGTTTCCTTCTGCCTGGAATGCTCTTTCCCAGGGCACATGGCTTATTCCTTTCTTCCTTCAGATCTCTGTCCAAATGCCACTCCCTTAAATAATTTGTCTCTGTTTACCTGTATACCATAGCAACTCTGTCCCATGCCTAACATGCTCTGTTCCTTCTGTTTGTCTTTTATTAGACAAATCACAAGCTGACCATATCCACATCTACACACATGTATATTTATGTTTGTTTACTACCCACCTCTCATCCTAGACTCAAAATCCCGTGCCATGAGATCAACGGCTTTGTCTCTGTGCCCATGGCACTTACAGCGATAGCTGGCATATTAGTACATGTTTCATAAATACATGTGTTTCCTGTTGCCAACTCTTATGATCTCCTCCTATGACTAGGAATGTGTTCTTTGTAGCCCTTGACTCCTTTCCTTTAATGATGTAAAGTAATAAAATGGCCAACTTACTCACTGAGCCTCAGTTTCCTAATCCACATGATGGATCTGATAATAGCTCTCACCTTATAGGGTTGTAAGACAGAAATAAGGTATTGCAGCTGACATCCTCAGCACGTTGCCTGGTTCACAAAATAGATTTTAATGATAATTCTGAACACTATGGAGTCAGATGAATCAGGATTTAAATGACTTATATGCAAAGCACAAATCAGGATTTAAATGACTTATATGAAAATCACAAAGTAAATGCTATCTAAGTATGAGGTCTAATAATAATTACATTTGATTCATTTTCAAGAGTTTTTGCAGTCCAAGAAAAATGACAACTTCCCTTAGTCTCAATTCCTTATCTCTACTATAGAGATGAAGTAGCTGTTGTGACAATTAGTAAGATACAGCATGTAACATGCCCAAACACTGAGGATGTTTGTTAACTGTTTCCCTACTGTGGGACAATCAGATTATTTCATCTGGAAAGCCATTGTAGACAATGCTGTGATGCACATCTTTGTGCATAATGGTTTTCATATATTTCAGATTATTTCCTTACCTTGGAATATCAGGATAAGTATTATTGAGTAGAAACTTCTAGATATTTTTATGGTCTTTGTTACATAAGCCAGATGGATTTCTTATCCTCATTTTGCAGAGTGACTCTGAGCCTTCAGGTTACTTGGCTACTAAGTGTCAGAATTAAGATCAGAGGGCTGGGCGTGGTGGCTCATGCCTGTAATCCCAACACTTTGGGAGCCCTAGGTGGGTGGATCACCTGAGGTCAGGAGTTCGAGACCGGCCTGGCCAACATGGTGAAACCCTGTCTCTACTAAAAATACAAAATTCAGCCGGGCGTGGTGGTGTGTGCCTGTAATCCCAGCTACCCAGGAGGCTGAGGCAGGAGAATCGCTGGAATCCAGGAGGCAGAGGCTGTAGTGAGCCAAGATTGTGCCATTGCACTCTAGCCTGGGCGACAGAGCAAGACTCTGTCTCGAGAAAAAAAAAAAAAGATCAGAGCGCACTCAGGGGCTCACGCCTGTAAGCCCAGCACTTTGGGAGGCTGAGGCAGGTGGATCACATGAGGTCAGGAGTTCGAGACTAACCTGGCCAATATATTAATATATTAATCAAATATATTAATATAATTTCTCTTGTTTCTTTCACTTTTCAAAATGGAAAACCAAATATCATATGTTCTCAAAGTGGCAGCTAAGCTATGAGGATGCAAAGGTTTAAGAATAATATAATGGACTTTGGGGACTTGGGGGGAAGGGAGGGAGGGGGATGAAGGATAAAAGGCTACACATGGGGAAAGTGTACACTGCTGGGGTGACGGGTGCACCAAAATCTCAGAAATCATGACTAAAGAGGTTATTCATGTAACAAAAAACCACCTGTACCCCAAAACTATTAAAAAATGTGGACACTAGAAAATTAAAAGTTACATATATTGCTTGCATAATAGGGATAGTGCTGTTCTAGATGCTATAATTATTAACAGATGCTATAATTATTAACATTTATTGACCATTTATGTGCTAGTCACAATGCTAAATGTTTGCCATGAATTATTTTATTTTCACCTCAAAACAACTGTTTTGCAAATGAGGAAACCAAAAATTAAGTAACTTGCCCATTCAATTATAAGCAGAGCAGGTGAAATAAAACTTGTATCTGACAAGCCCAGAGGCAGACTGGGCACTTGGAGCCAAATTATCTGAGAAAAAGTGCAAGAGAGTGGACATACTTAAGCCAAACTCATGGGAGACATGAGAACTCTTTACAAATACTTCAAAGAGGCCGGCGTTACAGATCACGCCTGTAATCCCAGCACTTTGGGAGGCCGAGGTGGGTGGATCACAAGGTCAGGAGTTCGAGACCAGCCTGGTCAATATAGTGAAACCCTGTCTCTACTAAAAATACAAAAATTGGCCAGGCGTGGTGGCAGGCACCTGTAGTCCCAGCTACTTGGGAGGCTGAGGCAGGAGAATCTCTTGAACCTGGGAAGCGGAGGTTGCAATGAGCCGAGATTGCGCCACTACACTCCAGCCTGGGTGACAGAGTGAGACTCCGTCTCAAAAAAAAAAAAAAAAAAAAAAAAAAAAAAAAAAAAAACTTCAAAGACTGTCATGTGGGTGGAGAAATAAACATTCCAAGTGGCTCCCAGGGGAGGAGCTTGATGATTCTCAGATGGTTGTTTCCTGCCAATGTTTTTCTTCTGAGCTCCAGGGTCATAAATCCAAATACCTTCTCGACTCACCCAGTTGCATCTCTCTTAGGTATTTCTTTTTTTAAAAATTAATTTTTTTAAAGTTCTGGGGTACACAGGATGTGCAGGTTTATTACATAGGTAAAAGTGTGCCATGGTGGTTTGCTGCACCTAACAACCCATCACCTAGGTATGAGATCATGTCCTTTGTAGGGACATGGATGAAGCTGGAAGCCATTATTCTCTTAGGTATTTCAGGCTGAACATGGCCAAAGCTTGTTTTGGTTTCTTTCCTTAAAAGCTTGTTCCACCATTAGGGTTCTAAGCTCAGTAAATGACATTGACATGCATGTGAGTTCCCATGATAAGAACATGGGCACCATCAGGGACTTCTTTCTCTTCTTTGCCCTGGACATCTGCAAACTCCTCAAGAGTTGAAAAAGCATACCTTTCTTGTTTCTCTGTTTATATTGGTTATCTAAGGCTGTGTAACGAATGCCCTTCAAAATTCGCAGCTTAAAACAATGAACTTTACAAGCTCAGTTTCTGTGGGAGAGGATCCAGGAACAGCTGAGCTGGGTCCTCCAGTCTGGGTCTCTCAGAAGGATTTGATCTGATGCTTCAATCAAAGCATCAGCTGGCGCTGCGGTCATCTGAAGACTTGCCCGGAGCAAAATCCACTCCCAAGTGTGCTTGTGTGGTTATTGGTAGGATTCATTTCCTTGTTGGGCATTGGCTGGAGGCTCCTCTCGGCTGTTTGCCACATGCGCCTCTCCATAGGGCAGCTCATATCATGGCCCCAGCCTTCTGTCAGGGTGAGGGAGAGAAGGCTAGGAAAACGGAAAGAGGCTTTTGTAACCTAATCTCCAAAATGATATCGTATCATTTTTGCTACATTTATTAGAAACAACTCACTAAGTCCAATCTACATTCAAATGGAAGGATTACATTAATATCCAATGCACGAATGCCAGGTACTGAGGGTCATTGGCAGCATCTTGAAGCTGTCAGCCACATATCCCAACCATGACTGTGATCAGCATACTGTTGGTCATTGTATTCCATTGTTACCGCTGTAATATCTTGGCTATTTCTTTCTCTGCAGCCTTACTACCTCTTTTGTGGTTCATTGTCATCTTTCACCTGGACAGTTGCAAAAGCCTCTTGGCTGGCCTTCCTGCCTTCTGTCTTCCTTCTTCCATCCATGTCCCGTTTCTGGCTTTGTGGCTGAGGCAGGAATGGGTGATGGTGGTGTGTGGTGAGCAAGGAGTCTAGTTCCAGACTGGTCCATTAGAGCATGGGTGGGTCCATTTGCAGAGTTATTACAGTCCAGGTCAGGTATGAGCCCCAGAGGCATGTTCTGGGTGGTGAGGAAGAGGACAGGTAGGAGTGACGAGAGTCTGAGCTTTCACGAGGAGCCTAAGAACCCTGGCTACAGGAGCAGGGGCTTGGAATAGAGGCCCAAAGCAGAAGGCAGAGCTCTGAATGTGGCTTCTTATTGGTGGTTCCATCTTCAGAATGCCATTCTGTGACTGTGCCTTGGAACCGGAATTGGGCACCAGTTGTCACCATGGGCCCTGTTGCACCAGGCAGGCTGCCGCTGGCCGCTGAGTGACCACTTGGTCCACTGCAGCCTCATGCGCCATTCAGCAATATCATTCCTTCCATGCCTTCCACCTGTAGAGACAGAAGGGGCGAGCCAGGAGCAGGGCTCTCCCAAGGCCTCCTTAGTGGCTGTGAGAAATTCGCTGATCTTGTTGGACGTGTCTTGCCAGAGTCTTCTTTCCCTTTGAAACTAAACTTGCTCTATTTTTAGAAAGCACAGAATAGCAGAGAGAACACAGGGTCTGGGGCAGGCAACTCTAAGATTGGAGTCTGTCTCTACTACTGATTACCTGTGTATCCTTGGGAAGTTATTTACCTTCTTTGAGCCTCAGCTTTTTGGTCTGTAAAATGGGGATAGCAAAGCTTACCCCATGAGATAAATATGAGAAAACATTCACAGGTGCATACAGCACAGTGCTTGTTCAATAGCGGGAAATCAAATCAAATGGTTTGGGAAGAGAAGTATGCAGAGCACATAGGGGCTGCCTCAGAGGTGGGTTCTTCAACCACACAGGTGTTGTGGATAGGATCCAGGGCTTCAGGGATGAGAAGCGGGGATTTGGCAGAGAAAGCTGTGGCTGATGTTTCTGGGAGGCAGATTTTGATTCCACACAATGAAAAATTTTCTGCCTTTCAGAGCTTTCCTGAACAAAGTTGCTTTCCTATGGAGGAGGTGAGTTTCTTGTCCTTAGAGGTGTTCAAGCAAAGCCAGAATGGCCACTTGGTGGGGATGTTGCAGAGGGGATAAAATATCAGGGCGATGCTTGCAAGAGAAGATTGCTAAGGTCCTTTCTAATCCCTGGGAATTAACATTTAAGAGAAATCTGAATGTAACAGATATGACATAAATACATGACAGCACTTTCTTAGCTGCAAGTCAGTGTGAGGAAAGGGGTGGTCATTGGATTTCCAAAGGCTGGGGTTTGAAGGCACTGCTGATTTAGGAAGGAGGTGGAGCCACAGCTCACATTTGAAGGGACCTCCTGCAGCTACAGAAATTACTCTTTGGAATAGACAAAGGACATATTGCAGGCAACCTGTGGTTTGTAGCATAGCTGGGGAAATCAGCATCCCAGGAATGGTTGTTACCCACCACTTGGACAGGAAATGTCACAGACAAAGCCTTGTTTTCTGCTGCAGGAATTAAAGTTCAGAGGCAGCTGCAAGAAAATCAATACCAAGCTGCTAAACCCTTAATGAACGACAGCAAAAGGCTGATGGTGTTGCCTAAAACAGCTTTTTTAAAGCTGCTTGTCTGGGGTGAGAGTGTTAACAATAATTGATTGAGCTCCTATGAGGTGTGGTTTCCAGGGTGCAGCTGCGCAATGTAGGGAAATGCATGTTGGATCCAGGAGCAGTCACCACGGGCTCATGTCTTGCTTGGAAGCTTAGTCATCGGGTTACTGAGTCAGTCATTAGTGTTAGCAACTTGGGAGTCCAGTTGTTAGGCCTATATGCATGCAGCCACTCCTCTCCACACCCCACTGGGTCGGGTCCTCTGGCAAAAGATCAATAGCCAGATCAGAATCAAAGTTCCTGTTTTAGCCATGATTGAACAAGTGCTCCAGGTCCCAATTCATTGCCCTCTGGGAGAAGCAGAGCTCGAGAAACTTGTTCTGGCTGCTAGGCTTAACTAGGCTTCCTGTTTCCTACTCACTTTTGCTTAAATCGGAGGTTTTTTTGTTCTGTTTTGTTTTTTTCAAACAAACCTATAACTCGACAGAGAAAATGAACAACCTGGCAGAAGGGAGGGCAAGGGTATATGGCACACCACCCATCGGTGAAGTGGAGCTCAGTAAATGCCACCCCCTGAATGACCCCATTAGCCATTCCTCCTCTCCAGGGGGCTGAAAGTGTGGGTAGAAATTTCTTTCTTCAGGACCTAGGCAGAAACTTAAAGCGTTAAGAGAAAAGATGTTTCCCACTGGGCCATTTAACTTGTCTTATTTCCCATTTCCCCATCTATCAAGTGGGCACAAAATATCCTCCCTGTTTTCTGTACAGGGTTGTTGTAAGAAACAAATCAAATTACATCCATACGAGTTTGTGGTAAGCCAAATTGCTTCCTCCAATCAAATGGGATGTAGTGCTTTTGTTTGCGACCTGGAGGAGGAATCCCAAGGACAGAAGAAAAAACAGGGAACTGTTGTTTTGATTAACCCCCCTTGAATCCTCACAGCATCCCTGTAGGCAGATATTAACATTCTTACTTTATTTTATTTTTGAGACGGAGTCTCCCTCTGTCACCCAGGCTGGAGTGCAGTGGCATGATCACAGCTCACTGCAGCCTCGACCTCTTGGGCTCAAGCAATCCTGCCACCTCAGCCTGTTGAGTGGCTAGGACTACAGGTGTGTGCCACCATGCCTAGCCAATTTTTTTGTTATTTTTCGTAGAGATGTGGTTTCACCATGTTGCCCAGGTTGGTCTTGAACTCCTGGGCTCAAGCGATCTGCCTATCTCAGCCTTCCAAAGTGTTGGGATTATAGGCATGAGCTACGGTGCCCAGCCAACACTCTTGTCTACAAATGAGGAAACTGAAGTAGGGTAATCAACCATCCGGGCTTGCCCAGAACTAAGGGGTTTTCTAGGACATGGGACTTGCAGTGCTAAATCCTGGAAAGTTCTCAGCAAACCAAGATAAGCTGGTCACCCCAAACTCAAGTCCAGAAACTTTGAGTGACTGTCTTAAACCCCAAGGCTGTTGAATATCATTGTTGGATTGGAATGCAGGATAGTTACCCTAGTACTCATGTTCTTTCCTGCACCCCTTTCTGCTAACACTCTCATTGGGCCGACAAAATATGCACATATGAATGAGTTGCAGGCCAAGAAGATGTGCTAATCAATGTCATGGGGTTTCACAGGAAACAGAAAGCTTTGCTACGAAGGGGTGCTTTGCTGTGATACCTTAGATCTCAATCTTCAGTGGTTCTCTTTTAAGGGTTTGCTTAAGAAGATACCTAAGTTGGGTATGGTCATAGATAAAGTCCTGCTTTATAAGCCAAGTGGCACATTGACTAACATCTTTATTGTGATTTTTAAAATCTTGTTTGGTGGCTCTTAAACTTTAGTACCAGGGCCGGGTTATTAAAGAGGCACATTTGTGGGGCTGCCATCAGCTATCCTGATTCAGTGTGTCCTAGGAGGGGCCCAGTAACTGCATCTGGGTGACCTGGTTAAGTCATCCCTTCCCTCTGCTCTTCCTGGAACTATTGCAACACCCACGTAACTGGCCTCCTTCTCTGTAAAGAATCCATCAGTGACTTTCCATCAGCTCCAGAAGCAACCCAAGCTCTTTAGCCTGGCTGACAAGGTTCTCCAGGGGCTGGCCCCAGGGTCCCTTACAGCCTTCTCACCTGCCAGACTTGGCCTGCTCTCTGGACTCCCGCAGCCTTGATGTGCAGATAACCTGGCTCACTGTGCCGCTGCTGCTTCCCGGGGTCCCTCTTCATTGTATGGCTCCTCCTCCTCCCCATCTTTAGGCATTGACTTTCTCCCACTCTTTCTCCAAGATGCCGTTCAGGCATCCTCAACTTCAGGAAGATGCCCCTGGCTTTTTCCCACATGCACTGCCCTCATGGAGGGGAAATGCACCTGATGGCAATAACTTACACATACACTGAGAATGACCCTGTGTGGCAGACACACCTGAATATGTGTTCCAAGTTAGAGAATCTGGGAGTGGCCAACCTGGAGATTTGTTCGTTGTCTCTGAGGAACATCTGAGCCCCACCTGTCCTGTGGAACACTGGCAGTACAAGGGATCGAGGCCTCAGTTTGGGGTTGAATAAAGGTTGACAGGTGTAAGTTGTTAGGGAAAGGGTGCTAAGTGAAAATGCTATATAAACTCCATGCCTTTTGCAAGTGGCTCCAGTTTTTCTTCCCAGCCCACCACCACTGGGCTGTGTGGTTCTCTTGTCCAGCCCCCAACCTCTGTACTTTCTCCCCTTTATGTAAGCCCCCAATAAAACTCTATGTCTCATTCGCTGGCTCTGGGTCTCTTCTTTGGCCTCTTGAACATGGTGCCATCCCACTGGAGTCAACAGGGGTTTGGCAAAACACCCACCCACTTTAGGTGGCCTTCGGTATCATTTGAATAACCCATCAGGGTCTGCCTTTCCCACTGAACCGTGAGTTTCCAGAGGGCAGAAACTGGTTCTCAATTCCTAACATAAGGACCCTAAAGGTGCTTATTGAAACAGATCAGACCAGGGTGGAGGCAGGAGGCATTGTTTACCTGGCATTGGCTCTGTGAGCTCCCATAAGCCATCTGTGGTACTGATTACCCACTCTGAGCACACCAGATCAAGACACAAGGCACTCAGCAATACTGCAAACATTAGTTTCAATTGCTGGGGTGAGAAGGGATTAGGGAATAGCAAACTGACAACCTGGCTTATTCTGAGGGCTAAATTAGGAACAAGATTGGCATGCTAATGGGAAAAATAGTGAGCCTGAGAGGTGGTGTATATTAGAGGGAATTTGGGGATGTGACATGGAGCTGCTAAAAGTTAAAGTCAGGCGACTTAAGGTTTAGAGATTAACGGCTGCTCTTGACAGAGAGGCCACTTGGTAGAATCACACTCTCTTTGTCAGTCCTTATCTCAGTATTTAACTGTAATAAATTGGTAAACTCCCTAATGGCAGGAACTTGCCTATTGCCATTGTATTAGTGCCTGGCACGTAGTAACAGCACAATAAATTTTTGTTGAATGAATGACCACTCTAAATACTGCTTTCTGCCTCCACCTTCCACAGGGAGGTCCGATCTACCCTAATCTTTTAAGCCAATTTGCCTTTCTCTGTCCTATATCCTTGCTGCGCTAGGAAAGCAAGCCCCACTTTCAGGCCATTCTGACTTCTCTATCTTTGTTCCAGAACTGCTTGGGCTCTGGCCTCTTCTCTGGGGTAAGGACCTGGGTCCTGCCTCTGGCCCCAGATCCTGGGCTTCTTTGTGTTATTTGGCATCTAGACCTGGCCTTGCCCATGTTTATGGGCTTGGTCTGCATCTGCCACCGATATCTCAGGTCCAGTTCTGGCATTGATGTTGTGGAAACTGCCATCTCTACTGGCTTCTTGGTGGGCCCCTGGCCAGGTCAGCCCCAGCCCTTGTGAGAAGAGGACAATGACTTCTTGCAATTGCTGATCCCAGTCCCAGCCCCTGCATACCTTTCATCTCAGGCTGCCTTCCACCACTGTCTTTAAGATGTTAGAGTGGGCTGGCTCAAACCCTTGGCATCCCGGGGTGGGCCCAGTATGGCCCTCCTCTTTGAGAGTTGAAAATCTTCACATTTATTTAAGAAAAGTCCTAGGTTTGGTTAGAAAAATAACAAACAGAAATGAGGTTTCTAGAGGCCTACCAAAGAAACCTCTGATTGGGCTGGATCAGAACAGGCCACTCTGGAGGAATTATAGTCCCAGTGAATGTTGTGTGTGTGAGTGTGCATATGTGTGGTGTACATGGTGTGGAAAGCTGTGTGGGGTGCATACATGGGGTATGTATGCTGTGTATATGTGTGTGGCATGTATACATGTTATGTATATACATGTGGTATGTGTGCATGGTATATGTGGTATGTATACATGTGGGTTGGTATGCACAGGCCATGTACACATATGTATACACACGTGGGTGTATGTGTGGGGTGTGTACATGGTGTCTACCCCTATGTATATGTGTGTGGCATATGTGTGTGTGTGTGTGCCCATGGTGCATATGTGTGTGGTGTCTATCAATGTTTGTATGTGTGGGTATGTGTTATGCAGAGTGTGTATATGCATGTGTTGTATGTAGTTTGTGTATACACATGTGTGGTATATGTATATGTGGCATGTATACACATGTGTGGTATGAATGTATGGGGTATACATGGTCCATATACATATGTGCTGTGTGTGCACGTGGTCCTGAGGTCCTGGCCAGGGTGGGGGCACGTGCAACTCAGAGATGTTTGAGCAGGACATGGCTTGAAGTGTATGTGGGAGCCAAGGTCTCTGGTGGGGGAGGTAGGCAGAGCCTCGGAATCTCGGAGATGGAGACAAAGTTGTGGTCAGCCAGGGGAGCAGGAGGCCAGTTGATATGAAATGACCCAGAGCGAGGCCATGGGCAAGGGGGTGCTGGCATCTCCGTTCTCGGAGCTGTGTGGGCTGGGTCCGCTGGCTTCAAGGGCAGCTCTGGCAGGGAGCTGGGCAGTGCACGCCTCTGCTGACCATTGTCCACAGGCATTTATTAGCATGAGGCAGTGCCAGGCCCTGCATGAGGTGCTGAAGAGAACTGACAGATGAGGTTCCTGTTCACAGAAAACAAATATGAGGACTGAGAAGCTGGGGACGGTGGATGGGGAAGAGGGATGGGGAGAGGAAAGGAGGGAAGGAGAGGCAGAGATTCCTGGGGCTGGGATGGAACACAAAGGGTAGAGGCTGTCCAGCTGCTTGGACTGAGGACGGGGAGGATCACACTGGAATTACAGACCTGTGTTCAATTTGTTCCAATTCTCCCCGTCAAAACAGAGGTCATTTCTTTGAGTGATTATTAAAATACTCCAGTGAATCTGGAGCCCCCTACTGGGTTTGTTGGTTTCCCCAAGCTACCGAATCTGGTTCCCCACTCACTATCATCTGGACATCCAGTCGGCCCACAAATCCCAGACTGCTGGGGAAGCCGTATTAGGTTATTTGGGAGATAGGAGCCTCCTTTTCCTTTCCTCCCCCCACATTTCAGTTCCTGATTTTTTTTTTTTTTTTTTTTTGCCGTGTTAGCAAATTTGATGGATGGTGGCAAATGCTTGAGGATAAAATACTGTAATCAGGAAAGTGTCCCCTCCCTCCCTCCCTCCTCCTCTGTCCCTGGATCTGGTGCTGACCGTTTTTGTGGAGTCAGCAGATGGATGGATGGCTTTTGCTGATGCTTTGCTGGAGTGATAGGATGTGTGGCAGGAATAACCCTGCAGGCTCCTGAGAAAAAGAAAAACAGGAATAGCTCAGGGAAGTGGGGGAACTGAGAGGGAGAAAGGGGAGGGGAGAAAATCGGAGTGAACTGGAGATCCCTGCTGTGGCCCTGCCCACAGTGTCTGATGGTCCAGACCCTATTACCCAAACCCCTAAGTTGAGCAATGGCAACAGACTCTTACCTGGTGCCTTCAGCTCCAGGCTCAACCCCCTCAATCCTTTCATCTGGCACTGTGCCATAATGATCTAAGGAACAAATCCCCCATAGTCCTCCCTCACTCACTCTCACACCTTCCATGGCTCCCTGCTTCCCATCAAATCCTGTGCAAACACCACAGTCTAGCATCAAAGGCTCTCTTTGACATCACTGCATCTATTAGCACCCCATTTTGGATACCCTTGCTATTGTCCAGTTTTGCAAAAAGTTATTCTTAAACATGGCTTTCTGGCCTTTGTGTGACTATACTCTTATTTCTTTCCCCATATGGTCTTTTCCTCCTATTCTCCCATCTTAGCCTTTGGAAATCCCATCTGACCTTTAACTCTGACTGCAAATGTCATATTTGCCATGCTGACTTTGTAAGTCCCCTTGTCAGGTAACATTCTGTCACCTGCTACAGCGCTTATTTCTCAAAACCTTTTGTTAGTATTACTCATGTTCATGTCTGTCTTTGCCATTAGATTGTGAACTTGTGAGGACTGAGCCAGATTTCTCTCTCCGTGGTGGTCTGTCCTATCTCATGTTTAACAGGTACACTGTGTTTAGTTGAAATTTGTTGAATTCAAGTACAGAATTGCAAAATATTCTACTTGATAAGGCAAAATTAATGTTACAGCAGTTTGGTGCAGAGTGTACATTTGCTGAAAACTGTTGTCTTGTGGAAGGAAGGATAAGAATCTGTTTTCTAGAGGACTTTTGAGCTTGTCTTCTGAAAGCCTTTCTGTCACAGTTTGGTAGCGTATCAGTCAGCTTTTTCTATGCTACAACCTCAAACTCTCACTGGCTTATAACAGACATTTATTTTCTTGCTTGCAGGTGAGTTGATCAAGCTAATCTTGGCTCCAGGTCATGGCTTGGGTTCAGGTCTGAGTCTTATAGTTCCTTCTTCTCCTTGGATTAGTAACTCCCTGGAGTGTGCTCTTCTTATAATGGATTCCAGGAGTGTCAGAGGCCAAACCAAACCCTAAAAGCATATTTGTAGCCTCAGTTTGTGTTATCTCCACAATCCTATTGGCCACAGCAAATCAGATGGCCAAGCCCAACATCAATGGGCTGAGGAAATATATACTGCTGAGGTAGTGGTAGGAGCTGCAAAGTCATATGGCAAAAGGCTTGGGCGTGAAATTCTAATAAGGGAGGGGGTAAAGAATTGGAGATAGCAATCCAATGTACCTCCAGTGATCTCAGGGTTGGGGAAGAAAACCCCTACAGAATGGGTACAAGAACAAAGAACTTAAGGATAAAGAGCAGACATAGGAGCAGTAGTACATAGTTTAAAATGCGAAGGTCGATATTTATGTCTATGACCAGATTGGAACTTGCTAACCATCTGTTCATGATGAAAACCCTTAAACTCTCTGAACTTCATTTTCTCCTGCCACAAAATGGAGACAAAAGTACAATTACTATACTTATTGGGAGGGGAGCTTGTGAACAAGCAGGTGAAAATGCTTTGCTAGCTGAAAGAGCCCAAGTAGGGGAAGAAGCTAATGGGAGCAACTGTCCCCAGTGGTCAGGGAAGGTGGAGAAGATGAGAGAGGTTCACGGCAGAACAATGCAGGAACCTCGGTCCATCTCAAGTCCACCTGCTTGGGGCATCAAATTTTCTGCCCCAGCCAGGCAAGGGCTTAGCCCTAAGTTATGTGTTCTCACACACACCTCTGAGCTCTGCCCCATCAAAGTGCCCATCCCCATCTCAGATTCTGGGTTTCACCCAAACCTATGTGAACAGTGTGGATAGGGCCTCTAAGAGTGGCTGTAAGGATCCAGCACTAAAAGCAACAGCATGGTGCTAGGCACATGGCACAGGCCCAATACTGAAACAAAACAATACATTTACCAAATGAATGTGGATTAATGCACACATCTGTTTCAGACGTTTTCTCACTCAGTACAATTGACAGAAACGCCATCCATTCATCTCTTGCAGGCATCCACCAGGATGTGGAAATTGCTTAGATTAACTTGTTAAATCCATCAAAATGGTGTTTATTAAAATGGGATTTTATGTGTTGACCACATAAATATTCATAACTTTATGACAATGCCCAAACACATACCACTGCTTCTGCGTCCTCGCCACTCTGCCAGGAGAAAACATCACGTGACAACAAAACGGAGCCCGTGTTATTTACCTGACAGTGTGTTCTGATACCTTGGAGCAGGGCTCTGCCAAGCAGGGGTTTTTCTGACAGACAGTATGCAGCTGCTATTCCCTTCCCCACTGTCCTCTGCAGAGCTAGCTCATGGCCCATTTTCCCTGCTGTTCCTAAGCACACCAAGTACTTGCTTTATCCATCAAACTCAAGTCCTTTCTTTCAGGAGAAAGAAATCGATAGAAATTGATTTGAAAATGTCAAACCTTATCAACTGCTAACTGTCACTCCAAGCCAGATATTTTAAGGATGGTGTAGACATTTGAACTCACCAAGGCCCTTCTCCTGGCTCTGAAAGTCTATGGTGCCACCAGTCAACCTCTAAATAGTCTCTGGGGGCCTATTAGAGAGGGAGGTGGCATAGCGCAGTGGCTAAGTGTGTAGGCTTAGGAGCCAGACTGCTTGTGTTTAAATTCTGGCCCCATTATTTAATGGCTGTGTGGCTTTGGGAAGGTTATTTAACTTCTCTGTGACTCAGAAGTCTCATTTTGCACCTTAGGATAATAATAAGATATACTTCATAGGGCAGTGAGAACTAAATGACAACCTGTGTAAGCCACTTATAAAATATGGAGAATGTTATAAGTGCACCATTAATAGTAATCACTATTTATTACTTATATGCCACTTTGCTAGGCATCGAGGGTTATAAATAAGGCCAGTTGGGAGAGGCAAGGCATACACAAGGCAAATGGGGCACCTGATACGTAGAGACTGAAGTCTGAAGTCCTGGGTTTGAATATCAGTTCTACCACTTACTTCTCCATGATTTTGAGCAGTTTCCCTGGAACTGTTTCACCTGTAAAATGGCAGGTGAAAATCACAGTGATTGACAAGCCAGCTTGTTGTATGTTTCTAGTTAGAAAACCACTTTGAGACTAGAAAAGCACAGTGTATTTGTTAGCAATTTTATACCAGCGAAAGGTCATTCTGTAACATGGAGTGGCAAATGCTAAATGCCAAATGTGTAGGACACAGAAAGGTTCAGCATCAAGAGAGACACTTTGGGCAGAGATTGTCATAAAGGGCTTACGAGGAAAGGTGGGATTGAACTGGGCTTTCAGAGGAGGCAGGCTTTGGAAAGTCCAGAAAATACTGCCTGGCATATACGAGGCCCAACTTTTAGCAAACAGAGATATAAGCTTAGGAGAGGTCTTGATTTAGCAAAGAGGAATTCTGAAGTGACTTCTTTTTACACTTGGGGAAGCATCTGGATTATTACAATCAGGTGTGTTACCTGATCTGGGTGTTAGTAACTTCCTGGATTTTGCAAGGAGCCTAGCTCAGGGTGGGCAAAAGTTGAAGAGGAACACAAGGTAGGAGTTGATGGAGTTGGCCAGGTGAGAAATGATGGTGGCTTGGGCTAGGAGATTATAGCAGTGGCAATGGAGAAACCCAGACAGAGGCAAGATCTTTTTTGGAGGTAGAGCTGTCAGGACTCACTGATGTATTCATTCAGTTTATTAATTCAGCTGTTCTAGGCTCTGGGGATATAGCAGTAAACAAAACAAACAAAAATATGCTTATATAGGTTAAGTACTGGTGGGAGGTAGAATGCAGGGGAAGAAAGGGGAGTAAAAAGGATGATTCCCAGGTTTCCTGCCTGAGGGGATGGAGTGATATTTGCTTCATAATGCGATTTTGATGCCCTTTGTTACAAGTTGCTAAGGGGCATCATCTTGCCTTGATTTATCCAGTTCCTTCTCTTCTTTGTGAAGCTCTGGATCTTCTTCTTTGTTCTTTGTTCCATCATCTGCATCCTACTGCCAGGGACTAATGGGAGTCAATTCTCAGTGTCTATTAATATGCCGAAAGGTTACCTTTTATATAATCTCTTCACATACCTGTACAGTTCCATCTATGATGTAGATACACATGGTGCTGGGTTTAAGTTTCTTTTCCCTTGTTATACTCTGCAAGGTGCTATTCACAACCAATTAACCCCTTTGCTCTCTTGCAGGGATGGGAGGACTCATATCCTGCCCTGCATTGAGTAGCATGTGGTAGCTCCCTGGTTGAATCTGACTTTAAAATGATCCCACTTGGACAGGTGATCCAGCTTTCATTGCACTTGCTGCATGCCATGATCCAAACCCTTCTTTCTACATTTTACTACATAACTTTCTATATTTTACTACATACGTCTTTTTGACCAGCCAGTGTTGGACGAATTGAACTAAGAAGAGACAGAATTCTAGAGGAAATGTACAACTGGAACAAAGATACAGAGGCAGGAAATTCCAGGCAGAGTTTGGGGCCCGCCTGATGATGACAATCCATTTGAAGACTATGCTTGGGATGTCCTGTGGAAGACAACTAGTGCTTTTTTGAGTGTCTAATACCAGCTGGTGAGCCACTTTCATCTCCCTGCTGAGAGAATACGTGGAAGAAGCCTCTCACTTAGAATTATAAAGGATCCTAGTGAACATAATTTCAGCAATTACCAATGTTCAGTAATTATGCTAATGCTGATTCACAAAGGGCTGTTATTTGCTCAGCATGTTCTGTGCACATTATCTCTTTACCTGACTAACAGTGTTTTCTCACTGCAGTTATGGTTTGCTTGTCATGTTAAGTGATGTTTGCATCTTTGAGCTTGTCAAGACACTAGGATTAGAGCCAAAGTCTTGTTCCCACCCCCGTTACGAAGATTTTCTTGTGGGCCTCTTGATGAGAATGGAAGGAAAGGGGAAAAAGCAAAAAAGAAGCAGAAAAAGGAACCCTATTGACTTGTGGGGAAATTATAGTTCAGAGGCGAAGTGAGTTACAGAGAAACAGAGAGCTAGGATTTGTATCACTATCTTTCTGATTCCTGATAGGGCCTCTGGTGATTAGGAAGGTTGAGAGCTTGCCTGGTCTCCTCTATCTGTAACACAACAACAGTGCGTTTTTTTGGCTTGAAATGGTCATACCATTCTGAGTTTCTGCTTCAAGTTGTAAGAGTGCTTAGAGATTATCTAGGACAGTGATGCTCAAAGCGTGGTCTTTAGACCAGTGGCATCAGCACCACCTGGGAATTTGTTAGAAACGCAAATTCCCGGGTTCTATGCTAGAACTAGATTCAGAAGCTCTCAGAGTTTTTGTGTTTTAACACGGTCACATATGTATTTTTTCCTTGAGATGGAGTCTTGCTCTGTTGCCCAGGCTCACTGCAACCTCTGTCTCCCGGGTTCAAGTGATTCTCCTGCCTCAACCTCCCAAGTAGCTGGGACTACAGGCATGTGCCACCATGCCTCACTAATTTTTGTATTTTTAAAAATAGGCACTGGGTTTCACCATGTTGGCCAGGCTGGTCTCAAACTCCTGACTTCAACTGATCCACCTGCCTCGGCCTCCCAAAGTGCTGGGATTACAGGCGTGAGCCACCGCACCCAGTTGGTCATATGTGTTTTAACAAGCCCTCCAGGTGATTCTGATGCATGTTCAAGTTTGAGAAGGATACGCTAGGCCTTTGATACTGGAATTGTGGGCCATAGACCAGCAGCATCAATGTCGTGGGAGAGCTTGTTACCAAAGCAACATCTCAGGCCACACCCAGACTTACTGAATTGGAGTCTGCATCTTAGAAGATCTGCAGGTGATTTATATGCATGCTGAAGTCTGAGTATCACTCATTCTACTCCAAATGCTTCCACTTACTGTTGACAAGAGGCAAAATGACTGGTAGATGTTGCACTAAGTAGTGACAGAACCAGACTGCTATTACTCCTACTAAATAGCTAACATTTATTGTGTGCTTTGTGAGCCTTGGAGCTGCTTTTGTTTAAAGAGGGCTTACTATGTGCCAGCATTGGCCCCTGGACTTTTAAAAAATTACTTTCTTTAGAGACAGGTTTCACTCTGTCATTCAGGGTGGAGTGCAGTGGCATGATCATAGCTCACTGCATCCTCAAACTTCTGGGCTCAAGTGATCCTTCCGCCTCAGCCTCCCAAGTAGCTGGGATTATAGGCTTGTGCCACCATGCCTGGCTGGCTTTTCCCGTTTAATTCTCACCATATCCCTTTGAGGTAGGTATAAAAATCTGCTTATCTGGAATGGGTATTTGGCTAGATAACTGAAAAAAATCAATTAAGGCAAGAAATCATACAAATTATATACACTTTAAGCATTTAATTTTAACTTAAGCATATAAGTGTACATGCATTCATGAGTCTTTTGATGTGGGGGGTCCAGGTATTTTCCTTGAGTACCCAGGTTTCCTTTCTGCTGAAGTTTACATATCAACGATGATCCCTAACTTAACTTGCTTTGAAGTGGGCAAGAATTCAACCTGTGAAGAAATCTGAGGGCAGGAATCCTTCTAGAATTTTGTTTTCCCCAAACTCCGAATTCTGTAGAATTTTTTAAAAAGTTATTTGCCTGTGCACAGTATTCAAACACAGTTTTCATAGATGCATAGATTCTTATATATAATATTTAATTAAATCTGTGATTATAGTAACAAGTATAAATAGCGTTAGCACGCTTGGAACCAATGCAAGATTAAACAACTCAGCTTTTAGAAGCTGCAGCGAATGGGTGTGTCAGAGAGTAGCTTATTAGCCCTGAACATTCTAGTGCCATGGGTTTGGTCAACGTGTCTTAGAGAATTGGCAATGGTGGTTGAATACCAAACAGCTGAGCTCTTAACACATGTTATTATCACTCTATGAGGTTCAGAAAGGTTAAGGACTCTTCTCAAAGCCACATAGCTAGAAAGAGCTGGAGCTGGGAGGTAGACCCAGCCAGCCTGCATCCAGAGTCTCTACTGAACTCCCCTGATTGTCTGTTTAGGTAAAAAATGATAATCAGTCTTTTTATCTTGACAAAGTATAAACACTTCTCCTTTTTATATAACTATAAATACTTCTCCAAATACACGCTTCTTCCTGCCCTCACTGTCCTTCTATCCTTAATTTAGAAAGAAAACTTGGTGTTCTTGACAGATGAGCAATTGAAATGGATGCATTAATTGATTTAAATGTCCAAGCATCAATATTCTCTGACAAAACATTGTCAGTGCACAGAAGACCAGTTAATGAAGAAAATAACCATGGAAGGGGGAATCAATTAGACTGAAAGTTTAGTTGAACCCTTTGATAAAGCATCTGTAGGTAGCTAGGTAGCATGCATTTCTCCTTCCCTCTGTTATGTCCCCATCCTCTCCCATACACACCTCTTATTGTGTAAAGCATTATACATCCAGTGAAATACTACACCTTATGGTCCTAGTTCTGTTATTATTCCTGTGCACCATCTCCTTTGATGTGACTCATTGCTGGTTACTTGCCTTCCATGCCCTATATGTAAAATGGGGGTAAGAATAGTACTTGCCTATCAGAGCTGTAGAGAGATGTAAATGGGAAATGCTTAGGACAATATCAGATACATTGTAAATGCCCAGAAAATGGTAGCTATTATTGTTTTTCCAACCCTTTTTCCCTAGGGAAAAGATAAAAAAGACTTAATCAGACATAGCTAAGGGAAAGCATTCTGTTTTAGCTCTTTTGGCCTTCTTTTGTAATCCTAGTCCAGTGCCCACAAGGCTCAATAAATATTTGTAGAAAGTTGAATAGATGAATCGTAGGTCAGTGTTTTTCCCCAATCTGCTTCTGCATCTCATGATGGTCTATGTTATACGGGTTGTTTCTCTGTATCAAAGCCTTTTATACTTCTGTAGTTTCAAAGAATTCTCAGTCTCTCCATCTGCAATTGCTTACGGTCTTCATATTGTCAAGTACGGACTTTTTCTGAACTATGTTTTCAAGGGAATCTTGTTTTCCTCTCATATTCTCAGAAAAATGCCAACAGACAATTGCCTGCAGAATGACAAATGGCTCACATGGCTTGTTGCTCCGCTTTGTTGCTTGGATCTGAGTGCCCTGTGATCTGAGGTTTATGTCTCTTGGCTGCCTCCATGTCTCACTGTGGTTTTATATCCCCTGGCTTTTTGGCAGAAACAAAACTTTTAGATTTGTCCTCAACTGAAAATGTTTCAGCTGTGTGTGCAGGCGTCTTCATGCTATAGAAGAAGGAATGGAACTGTGAATGGTGGGAAAGGCTGAAGGAAGTAATGGAGACCACGATGCAGAAGTAGGTGCTCTTGCAAAGCAGTCCCGGGACAGATAAAGGAAGCAAAGGCAGAGAACCCCAACGCCTTGTAAGTAAGTTCTTTTGTCTTGGCGGAGTTCTAACCTGGAGTTGTCTGGGATAGGACTGGGATGCTAGAAGCCAGGTTAGGTGAATATCCCCGTGGGCAAGTGAGGATCACCTGCAGCTCTTTTTGTCTTAGGTGGTTGTGTCAAGTGCCTTTCAAGTGCCTCTTCACCACCCAGAGCTATTCTTTGCTGTCTCTCTGCTGTGCTCTGCTCTCTTCCCAGGAGGCTGACTCTGATCGATTGCATGAGCAGGTTCCTGTGCCCTTTAGCTTCAGCTAGGTGGGTCCAGTCAACAGGGACCCTTGGCAGGAGATCAGAGGTTTGGAGGGAGGAGGGTATGCTCAGGGTATCTATTCCTCTGAAGGAATTGCCTCAGGCTGGCTGTGCCTTTCAGTGGCAGGTAAATGTTCCCCTCAAGGTGGCTCCTTTTATGAAATTCTCTCCTTCCAGTTCTGGTATCTGTTCTCTCTCCTCGTCATTTTGAGCCTAGAAAAGATAACGACCACATTGTTACTAATCCCGGGGTACTGCACTGTCCCTGAAAGCTTCCCTATAACCTGCCCCCACCTTTGCAAATGGTTCTTTTATTAAGTCCTGTTCATGTGATCCCAGTATGAGTTTGTCTATGCTTCATGCAAGGACCCTGGCTGTTACAGTCTCAAGTTGCTCTGCCTCTGTAGGAAAACAGTGGTATCTGAGAGGTAAGAGTCAAAAAGATAAAAATAGCATGGCTGGATATGAAAGAGGTGGTTTCAGTTGCAAGCAATAGGAAACAGTCCCAGCTCACTTAAGTGGAAAAGGAATTCATTGGTGGGATATTGGGTATGGCTCATAGAATTGGGAAGGCTGAGGACCAGGCAGGAAGCTGGGCAGCAGGGACCACAGGGACATTCTGGTTAGGATGATGCTGCTGGTTACTGCTGCTGTGAATGCATTCTCAATTGTAAATGCATCTTTGCTTCACTTCCTTAGGGTTCAGCATCCCAGGTAGGAGCATCTGCTTGGCCAATGCTGGGTCACATACAGGATCCTAGTTGCAGGAAGGGGAGAAGTTAAAGCTTCTCTCTTCCATCTGCGTTGGCTTCTTTCCTTCCTCCCCTCCCCATCCCACCAATAGTTACTTCTGGTTTCTCCAGGGCTGGGATTGAGAAGAGAGGAGACGTATGGTCAGGAAAGGTTGTACTTGGCGGGTACTGTCATGAGCTGGTGTTACTAGTCTCTGGGATTGGCAGCTGTTCAAAGCTGAGTCTTAACTCTCCTTGACCGAATCTATCTTCCTTCTGTCTGGCCATCTGGTATTCTATCTCTTCTGTTGGGAATCCCATCCCAGCTGTTTCCTCCCAGTCATTCTTGGGAGAAATCCAAGATGACCCTGGTATGGCACCCCTCCAAGGGCTGCTCAAAACCTATATTTTTCCTTAGCCTTTGGAGAAGGCCAGAAAGCATTTAATTTTATCAATCTCATACAGTCTGGCTGCTTGTATTGGAGGCAGTCGGCTGGTGTAAAGGTTCAGGGTGGCTTTAGAGCCCACTCTAATAAACATTGAGAAGCTTTGCTCTCTGCACTCATCTACACAGAAGCTGGTTTGATTTTATAAAGACCACCCCAGAACTATCTATCCAAGCTCCCAGACATGAGCCAAGGTGGAGATAGCCCAGAAGGAGACATAGATGGTTCTCTTGGAACAGGGTTTCTCCCAGAAAGGATTTTCAGACAATATAGAGTTTCTATCAATTTCTACCCTTTCCTAGAAAAAGAATAAAGCCTTCTAATGATATTTAACACTTCTAAATTTCCACTTAGCCAAGAACAATGGTGCCCAGTCTGTCACAATTGACCGTGTTTTATTTGATTGTTATGTGAGCTTTCATTATGTTTCAAAGGCCTCATTTGCCATTTTAAATAAGCATTTATTGTTATTGTATATCAACCTATGAACTCAGGGCTCTTAGTTAATCTTGTCTTTTTATTTTTTTTATAAGACATCTGAGTAAATGTAAATAAGGGTAACTTCAGCAGTTTAGGGGTCTCGATAGGTCAAACTAGAACCACAGAGACTGGGACTTGGCTCTAGCCTGATATTAATAAGAAGGTCCTATCCCACATGATTTCCGCTTTCCCTGCCCCACTACCCCTGAGCTATGAAAGGTCAAGACACAGGCTTTTGAGAAAGGATGGAGGCCAAGGAGGACTTTACTAGGTAATTACTATTATCTCAAAGAAATAGAAAAGGTACCAATTGTCATTTCTTTATGATACTAAATTTTAGGAGAGATTTCTAAGATGTTCAAGGATGATGAATATATAAAATACTGGTTTTATTATACAAATGGATCTTGGGATAATATTAGTGTTGGAAGCTTTTGGGGTCTCTGCCTAATAGGAAGGATTTTTCTTTTTTTAATTTAGCCATTTGGGGGGTACGGATGATGCAGATATAAGAAGTCAAAGACATTCTTTGCATTTGAAGCAAAAGCATCTCAAATCGCTATTATCTTCACCATTACCATCGCCACCCATAATATCTTCATAAATCTTTATGCACATTCTTTATTACTTTCTTTAGATAAATTCTTCCAGGTAAAATGACTAGCTAAAAGCATATGAATTTTAAAACTTATTTTTAATGAAAAATTTTATATATTTTATAAAAGTAGAAAAAATAGTGTACAAAGATTTTAAAATCTTGTAACATGCATTGCTTAGCTGCCTTCTGGAAAGTACCATTAAGTTGCACCCTCATAAGTCTTGAGAATTCCCATATCCTGACATTGTGCACAGGACTGGACTTTAAGTGTTTTTGCTCAATTCACTGAATGAGAAATGGCATCACATTGTTGTTTTAATTTTCATTGGTTTGTTTAGTAGTAAGGGTAAACATTTTTCCATATATTTTTGGTCATTTGTTTCATGATTTCTTTATTTATATACTCTGTTCAATTTGCCACTGCCTATTCCTTTCTTACTAATTTGCAAGAGGTCTTTAAAATTTAAGAATATTAACCCTTTTTCTGGTAAGCACATTGCAGTTATTTCAATTATTTTCTCATTTGTCTTTTGCCTTCCAATTTTCTTCATTATGTTTCTTGACATATTGAAATATTATATATAATAATATGTTATATATATATTATATATATATATATTTTGAGACAGAGTTTCACTCTTGTCACCCAAGCTGGAGTGCAGTGGTGTGATCTCAGCTCACTGCAACCTCCGCCTCCCGGGTTCAAGTGATTCTCCTGCCTCAGCCTCCCGAGTAGCTGGGATTACAGGCACATGCCACCACGCCAGGCTAATTTTTTTTTTATTTTTAGGAGAGATGGGGTTTCACCATATTGGCTGGGCTGGTCATGAACTCCTGGCCTCAAGTGATCTGCCTGCCTCGGCCTCTCAAAGTGCTGGGATTACAGGTGTGAGCCACTTTGGCCAAAATATTACATTTTTATATAGCAAAATCAATCTAGTTTTTACTGGTGGTTTTCCTTACTTTGGTTACTTGCTTAGGACTCAAACATATACATTTCTCTCTCTCTCTCTCTCTGTGTGTGTGTGTGTGTGTATATATATATATATATATATATATACACACACAAACAAACACACATATGTGTATATATACACACACATATACACATATAGATGTTTTTAATTTACACATATAGATGTGTATATCTGTGTGTATATATACGTGTGTATATGTGTGTGTATATATAACATACATATATATGTGTTTATATACATAACATATAACACACACACGTGTGTGTGTGTGTGTGTTGTCCCTTGATATATGCAGGGGATTGGTGTCTGACCTTCCAGGATACCAAAATATGCAAAAGTCAGCCCTTTGTATTGATAAAAGAGAAACTTTAGTTGAATTAAATTTAAAGGAGTTTAATTGAGCAATGAATGATTTGTGAATCGGCAGACCCCAGAATCACAGCAGATTCACAGAGACTCCAGCGCAGCCACATGGTGGAAGAAAATTTATAAACCAAAAAAGGAAATGACGTACAGACATCGGCAGAGAGGTACAGAAACAGCTGGATTGGTTCCAGGTTGGCGTTTGCCTCATTTGAACACAGTTTGAACACTTAGTCCTCTGAGTGTTTGAAGCACGGCTGCTGGGATTTGCCAAGACTCAGTTATCGTTACAGGCGCATGCTCCTAAGTTAGGTTCTCAATCTTGTCTGACTATTAAGCTAGGCTACAGTTCATCCACAAGGACTCAAATAGAGAAGCACAGAGTCCTTCTCAGACCATATTCAGTTTGCTTCAACAGTATACCTGGGTTTCTCATCCCTGAAATACTGTATTTTCAATCCACATTTGGTTGAAAAGCATTCACGTATAAGTTGACCTGTGCAGTTCAAACTTGTGTTATTCAAAGGCCAACTGAAAAAAACTACATATTTAACACTTTAGTAGTTTCATTTCCTGTATTTAAAAATCTTTAATACGTCTGGGATTTTTTTGGGTATGTGAATAGTACAAGATAGTATTCTTGGGATTTTTCCTTTTCAAGTAGTTAAATAATTTGAACAATCCTTATTAATGTAGTCTTTTCCTATTGATTTAAAGTGCTGCCATTATTACATACTAAATATTTATGTCTAAGGCTTTTTATTGTGTTCATTGATCTGTCTAATCTTGTACAGTACCCAAGTGGTTTTATAATTGAAACTGTATATAAGGTTTTACTTTTTGACGATTTACCCTGTCTCTAATTCTTCCAGCCAATATTTCCTCTTTTTCTAAATTTTTGGCTTCTCTCAGATGTTTATTCCCTAAACTTCAGAGTTGTTCTTACAATTTTATCAACTGCTTTAAATTTATAATTGATTTGGCATAATTTATATTTTTATATATTTAAGTCTTGCCCTCAGGAGCATTTTGTCACTTTCTCTTCTATGGAGGGAAGGGGCCATATTCTATGGCCTCGGTAAGGTTTGGATGTGTTCTTCATAAAATGTTTACTTGTTGATAATTAAATTTATTCTTGGAGATTTTATATTGTTGTTACAGCTATGAATAGAATTTCCTCCACTTTTTTTTTTTTTTTTTTTTTTTTTTTTACAGATTATGGCATGTATATAGGAAGGTACTCATTTTTAATATGTATTTTGTAACCGCCAAATTTAATGAACTGTTTTATTAGTTCTAATACTTTAGAGTTGATACTTGTGTTTTCTAAGTAGAAACTGGCATCATTTACAATAACTATGATTCTGAATATTTTTCAACATTCTTTTTTTTTCATTTTTCTCTCTCTTCCTCTCTCCCTTTTCTTCCTCTCTCCTTTTCTTTCTCTTTTTCCTTATATTTCCAGCACTTCTAGGATGATGTTAAGGTAACAATGAGCATCCTAACTCGGAATAGAAATATCTCTTGCTTTTTAATTTAAATTACATATGATAATATTTCATTAGTTATTTTGCAACTCCCAGTAGTTGTGTATGTTCTATGGGAGTCTGCTCCCTTGGCTGTAGCTGATTGAGTCTTTTCAAGGATTTTTTGATTTGGAAGTAAGGGGACTAAAGAAGCCCCCTTTTGATTGTGGGAGCCATAGGACTAGAAGTCAGGAATTACAGCTCAGCTAGATCCTTGCCATGTGAAGGACAGAATGAATCTAATACAGAAAACTGCACCCAGTGGAGAGAGTGCAGATGGCATGAGTGTCTGGCTGCAGCTGCCCTTGACACGCAGCTCTGGGGAGGGGATCTCATTCCTATAGTTATTTGAGTTGCCCCATTATCCTTCTAATAAATTCCCAAGGTAAGTTTAAATTTGGTTTTTGGTACTTCTAATCCTGAGAATATAGGTCCTCTCTCTTTTAAAAAATATTTCTTACACAATTAATGGTTTGCTGGAGTCGTCCAATTTCTCAACTCTTCTTTAGGAATATATAAATTACCCAAATTTACTTTACTGAGGATTTCAAATTGATTAGCAGAGAATTATCCCTAATTCTTTCTTATGAGTAAAAATAAACTCACTACTTAATGTGAAAAAGCTCATATATGTTACCTAGTTTCTTTCTACGGTATTTTCTAGTATAAAACAATTATACTGTTAGAAGCACTGCATTTGAAAGATTATATTATGAAAAAATTGTTTCAATATGACAAAAGAAGGTTAGGAGTTAGACACTTTCAGATCTACAATAAATTATTTTTTCTACAGAAATATCAATAATAAAGGTTTATTTATTTTTATTTCTGCAGGTATATTTTGTCATTGCAAATGAAAAATGAAAAAATTGATTTATCAATACCAACAGAAACAAACTCAAATATCTCCTTACTTGTCCTTATATTCTCACATGCAGGAACCTCCTATTCTCCTTGAGTCAACTTTGAACTTAACCTTACACTTTTGCTTGCAGCACAATTTATAAAAGTCAACAGTAAAAAAGAACCATAGAATGTGAGGATAAATGAAAGTACACATTCCTATGATAATACTCGAGCACTCACAGCAGGCTGCTGGGTCTTCTTATTCTCATTCAGTAGCTTGTCTAATTTTGAACCATTGGTGGTCCCCATAATGTATATCAGTTAACTTTTACTGCATAACAAACCACTTCAGAATGTAGTTCCTTAAAAAATTCAACATGATTTTGTGGTTTGGTGACTGGGGCTGGGTTCAGCTGGGAGATTCTTCTGGTTTTGGCTGGGCAGTCAGCTGCCAGGCCAGCTCAGGGCTGGTTGAACAAGGAGTGGGCTCAACTCAGTGGCTTATCTCTACTTCACATGGTCTCTGATTTTCTAGAAGGCTAGCCTGGCTTTGCTCACATTATGATGGCAGGGTTCTAAGAGAGAGGGAGAGGAAGTAAGGTTTCTTGAGACCTAGGCTTGGAACTGTACAAGGTCATCTCTGCCATATTCTATTGGCCACAATTAAGCCAAAATAGACTCACTCTCTTCATGACAGGACTTAAAAAGTCACATTGCAAAGTGCATGGCTACAGTGAGGGGTGAGATTTTAATATCTGCCATATAATATGAATTGTGTTACTGTAGTTCACAATGCAAACTGTATCCCCAGTTAATCAACAGGTTACTTTCTGTTGATGGTGAAAAACTTACCAGAAGGATGTGTATATGTGTATGTGTTGTGTGTTTTTCAGTTTTCTGAATCATTACTTTTTGTTTGTATTTTTGTTAATTTATATGTGTCAAACATAGAGTAGGCATTTAATAGATACATGCTGAATAAATTATTGCATGGTTTGTCTAATATTTTATAGCTAAGATTTGAGTTTTAAGTTTAGCAAATATTTTATATTCCTTTTTGTTTAATAGTAAAACATGGAATTAAGTAAATTTGTCCCTGAGTAGAGATTTAGTCACATACCATAGGAAATTTTTTTAAAATTTATTTTTATTTTTAATTTTTGTCTTCATAGTTTGATGACTGATCACAAAGAGGCACTTTAGTATTTACTACCCAGGTGCAGAAGCAGATCATTGCTAGCCTTCCAAGAAATGGCCTTTATGCCTCTATTCGGTTGCTGCTCCTCTCTCCCCTCAAAGTAACTACTGTCTTAATTTTTATGTTAATTACTTCCTTGCTTTTCCTTTTGATTTTGCCAGCTACATATATGTACCTAAACACTACAGTTTAGTTTTGTTTGCTTTTTGAACTTTATAGAAATGGATTAATATAGTTTATTTTTGTCTTTCTGGCTTATTTGGTTTCACATTATCTTTGTGAGACTTATGACATAGTTCACTCATTTTAATTGCTGTTTATTTTATTATATGAATATACTGCAATTTATTTTTTATACTTTTACACACATATACCACCATTTATTTGTTCATTTGAGTACTAATGGGTTGTTTTGTTAATTGGTCTCTTCAGCTTTGGGATTAATGAGTTGATAATGAATAAATGGTGAAATGGGGTTGAATGGCTTGTTTTCAGTTTTTTATGATTATAAATAATGCTGTTACAAGCATTCTTTTATGTTTCTTGATGCATGTGAGCATGCATTACTAGGGGTGAAGTTACTGGGTAAGAGGCTTTGTGTGTGTTTAACTTCAGTGGTGTAGTACAAACTGTTTCAAAGTAGCTGTATCCATGTGCACTTTCACCAACATTGTAGGAGAGCTTCCACTGCATCCATCCTTGCCAACACTTTGGCATGGTCAGACTTTTTATTTCTAGCCATGCTGGTGGCTGTGTAGTGGCATCTTGTTGTTTGGATTTGTATATCTTTGATGACTAATAAGATAAATCATCTTTTTTTTTTTTTTTTTTTTTTTGAGATGGAGTCTCGCTTTGTCACCCAGGCTGGGATGCAGTGGCGCAATCTCGGCTCACTGCAACTTCCACCTCCCGGGTTCAAGCAATTCTCCTTCCTCAGCCTCCCGAGTAGCTGGGACTACAGGCATGTGTCATCACGCCCAACTAATTTTTGTATTTTTATAGAGACGGGGTTTCACTATGTTGGCCAGGCAGGTTTCAAACTCCTGACCTCATGATCCGCCCCCCTTGGCCTCCCAAAGTGCTGGGATTACAGGTGTGAGCCACTGCACTGGGTGAAGATCAATCATCTTTTTACATACTTTTTTTGACTGGGGGGAGATTAGGATTTTCTCTTTTGGAAAGTACCTAGTTAAGTCTCCTGCTCATTCTTCTATTGAGTTGACTGTCTTTTTTCTTATTAATTTATATAACTTCTTCTCTTGACTTTCCTTTTTGTAATCTTAATGGTATTTTTTGATGAGTACAATTCTTAATTATAATCAAGTCCAACTTATCACACTTTTTTTCTTATTTGGTTAGTAATTTCTATGTATGATTTAAGAAAACTTTCTCTACCTTGAGGCTCTCTGTTGCATTCTACTTTTCAGTTTCATTAGTTTTTGCTCTTAACTTTCTCATTTGCTTCCTTTTTTTTTTCGGGCTCAATTTGCTATTCCTTTTCTAAATTTTTAAGACTAAATGCTTTGTTTACTGATTTTCAGCTTGTATTTTCTTTCTAATATAAGCATGACTTTAGTTATGTCTCTCAAATTTTAATATGTTTTATTTTCATTATAAATCACATAAAAATATTTTCTCATTTCCTTAATCATTTGTTCTTTGACTGATGGGTTGTTTGAAGTGTATTTCAGTTTAAAAAATTCCCAAACAAATGGCAATTATTTTTGCTATTATTTGTTCCTGATTTCAAACTTAATTCTACTGTAGCCAGAGACCTTACTTTGCATGATGTAAATCCTTTGAAATTTGCTGACTCTTGCTTTTGTGCAGGATATGGTCAATTTTTGTAATTAATGTTCCATGTGTCCTTGTATTTAAGTCTTTGTCTCATGCTCTTCTGAGAGAACACAGGCTAAGATATGACAGTTGAATCTTCATTATGAAACCTAGACTTTATCAATATGTAACAATCTTTCTTGTCCTGTGTAATATGTTTTTGCTTTGAAGGTACTTTATCTGATATGAATGTTGTACTTATGCTTTTAAAATTTGCATTTATCTAATACACATTTGCCCTTTTCATATTTAACATAGAAAGATACTTCACTTGTGTCCTTGAAAACTGTATCGTTGGATTTTGTCCTTGACTTAATTTTGGAATTTTTTTCTTTTAATAGTGGAATTTTACATATTGGCATTTACTGTTAAAACTATTTGATATTATTTCCTTAGCTTTGTTTCATGTTTTAAACTTTTATGCCTCATTGTTTTTCTTTGCATTGTTTTAAACTAGAGAACTATATTTACTTCAAAAAATGCCATTTTGGAAGATATATTTTAATCAGAGTAGTGGGTTTATTTAAGATTTTCAAAAACATTCTGTAACTGTTGCTTTTTAAATTTTTATAACTAAACATGAAATTAATTTTTCAGTTTTTTCTCCTTAATATGCAGTGTGAGCATATTTTTATTCTCTTATCCTCAACCTCTTGGGTTTTATGAACACAATCTAGTGTCTTGCATTAGGTAATCTTTTCTTAAGAATAATTTTTGACATGTGCATTGTTTTATAAACAGATTTACAAGCATTACTTAGACGTATCACCTTTTTGGCTGATTGCAGAACTCACCATTGTCTTTTAATACCTTGATTTCCCCAAAGTTGAGTTGTTAACTATATCATGTCTTGACTATTTAGTGTTCAAGTGGTTTTTTAATTTCCAGAAGGATGCATGGTGGCACATTTTCAAAGTCTTTGTTGAAAATGGTTTTGTTTTTGCTTCTACACTAAAAAAGGCGAGTTTTCCGGGTCTAAAATTCTTAAGTGGCAAACTTTTCCAGACTGTGTCTAGATATTAATCTCTTCATTGATGCTTGAAATCAGATATCTGAAATGTAGATATCCTTATAATCTTATTACAGATCATTTCTCTAGTCTGGGAAAACATTCTCTTCTTTTTCTTCTTATTGCTTCTGTTCTGTTCTGGTATCTCTTGAAAATGAATAAGTTATCTTTATGTTGCATTTTGCCATTTTCTGTCCTCCATTTCTATTATCTTCTTTATCATAATGTTTGTCATTGTCTTTTTCTCCTTAATTCTGGGAAAGCTAGTATTTTTAAAAATCAGTATCACTGAATGTTTTATTCAGTATAATGTTTTATTCTTTTTTCTTCCATTATTTAAAAATTTGTTACTGCGTTTTACTTTTTCACTTTTCAGACTTTTAACGCTTTTTTGCCCAACTGTACCGAGAAAAAGCTATACTGCCTAAAATGAGCCAGGATTGAGGTATCTCTGAAAGTCTTTTCGGAGACTCATTTACTTTCTCCCCAGATGGATCACTCTCTGTTTGGAGAGAGAATTTCAAACTCTGTGCTTTCTGTATGGTCCTATCTCCTCAGTATCTATGAGGACTCTTGAAGTTTCTGGCATGTATTTATTTAGCAAATACTTATTGAATACCTATTATTTTCCAGGTATTCTTCTAGGTACTTGTGATCCATCAGTGAATGAACAGATAGATAAATACCCCTGTTTTTTTAAAAAAAATTATTTGCGATAGCGGTAAAATATATGTAACATAAAATTTACCATATTAACCACTCTTAAGCACACAGTTCAATAGTGTTAAGCACATTCACACTGGTAGGCATCCAATCTCCAAAATTCTTTTCATCTTTCAAAACTGAAACTCTGTACCCATTAAACAACAACTTAAGTATTTTCTCTTCTTCCCAGCCCCTGGAAACGACCACTTTACTTTTTACCTCTATGGATTAGACTACTCTGGGTACCTCATATGCATGAAATCATACAGAATTTGTCCTTTTGTGTCTGGCTTCACTGAGCATAATGTTTTCAAGGTTCATCCATGTTTTAGGATGTGTCAGAATTTCCTTCCTTTTTAAGGCTAACATTCTATTGTATGTATATGCCACATTTTGTTTATTCATTTATCAATAAACACATAAGTTGCTTCTATCTTCCAGCGATTGTGAATAATGTTGCTATGAACATGGGTGTACAAATATCTCTTAGAGACCCTGCTTTTATTTCTTTTGGGTACATACCCAGAAGTAAAATTGCTAGATCATATGGTAGTTCTATTTTTAATTTTTTGAGGAACCACCCTGTTGTTTTCCACAGTAGTTGTACCATTTTACACTTCTACTAACAACACATAGGGGTTCCAATTTGTTCGCATACTCACCAACATTTGTTGTTTTCCATTTTTTTAACAGCAGCCATCCTAATTACCCCTACTCTTATGGAACTCAGATTCTAACAGGAGTTAGAAGAGGAGAGAGATGACAAAAAACAAACGTAATATGCCATACGTTATGTAGTATTTTATAAGCTGATATAAACATAGAGCAGGAAAGGGGAGGATCAGGAATGGTGGTGGGAGGGGGTGAGATTGGTGCTAATTTAAACAGGTGATCAGGATAGCTCCACCAGTCCACTGACAAGATGATGAGCAAAGACTTGAAGGAGGTAAGGAAGCTGACCTCAAATGGAAAACCTTCTGGTGTCTAGCCTTGTTGGGGCTGTTTCTTCTGAGTTTGGATTTTACTGTTCATTTGGACAGGTCTCTGCGGGTGGGGAAGTTAGGTGGGGTATTGTTTACGTGTGCTTGAGAAACTCCCATGCCTGAGAGCCCTCATCTCTTCTTGGCAAACCTTCATAGCTGGCTCTGTAATGGGGCCATTGTCATGCTGGGCCCAGACACAGGGTGAGGAGGTGAACTAGGGTGAAAAGTGGCTTAGAGTCAGGTGGCTGGCAAGCTCTGGAGGCTGCTGATCAAGGTCAACCTGAGCTGGGATAAAGAGAACAGGGCTGATTGGGAGCATGTACAGGACACAGGTCAGGAACAGGCAGTAAATAAACATGAGGGGCACATGCAAAGCCTGAGCATAGGACAGGTTTCAAAGTTCCAGGCTAAGTCTGAGGCCCAATTTGGGAAATGGGGAGAGACTATGGGCAGCTTGGGGGATATCTGTGACTCATAGACTCATTAGACTATGAGATGGGGTTTGAGGGCTGGTGAGAGATCTTTGTATGACCGGAAGATCCAGGTGAGAGACTGGGTGACCAAGACAGTCAAAAACAGGGTGGAATTTGGATTCTGAGACGTTTGCCCCCAGCAGGGGGTGAAGGTGGATATATGGGATATGGGTGGCCAGCTGGCTGTAGTGGAAAGTGAGGCAGCAGAGGGGACACCCGCAGCAGTTCGCTCCTTGACACAAAAACTTCTCAGCCCTTCCTCAACTGTAACTTTTGTGGAAACTCTCATTGCCTCTCCCGGTGTGCTTCCTCCTGCACCTTTCTCTTGAGAACAGGCTCTGCCTCTTAACTACAGTGGTCCAGCCTGAGTATTCCATCCCCAGCCGCCATGATGACTTCATGGTAGAAATGGCCACAGTTGGAGAAATCAGAGTCTTTGTCCAGGAATTTTTTCTTTTTTCTTTTCTTTTTTTTTGTAAATGAATTGATACTGGTTATTTATTTGTTTGTGGTTTAGTCAGTTAAATTTTGCATTCTTTGCAATACAAACTCTTCAGGTATCAGTTCCTCACCATCTACCTCCCATATACCTCTCATCCTTCCACAAGCTTTTACCTATATAAAGGCCAAATATCTCCTCACAATATTAACAAAACTTTATATATATATATATATATTTTTTTTTTAAATTATACTTTAAGTTCTAGGGTACCATCATTCTCAGCAAACTATCGCAAGGACAAAAAACCAAACACCGCATGTTCTCACTCATAGGTGGGAACTGAACAATGAGAACACTTGGACACAGGAAGGGGAACATCACACACAAGGGCCTGTTGTGGGGTCAGGGGAGGGGGGAGGGAAAGCATTAGGAGATATACCTAATATAGATGACGAGTTAATGGGTGCAGCACACCAACATGGTACATGTATACATATGTAACAAACCTGCACGTTGTGCACATGTGCTCTCCAGGAATTTTTTCTAATTTGAGCTAGCAGGGAGGTCACTCTTGTCTGTTTCATGGAGCTAGAAGGGTGTGAATCTATGATTGCTGGTGACTAAATTCTCTGCTTCTTGGAGAGAGTCTGTCTGCAGGGAGAGGGGAAGAGGGAAAAGGAGAGGCAGAGGGAGAAGGGGAGGGAGTGGGGAAGGGGGAGGGGAGGGGGAGAGGGAAGGGAGGGGGAGAAGAGGGGGAGGTAAGTTGGTTTTCAGTTACTGAGGTCTCCTATCTGCCTGTATTCCTAAAACTCTGCTTTGCATCCTTGAGCTACCTCAGGATCCTTCTCCCTAGATTCTCCCTTCCTCCCCTCCCTTTTCTCCCTTCCCTCCCTCCCTCCTTCCTTCCTTCCTTCCTTCCTCCCTCCCTCCCTCTTTCTTTACTTCTTTTGTCTCTTTCTCTTTCTTTCTCTCTCTTTCCTTCCTTCTTTCTCTCTCTCTCTTTCACTCCCTTCCTTCCTCTCTTTTTCTTTCTTTTTTCTTCTTTTCTTTTCTCCTTCCTTCCTTCCCTTCCTTCTTTCTTTCTTTTTCTTTTTCTCTCTCTCTTTCTTTTTCTTTCTTTCTCTCTCTCTTTCTTTTTCTTTCTTTCTCTCTCCCTTCCTTCCTTTCTTTCTTTCTTTCTTTCTTTCTTTCTTTCTTTCTTTCTTTCCTTCTTTCCTTCCTTCCTTCCTTCCTTCCTTCCTTCCTTCCTTCCTTCCTTTCTTTCTTGCTTTCTTTCTTTCTTTCTCTCTCTCTTTCTTTTTCTTTCTCTCTCTCTTCCTTCCTTCCTTCCTTCCTTCTCATGCTAGTTTGAGTTGAGGTTTCTCTCACTCACATACAAAAGTGTTCTGACTACTGTAACAAGATTTCCAAATAGTGGCAGCCCTTCTTTTCTTGAATCTCTCTCTTTTTTGGTTTTGTGGCTCTCAGGTCTCTCAGCTCTCTAACTGGATCCCCACTCTGACTTCTGCTGGCCGCTGTTTCTTCTGCTGCTCCATGGTGTCTTTCCCCATGATTCTGTACTTCCCTTTCTACTTTTTGCTTTCTAGGCATTATCCTCAGATAGCTCACCCACTCACACAGCACTAACTGCCACTGCTGGGGGAGACCCTTTAACAGTCCACCCTAGAGCTCTAGTGGCTGGTCTGGATGACAGCTACATCCATATAATACCTCACAATGGTCCAGAAACTTATTACTACATTGTGCAATAAGAAATACATGGGCTTTTGAAACTAGGCAGGCCTGAGTATAAATACTGGATCTAAGCATAATGAACTATGAGCATATCTTAGAGATCTTGCAGGTTTGGTTCCAGACCACTGCAATGAAGAAAATATGGCAATAAAGGAAATGTTTTAATGAAGTTAATATCACAATGAAGTGAGTCACACACATTTGTTGGTTTCCAGGGGTTAAAAAAGTTATATTTACACTATACTGTAGTCTGTGAAGTATGTAATAGCATTATGTCTAAAAATGTACGTACGTAATTAAAATACTTTTTTGCCAAAAAATGCTAATGGTCATCTGAGACTTCAGCAAGTTGTAATCTTTTTTGTTGGTGGGAAGTCTTGCCTTGATGTTGATGGCTGCTGACTGATCAAGGCGCTGGTTGCTGAAGGTTGGGTGGCTGTGGCAATTTCTTGACATAAGACAACAATGAAGCTTGCTGCAGTGATTGACTCTTCTTTTCCTGAAAGATTTCTCTGTAGCATGTATCGCTGTTTGATAGCATTTTACCCACAGTAAAACTTCTTTTAAAATTGTAGTCAATCCTCTCAAACCCTGCTGCTTGTTTTTCAACTGAGTTTATGTAATAAACTAAATCCTTTGTTGCAATTTCAACAATGTTCACAACATCTCCACCAGGAGTAGATTCCCTTGCAAAAGAAAAAAAAAAAGCAATTTTTTTCTTACCTATACAAGCAACTCCGCATTTGTTAAAGTTTTATCATGACATTGCAGCATTTCAGTCACATCTTCAGGCTCCGTTTATAATTCTAGTTGTTTTGCTATTTCCACGACATCTGCAGTGACTTCCTCCACTGAAGTCTTGAACCTTTCGAAGTCATTCATGAGAGTAGGAATCAACTTCTGGGAAATTCCTGTTAATGTTGACATTTTGACTTCCTCCCATGAATCATGAATATTCTTAATGGTACCTAGAATGGTGAACCCTTTCCAGAAGATTTTCAATTTACTTTGCCCAGATCCATCAGAGGAATCACTATGGCAGCTATAGCCTTATAAAATGTATTTCTTAAATAATAAGACTTGAAAACGGAAATTGCTTCTCGATTCATGGGCCGCAGAATGGATGCTGTGTTATTAGGCATGAAAAAAACACTAATACCCTTGTACATCCCTATCAACACTCTTGGGTGACCAGGTACATTGTCAATAAGCAGTAATATTTTGAAAGGAATCTTTTATTTCTGAGGAGCAAATCTCAACAGTGGGCTTAAAATATTTGTAAACCATGCTGTAAACAGATGTGCTGTCATCCAGGCTTTGTTGTCCCATTTATGGAGCCCAGACAGAGTAGATTTAGCATGGTTCTTAAGGGCCCTTGGATTTTTGAAATGGCACATGAGTACTGGCTTCAACTTAAAGTCATCAGTTGTATTAGCCCCTAACTAGAGAGTCACCCATTCCTTAGAAGTTTGAAAGCAGGCATTGACTTCTCTCTAGCTGTGAAAGTCCTAGATGACATCTTCTTCCAATAGAAGGCTGTTTCATCTGCACTGAAAATCTGTCATTTAGTGTAGTCACCTTCATTGATGATCTTAGCTAGATCTTCTGGATAACCTGCTGCAGCTTCTACAACAGGAGTTAGAGACCAGCCTGGCCAACATGGTGAAACCCCATCTCTACTAAAAATACAAAAATCAGCTGGGGATGGTGGAACACCCCTGTGGTCCCCAGCTACTTGGGAGACTGAGGCAAAAGAATCCCTTGACTCTGGGAGGTGGAGGTTGCAGGGAGCCGAGATTGCACCACTGCACTCCAGCCTTGGTGACAGAGTAAGACTTTGTTTCAAAAAAGAAAAAAACAACACAAAACAAAAAGAAGTATGCCTGTATATCTTGTGTTTTGATCAGGACATATTTGGTTGTATGAAAATCCATCCTCACTAGTAAAGAGGTGTTTTAATTTAGAGAAATAAGGAGCATCTTACAGGCATCAAAGAGCAAGAGACAAAGTATATAGGTGGGCTGTGGTGTTCAAAAACCTGTCTACAAATTACTTGACATTTCTTCGTCAATAGAGCGGGTCTTTTTCACCTCCCCTAAACTACTGCTGGCCTCCATACCTTGCTGCTGAATGTAGAATGCATCAGGAGTGGATGCCTCATGACTTCCTAGGCTAGGTCATAAAAGGCAATGCAGCTTCTGCCCGGCTCTCTCTTGGCAGACCCAGGGCTTTGGAACATTGAGCAGCTTCCAGGAAGACTTCCAGGTTTCTGAAACCACCTTGAAGGAGAGACCATGTGGAAAGACCATGTAGAGATAGAGAAAGATGCCTGAGGAGCCCAAGTTGTTTCAGCCCCACCTATGTGATCTTCCCAACTCAGGCCTCCAAGATGCAAGTGAGCCATCCATCCATCCACTGATTGCAGCGCCAGCCACTGTTTGATGGCAACCACATGACAGACCTCAAGTGAGAACCACCTAGCTGGTCCCAGCCAACCCCAGAAATGTGGGAAATAAGAATAATATGATTATTGGTCTTTCAGACTGCTCAGTTTTGGGGTGATTGTTACAGATCAATAGATAACTGAACACAGGTTGAGAGTATAAGATTTGGAAAGCTGAGTTTATGCCCTCTGTCTCTGATGAGGCTATGAGGCCTTTTGTCCTTGCATTTTTCTGTGCCCTATGCTTTCTTCATCTGCATCTCTCTGCAGCTGAGATTTCTGTTGCTTAGGACTCCTCTGTTCTCCACAACTTCAGCTTTGACTCATTTGGCTCTGGCTTTGGTATTGAACTCCTACCATCTCCTACCGGACCCAAACTCTGGTTCACTTGGTTCAGATCCTCAGTAGAGTGAACTTGACCACCTCACCATGGTCTATGAGATAGATTTCCTGGGTGAGATGCCTCAAGGTGGTCAATTGTGGCTGAGAGCTGCGTGGGTGGGGATATCAGTGTGGTAGCAAGGATGCAGGCAGGTTAAAATGTTTTAGACAAAGGTGAGGATGGGAAGGCAGTGGTCAGCATCTTAAGCTCAGCTTGAAAAATTTCTTTTCCTTTTTTGTATTCATAACTAAAAATTTGATGTTGAGGGTAAATAGGCAGAGATGCTTAAATTAATTTCTCAGAGTTTTGGTTATAAAATGATGATCTATGTATAAAATATCCAATACAGATGCCTGGCAGATGAAAGACAATCAACAAGATTAACTTCTCCCTGCCTTCTGCCTTTCTTTTCTCCTCTCTAAAAGACAAAAAAATTCTAAAATCCAATTCCTTGTCTTAGCATTTTAAGTTGCATTCCTTTCAACCTCATCCTCCTCCAATTCTCTGCTGAACCTTGTACCCTGGCCAAACAGTTCATTTTAAATAATCCAGGAAATAATGGAAGATTTATCATGCTTTCTTCATCATTGCACAAGTGATTTTCATACAGTAGTTTCTAAATAAACATTTCAGGATGGATTGGCTGTTGATAATTCATCTAGAAGTCATATAAATCATGATGATTGGTCGTTCAGAGCCAATCCCTGACTGACCAATCATCAATTTTTCAGTGTCTGTGGCTGAGTGGATGAAATTCACACTCTCACCATGCCTTACAAAGCCCTATGTGATCTTATGTCTGCTACCTCCCCATCACTGCTCATTAATCTTCAGACAAACCTTCCCTTTCCTTGTTTTTTACACAGCTCCTTCCTGCATGAAAACCTCCATCCATACTATTCCATGTTTCTGAAACATTCTTCCTCTTACCTCTTCACCTGGGTATCTTCTGAGTCTTAACTTAAAGATCACTTTCTCACTGCCTCCTCCTTCTACATCACACTAAATCATGTCCCTTATTCTATCTTATTATGGGACCTGGAACTTTCCTTCACTACATTCATTGTAATGACAATAACATCAATATATATATAAGCTGATTTATATAGTATCTATACCCAACCAGACTGCAAACAACTTGAAGGCAGTGGTTGTGTCTGTCTCATTCACAGTCGTACCTCTGATGTTTATCATTGTGCTTGGCTCAACATAGACACTGAGCCATTATATGAATAAAAGAAGATGGTCACTAACACTTATATGACGCTTACAGCATGCCAGGCATATTGTAATTTCATTTAATAAGATTGAGTGAATGAGTGAATGTGCATAATGTAAACTATTCTCCTGATTTAGAAAAAAGTCAGTATTTTAAAGCCTTCACACACTATAGCACACCTCCTAGGTGCTCAGTGGATGGTATGCTATCAACTTACTTTACTGAGTTTGACAGCACTGTCTAAAGAACTCTCTGAGACTCTCTGTGTAGCAGAAGAAATTACCTAGTGCTGTCATTGTGATTCTGAGTGAAAGAGGGCAGGTTGGGTTCAGGCTTTTCTCCACGTTTCAGTCTGTGGTTTGCTCTGGTTTCCTCTGACCTGTAACACTATCTGATAGAAGATTCTCAAGGCCTGATCATTTTTAGATGTTTATTTGCCCCTCTGCTTGCTAAGATTTCATGCCTATTTATCACCTATGCTAAAGAACAGGGCTAGCTCACCAGAAAATAACTGACAGATGAGGTTGTGTAATGAGAAAATTAGAACTTCATGACTCCCGTGCAAGCTTAGAGTCCATCGTAATAGCTTGGAGCTTGCAGCAGCTTCTGAGTAGAAGGGAGACCTGATTCTAGGAAGAAATATGATAATTGGAGACCCGGGGGAGGTCGACTGACTTTGGCCAAGTAAGAAATTACCTTCAGTTGTTCTGTTACTGTAATTCAGCAACTCCAATTATCACAAGGTAATAAAGTGTACATGTCCGAATCCATTAAAGGAGCTTTAATGAAATCATTATACCTATGATGCCTAATTATAGTTGGTATTACTCCTATGATTAGTGTAGGGCTAGTGAAATATAAGGAATCAAAGAATGGGCCAATTAATACAATATGTGAAAATTCTCCCATGCTGCTTCATGTTTAGGGTGAGGATTGGGCATTTCCCTGGGGCAGAGAGAAGCACAAAGCAGAAAACAGCTCCTCTGGGAGGGAAAGAAGGAGTAGGTGCTTCTAAACTCTGGACTGATTATTACTCAAGCAGTGAATCTGATTTGAAGCTTTCTGGTTGCCATGGCAGGTAAGGAAACAGAAAGATACACAATGTTCATTTCTTGAAAACAGGCAGCACACACATTTATCTACCAAAATGATGGCATTCTTTAAATTTCTGCAACTTTATTCAAATAGAAATTTATCACTTGGCTTCTGGTAGCTTCTTCCTTCTCTAATTCCTTTATGGCCTCTCCTCCCGACTTTGAGCTGAGCACCAATTCATCTCCTGTTCTTCCTCCTTCACTTCTCTTTTTCAATCTGTAGAAACAGGGAAGAGTTTGGTTGAAAATTGTTTTTTCGTCAGCACAGAGGTTCTTCCACTGTCTTTCTGAGCCTCAGTTTTCTCTTCTGTGAAAATGGTGATTATGTTATCTCTTTAGCAGGGCTGTTTACATAATCAGTGCCTATTCCACAAATGTGTAGTGAGTGCTTTCTGTGTGCAGGGCTGTGCTTGTATAACAGACATTGAGCATAATATGACATAGTTATCCTCAACTGTAAGTGTAGGAAGGCCGTGAAGGCACTTTGTTCAATAAATAAATAAACCTCTTGCAAACAGATATATATATATATATATATATATATGTATGTTTAAAAACAGGCCAACTACTTTAAATCAGCAAATTTCCTAGACAATGCCAGAAATGCTCACCATGAAGACATACATTATATCCCTTTATGTCTAAGGAATATTTTGCTATACATTGTCATAAACACAGGAATGATTATGTCCATGTTATAGATGAGAAAACTGAGGACTTGAGAGGTTAATTAACATTGAATCTGAATTAGCAGCAGCATGTAGGAAGTTTATCTCCCTGGTTTTCTCAAATGGGGGATGCATATGATTTTCATAAGTGCTATACAATTATTTGGGGCAGAATGCTGGTTGTTGACTTTTAAATTTGGATTTATATCATTATATGCCACTTTCTAACCCCTATAATTATTTTTAAATTATGACGTACCATAGGTTATTGTAAACACAATAAAACCCCAAAGTACATATGAAAAGTGAAAATGTGAAAACCCCTGCACCCATTTCTCTCCTGTATCCCATCCTCCACAGATGATCACTCTTCACTATTTTGGACACCTTAGGTAGACTGGAGATTCTGCCAGAATTTTGAAACATTCGATAATGTGATGAACCTAGAAATGCCAACCACTTCTTCCAGTCTGATGGGCTTCCTGGGGGAGTTATGTGCTAAAAGCAGACACCCAGTGGGAGATACAAAACTGCCTTATTAGTAGCAGAGACAGTGACTGATATCTACCAGTGCAGAAGTCTGCACTCCCACTTGGAGGCAGGAAGCAAAGAACCACCCATGTTTTTAATGCAGTGACCCGGCCCATTAGCACCCTTGTTTAATCAGTGTCTTAGGTTTTGGTCAGTTAGACTGGAGATACCTCTTCCCTTTGGGGAAGGTAGGGGAGAGCTGTGGTGGCGGTAGGGTGGCTTGTAGCATCTTTTTTTCCATAGGATTGTATAAACTAGCCTGGACTGGAGTAGTAGCACTGTTCCTACCCTGCAGCCCAGGTCTTCCTACATCCCCACAGTTCTCTCTTGACTGCAAGCCATAGAAAGCCTGGCCAGCAGCATTTGCACCAGCTCCAGCATCTTATCTCCCGGCTTCTCTGGGCAGTTTCCCTCTAGACCTTTCCTGGCCACAGTCTGGCTTCTGACTCTTTAAAGACCCCAGGTACCCACCCAGTGTGGTGTGGTGCTCTTTGAAATGCCTCTTCTCTCAGCCTTCATTTTCCTCCCAGGTTTGGGATCGGAAACTCCTGACTTTGGTGCTGGAAGACAGGCTGTTCTGTGTTCTCGAGTAGGAAGTGTCTCTGCCAGGCTTGAGCTGGCTTAAAATGGATCTGCCATACATTGATAGAAAAGCCTTTTGGATCTGTTCATGCAGTTATCGCTCACAAACTATCTTGTAGTGTCTATGGTGATGCCAGTTCCTGTGTGTGTATGTGGCCAAGTAGGGGTGGGTTGTTTACATATATGAATCAGGATCTTTCTTCTCCACGAAATTTATTTCATTCATTCAGAATTTACTGAGCATCCACCACATGGCAAATGCTGTGTACCTACGTGCTGGACATATAGAGGTGCAAACAAAGTCTCATGTCTTTCCTCACATGTCTTAGACACTAGCGGAGAATAGAGACAAAAAAGTAAACATGCGGCTGGGTGCCGTGGCTCATGCCTGTAATCTCAGCACTTTGGGAGGCCGATGCTGGCAGATTACTTGAAGCCAGGAATTTGAGACCAGCCTGGCCAACATGGTAAAACCCTGTCTCTACAAAAAATACAAAAATTAGCCAGGTGTGGTAGCACATGCCTGTAATTTCAGCTACTTGAGGGGCTGAGGCACGAGAATCACTTGAACCCAGGAGGCAGGTGTTGCAGTGAGCCAAGATTGCACCACTGCACTCCAGCCTGGGTGACACAGTGAGACTTTGTCTCGAAAAAGTAAAAAAAAAAAAGAAAGTAAGCATGAAAATACAAACCATGATCGTTTTATGCTATAGATACAAGAGGTTTCTACTTACAAAGTTGTATTCACATTTCTTGAGACAGTGTGGTGTGGTTGGCAGTGCATGAATAGCTTATCTACATTTTCTAAGCTTTATTTTGTATTTTCAACTACAAATTTAAGGTCCTAGCTTGAATTGAATCATAGCTGGTACCACTTGTGGAGGTTTCTTTCTAAGGACTGTGCCTAAGGTGAAAACTGAGCGTAGTCAAAATTTCCCCCTTAAAAACAATTACAAATCCTTTCAATCACTCACAAAGTCCAACATATACATAGTTTTCTGTATACATTACAATGTATAAATTCATAATTTAAGCAATTCATGGGCAATCATATATAGTATTTGAGTTGATATGCAAATTTTAATTTTGTACTGTATTTGTAAATTTTTAAAAATGGCTAAACTATGAAATTACTAATATTTGAACATTTTTAACCTATACAAATTATAATTTCACCTGATCCAACCCAATAAATAACTATTTTTCTCTTTTGCCTTATACAGCATTAAATTGATGTTATTCTATATGGGACTCTAACTGCAAAGAATTGTTCCAGAGATATCATTTTTGGGGTGATAGAAATATTCTAAAAATTGGGATTGTGGTGATGGTTACACAACTCTGTAAATTCACTAAAAGTCATTAATTTGAACACTTACAATGAGTGCATTTTATGGTATATAAATTGTGCCTCAATAAAACTATTAAACAAAATGAAAGAGCTCAAGACTAGACACATGGATGAGGTCTGGTATATGGAGTTTTCCATGATGCCTTTGATGAGGTATCTCACAACATCCCTTTTGAGTTAAGTCAGGTCTGGCTACTCTGTATAAGGAAAAGGCTCAGAGGGATAAGGTGACTGAGCCAAGGTCACACAGCATGTACCTAGCAGAGCAGGGATGGAAATACCATCTGGCACTGAGACACTAGGCTGATTCCATTTCTTTTCATGCAACCGGGATTGGGGGAGCTCCCTTCCTTCTCACTATCCCTCTGAATGCTCTGACATGGTTTGCTCCAAAGCATATCTTGGGAACTGAGCAGCCTGGGAGTGGAATGACTGTGGAAAATGGATTTGCACAACTGCCTCCCTGGGCAGCCCACTTTGGAAACCATTTGTGACCTGTAATTGACCATGACGATATAAAAATTGGAAGCTGAAAATTACAAACATGTGAGGTTATTAGATGGTGAAATTGCAGCTTCCCATCAGCCTGCTGCTTCCTGAATTCTCAGTTTTGCTTTTGGGGGCTAGAGCTTGGCAAATCCTCATGATACACCCCCTCCCTTGCCTGAATGTGCTCCAGGCTACCTGTTTCCCCTGCTCAGGGGAAAAAGAACAAGAACCCTGATACCCAGCTGGGTGAGCCACTAAGCAGAGGAGAGAAAAGCCTCTACTTGTCCCATCAGGTTCTATCACATTGCATCCCTTTGAAGCTGTGCATCTGATCTGAGTCATCATCAGGGCTCCCCACTTGCTTGGCCTGACAAGGGCTTGCAAGGCCTCCAGTTACCTCTCTGACCTCATCACCCTCACTCTAACCTTAATCTCTCCCTGCTCACGATGATTGACTAACCTGGCTATTCCTCCAAAGTGTCAGCACACTCCTGCCTCCACATGTTTGCACTGGCCGTGCCCTCTACCTGAGATGCTCTTTCCTCAGACATCTTCATGGCCAGCTCCTGCAAGCCTTTGGCCAAATGTCACCCTTTCAATGATGTCTACCCCGACTACCAGGCTCTATCAGCCACCCCCAGTTCCTTATCTCCTTACTCTGCTTAATTTTTTCCCACATTGCTGATTATCTTCCACAACAACATATCATATAATTTACATATCCCATTTAGGATTCATTGTCCACTTTTCTCCTGGGGATATCAGCTCCTCGAGGGCAGTGAAAGTGCCTATTTGTTTACTGATACATCCTAAGTGCTCACGAAGAGTGCAAATTAATCTCCAATAAAACTTCGTGGCATCTTTTTTTAATGACAGCTTTAGTGAGGTATAATTCACATACCATGCAATTCACCTATTTAAAGTGTGCAATTTAATGTTTTTTAGGATGTTTGCAGGGCTATGCAACCATCACCACAAATTGAACATTGTCACCACCCTCAAAAGAAACCCTGTACCCTGTAGCCATTTTTCATTTCTCTCTAACCTCCTGTTAGGAGAGGCAGCCACTAATCCACTTTCTGTCTCTATAGATTTGCCTCTTTGAACGTGTTATATAAATGGAACCATGCAGTATATTTTGAAGCTTTAACCATGTTGTAGTGTATACTAGCACTTTCATTTTAGAGCTGAATAATATTCCATTGTGTGAGTATATTGCATTTTATTGATATATTCATTAGCTCATAGATACTAGGGTTATTTCTACTTTTTGACTTATAAATATTGCTGCTATGAACATTCACATATAAGTTTGTGTGTGGACATATGTTTTCTATTATCTTGGGTATATACCTAGGAGTGGAATTACTGGGTCATCTGGTAACTCTCTATTTAACCTTTTGAGGAACTCCCAGATTTTTTTTAATGGCTGCACCATTTTATAATCTTACCAGCATTATATGAGGGTCATGTTATGTGTTTTAAAAGTTAAACACCTCAGTCAACAAAGAGATCCTAAATGTTTTGCTGAATAAAATATTCTGATGTCATTCAAACACATGTCACTGTGTTTCTTTCAAATAGGTATTTTTGAGATGACTTTTCTCCCTTCTCCCTTCTCTGTGTGTTTCAGACTCCCATTCCCTAGAAACATTGTGAAAGAAGTCTTGGGAATTCGCAGGGATACAAGGATGCCTTTGAAACTGATGTATTAAACTAAAGTGAGGTGGTCCTGGCCTCTGGTGGCTGAGCACTTTTGTGCAGTGTGGCCCTTATAAATAACAGGGCCTGGTTGTAAATTGTGATTCTGTAGTCTTTTTCCACAACGTGTAGAACAGTGCTGTACATAAAAGTGGAACTTGGACATAACAGGTGTTCAGTTATTATGTTTTAAATAACTGGCTGAAGTAATCATGGCAGGTGTACTCTCAGATGTTGGGAGTGCTCAAAATCGACTTACTTCCTCAAATATTTGTTGTTCCTTATAGTGATGAGGGTAGAGCAAACATTGTTGGTGCCATGCTCAGATCCCCCTACCTTCAGCCCACACCAGAGGTTACCTGCAAACTCTTCCGGTATGTGGTGGCAGCTCTGAGTCTCTGTCTGAGGGCATTTTTTGGTCACAGATGGTTGTTCACCATGCATTTGGAGCAGCCACAATTTCTGGGGACCCCAGGAACAACTCAATCAATGAGGGCTGGAAGTTGGTGATAAATACCCCAGCTTACTTGCCAGCCAGTTGAGGAAAAATCCTTGGATGTAACCACAGTCTCAGGATCCCTACTGGGATTGGGCCCAGTGGCCCAAAGTGGGAACCAGCCCTCTTTTCTGGCTTACTTTTACTTCCTGTCCCATTCCCCACTCCCTCTTGGGGCTATTGGGATAACATCACAAATACATGACTGTCACCTGAATCCTTGTCTTAGCGTCTACTCCTGATGAAGCCCAACCCAAGGCAACCCTTAGGATTTTGTATTCATGGACTACCTGGCTGGTCAGCAGAAAGCAGCTCCTGGTCTGTGGTAGTCCTGCTGGGCATCTGGCAGTGAGTAAAGATTTGATTTGAATTTGCATGTCAGAGATTTGGAATTGGGACTAATCAGCTGTGACTGGCGATTCCAGGAAGCAGGAACTAGAGGGAGGACAGATGGTATTATGAGTGCTTGTGAGGGGGTGAGGCAGCATGTGGGAGGGACAATCTGAGACTCAGGGATTATGCAGAGTGTCCCTCACCAGGAGTATTAGTTTGTTTTGCATTGCTGTAAAGGAATACTTGAGGCTGGGTAATTTATAAAGAAAAGAGGTTTATTTGGCTCATGGCTCTGCAGGCTGTAAAAGCATGGTGTCAGCATCTGCTCAGCTTCTGGGGAAACCTCAGGAAGCTTACAGTCATGGTGGAAGGGAAGGGATAGCAGCCATGTCACATGGTAAGAGAGAGAGGAGGAGGTTCTAGACTCTAACTCTTTAGCTCTTGCATGAACTCATTACAAAGGTGAGAGCACCAAGCCAGTCATGAGGGATCCACCTCCATGACCCAAAGGCTCACTTCCAACTAAGGATCACCTCCAACATTTGGGATCACATTTCAACATGAAATTTGGAGGGGACAAATATCCCAACCATATCACTCTGCCTTTGGGCCCCCAGATCTCATGTCCTTCAAACATTGCAAAATACAATCATCCCTTCCCAATAGTCCCCCAAAGTCTTAACTTGTTCCATCATAAATTGAAAAATCGAAAGTTCAAAGTCTCATTTTATAATCAAGGGAAGTTCTTTCCACCTATGAATCTCTAAAGTTAAAAACAAGTTATTTACTTCCAAGATTCAATGGTGGTACAGGCAATGGGAAGACATCCCCATTCTAAAAGGGAGAGATTGGCCAAAAGAAAGGGCAACAGGCCCTGTGCAAGCCCCAAACCGAGTAGGGCAAACATGAAACCTTAAAGCTCCATAATTATCTCCCTTGACTCCATGTCCTGCACCCAGAGCACATTGGTGGAAGGGGTGAGATCCCAGGGCCCTGGGTAGCTCCGCCCTTGTGGCTTTGCAAGGTGCAGCCCCCAAGGCTGCTGTCATGGGTTGAAGTTGAGTGTCTGTAGCTTTTCCAGGCTGAAGTTGCAAGCTGCTGGCGGCTCTATTGTTCTTGGGTCTGGAGGATGGCAGCTCCTTCTCCACAGCTCCACTAGGCAGTTCCCTGGTGAGGACTCTGTGTGGGGGCTTCAACCCCACATTTTCCCTCCACACTGCCCTAGTAGAGGCTCTCTGTGAGGACTTCACCCTTGTGGCAGGCTTCTGCCTGGGCACCCAAGCTTTCTGTTCCATCTGCTGAAATCTAGGTGAAAGGAACCAAGCCTCCTTCACTCTTGCATTGTGCCAGCCTATAGACTTAACACCACACAGAAGCTGCCAAGGCTTATGGTGGCTTGTGCTCTTCAAAGTGGCAGCCCAAGCTGTTCCAGGTACCCTTTGAGCCACAGCTGGAGCTGGGGCAGCTGTGATGGGAGTAGCAGTCTCCCAAGGTGACACAGGGCAGTAGTGTCCCAGGCCTGGGCCCTGAAATCATTCTTTCTCTGGACTCGTGATGGGAGGGGCTGTTTCCAAGATTTCTGAAATGCCTTCAAGGCTTTTTTCCTATTGTCTTGGATATTAGTACCTGGATCCCTTTTAGTCATGGCAATCTCTCTAGCAAGTGGTTGCACCACAGCCTACTTGTATTCCTCTCCTGAAAATGCTGTTTCTCTATGACATGGCCAGGCTGAAGACTTTCCAAATGTTTGTGCCATGCTTCCTTTTAATTAGAGAGAAAAAATTGGTACCAGGAGTGAGGCATTTATATAAAGATACCTGAAAATATGAAAGCAGCTTTAGAACTGGGAAATGGCAAAGGTTGGAAGATTTTGGAGAGCTCATAAGAAGAAAATAAAATGAGGGAAAGTTTGGAACTTCTTAGAGACCGGTTAAGTAGTTGTGACCAACATGCTGATAGAAATATGGATGGTGAAGGCTAAGCTGAGGCAGTCTCAGATGGAAATGAAGAATTATTGGAAACTGGAGCAAAGTTTGCCCTTGTTATGCCCTAGTGAAGAACTTGGCTGCATTGTGCCCAGGTCCAAGCAATTTGTGGAAGGGTGAACTTAAGACTGATGATGGAAGACTAATGGAAGAAATTTCTAAGCAGCAAAGCCTTCAAAATGTAGCATGGCTGCTTCTGACAACCTGTGATTAGATGTGGAAACAAAGAAATGACTTAAAATTGGAACTTATATTTAAAAGGGAAGAAGAGCGTAAAATTTGGAAAATTTGCAAGCTGGCCATGAGGTAGAGTAGGAAAGAGTATTTTCAGAAGAGAAATACAAGTTGGCTGTGCAGCAACCACTTGCTAGAGATATTTGCAAGAGTAAAAGGGAGCCAAGTGCTGAAAACGAAGACAATGGAAAAAAGGCCTCAAACTCATTTCGGAAATCTTCGAGGCAGCCCCTCCAATCACAGGTCCGAAGGAAAGAATGGTTTTGGGAGTCAGACCCAGAGTGCCACTGCCCTGTGCTTCCTCATGACACTGCTCTTCACATCTTGGCAGCTGTGGCTCCAATCTCAGCTCAAAGGGTCCCACATATAGCTCGGGGCTGCTGCTCTGAAAGGTGCGAGCCGAAAGCTTTGGTGGTTTCCATGTGGTGTTAAGTCTTCAGGCTGGCAGAATGCAAAAGCGAAAAAAGCTTGGAAGCTTCCACCTAGATTGCAGAGGATGTGTCAGAAAGACTGAGTGCCTGGGCAGAAGCCTGCCACATGGGTGGAACCCCCACAGAGAGCCTCTACTAGGGCAGTGTGGAGGGGAAATGTGGGATTGGTCCCCCCACACAGAATCTCCACCAGGGAACCGCCTAGTGGAACTGTGGGAAGGAGGCTGCCATCCTCCAGACCTGAGAAAGCTACAGCCACCAGCAGCTTGCAACCTCAGCCTGGAAAAGCCACAGGTATTCAACTCCGACCCATGAGAGCAGCCTTGGGGGCAGCACCCTGCAAAGCCACAGAGGCAGAGCTGCCAAGGCCCTGGGATCCCACCCCTTGAACCATTGTGCTCTGGATGTGGGACATGGAGTCAAGGATAATTTTGGAGCTTTAAGGTTCAATGTCTGCCTTGCTGGGTTTTGGACTTGTGTGGGGCCTGTTTTCCCTTTCTTTCAGCTGATTTCTCCCTTTCAGAATAGGAATGTTTACCCAATGCCTGTATCACCACTGTATCTTGGAAGTAAATAACTTGTTTTTCATTTTACAGGCTCACAGCTATATCTTGAGTTTCAGAAGAGATTTGGACTTTGGATTTTTCAGTTGGGGCTGGAAGGAGTTAATACTTTAGGGAACTAAAGGATGATTGTATTTTACAATAAGAGAAGGATATGAGATTTGGGGCGGGGGAGGGGGTCAAAGACAAAACAATATAGTTTGGATGTTTGTCCCTTCCAAATCTTATGTCAAAATGTGATCCCCAATGTTGGAGGTGGGCCTATGGGAGGTATTTGAGTCATGCAGGTGGATCCCTTATATCAAATACATTTACACAACTAATTAAGAATAAAGGATGAAATGGATTGTAAAACCTTATGGACTGTGTGTCTCTGCTCAGATGTCAGTTTTGTGCTACCCTCATGGTAAGTTCTTGCTATATTAGTTCTTAGAGTAAGTTCTGGCTATATTAGTTCACACAAGATCTGATTATTTAAAAGAGTGTGGCACTTCCTCCCTCTGTCTGTCTTTCTCCTTCTCTTTCCATGTGACATGCCTGCTACTCCTTAGCCTTCCACCATGATTGTAAGCTTCCTGAGGCTTCACAGAAGCTGAGCAGGTGCTGGTACCATGCTTGTACAGCCTGTAGAACCACAAGCCAAATCAATCTCTTTATAAACTATGCAGCTTCAGGCATTCCTTTATAGTAATGCAAAATGGACTAACACAATAGGACAGTGGGAGGAAGGTACAGATATGTGTGGTCAGGCACCTGTAGATTCAGTCATCCCTGCATGCAGGACTGGTGACACAACTTGTGGGGCCCGGTGAAAAGTGAAAATGCAGGGACCTGATTGAAAAATAATTGGGAATTTCAATATGGTGATAGCAGAGCATTAAACCAAGTGTGGGTCCCTCTGTGCATGGGCCATGTGAGACTGCACAGGGCCCATGCCCATGGAGTTGGTCCTACCTAAATATCTGAATCTCCCTCAGACCCACATTTATGCCCCCGATGTTTGCTTTAGAAACATCCTTGCAATCTTTGCTCTGCCAGGCTGGACCCTCCTCACTGGCCCCTCTGCCCCCAGGCATTCTGCCTTCCAATGCACCCTTCATACTGCGCATAGAATGATTGTTGTAAAACACAGCTGTGATCACTTTACCTCTGTCCTCAGAAGTCTTTAATAGCACCCCACTGACTGTGGCTGTGGTTTGAAAATCGTGATGGGCAGGCCCCCTCGGGTGCTCTGAGCCTGCTGCTGAGGGTGAGAGAGGTTGTGCTCGCTGCTTCTCTCATTCCCATTGCAAACACAGCAGAACCATTTTTTATCTGTTTTGCATATATATTGGGCTTCCACATAAGATTTCATTTGAGAACAAGTTTCTACTCCTAAAATAAAAATCATTTGGGAAGCTACTGGCCGCAGAATTAAATCCAAGCTTCTGAGCTTAGCATTTAATGTCCTCGATGCTCTATGTTAGAGGTTGGCCATTTTAGGCCCATGGGCCAAATCCAACCCATGGCTAAGAAGGATTTTTGCATTTTTAAATAGTTACATTTTAAATGATTTTGTAAATACTTACATGATACATTATCCCCCATTTGGCCTCTTGGCCTGCAAAGCTTCATATTTACTATCTGGCCCTTTAAGAGAAAGTGTACTGATTCCTGATCTAGCTCCATTATTTCCTTCCACATTTAACTTTTAGGATTCCAGCACATTTACCCTACAGAGCCTGGCTTAGTACCTTACAAAGCTAGGACAATTATATGCCTGGTTTGTTGTCCTGGCATCATTATTCATATTAATAGAGCCCTTTTCACTCTCCTAAGTGTCTTTGGGAAGTAAATTATATTGTCATCCTACATATAACTGACAAATGAATTGAATTGAAAGGAAGATCAAAAACCACCAGCACATTTTGTGACAAAGTATATTATGTTTGATACTTAGGGCATCTCCTGAAGAGGTTCCAAGTTTTGTCTGTTTGAGCTAATACCCAGAAATGACAAGCATTATAAAAAAGAATGGCCTTAAAAATAATTACTATGCTTCTGTTATGTATGTGATGGATTTCTAGCACTAACGACATCTTCGCTTGCCTAATTTTCTTAAAAGGATTTAACCAATCTATCTGATTTTTAAAAGCAGCATGAGGTATGTTAACAGAAACCCATATTGGGACACAAATGCAGTCTCGTGCTAGGTATTGAATATTTTGTTTAGAGAAAGGCTATATTTAGGGAGTGGGGGAGGAGTTGTCCTTTCATCTGATATTCTAGGAAATGAACTATTTTTGCTACTTTCTGTGCCTGGAGCACAGCATGGATGTTTATCTGTAACAGGCCCAACTTTTAGAAGATGCCAACTCCAAATGACCTGGATATTATCCAACTAAGTGCTTTTAAATTCCCAGTAATAACTAACCAAGCATGAAGAATAACTCAATTTTGGATGAATCTAATCTTATTTATAAACAGGCGCCTACAGAAATTCTGAAGTTTAACATAATTTAGAAAGTTGAGATGCAAAAGCATGCTTCTTAATGATCTTCCTGCCATCCTGTCTTTAAAAATTTATTCAGTCAAGGAGCATGTTCAGGGGGCATGTATGCTTCCAGATTTCAGCACCAGAGAAAGTGCAAAGAATAGCTTCACCCATTCTCTGTCCTCCAGGAACCTAGTTCTGGTATTTAGGGCCAGTCAGTGCCCTTGGTGATATGGCAATGGGCTGCTCACCAGGCTGAGAGGTTCTGAAATCTTGGAAGAGGTGTATTGTTTGTTGTTGCAACAAATAGCTTGAGGAAAACTAAAAATGGCTAAAAGAGTACAGAATGATGTGGATGATGTTTTTATTCAGGGTGGTCTGGGAAGGCCTCTCTGGGGAGATGACATCTGAGCAGAGTGAGTCCATAGGGTCTTACAATCCATTTCATTCTTCATTCTTGATTAGTTGTGTAAATATATCTGGTATAAGGTCCCTGAATTCCTTCAAGGAGGCTCAGACCTCCTCCCTACCCCCAAATACTAAAAGAGACCAGTTTTTTCTCAAAGCCCAAAAGAAATAAATTTCAAATACTGCTCAAAAGAAACTTTAGCCCCTGTTAAGTCTGTCAGTTGCCTTATGCTAAGTTTATAGTCAGGGTCCTCTCCTACGAGTAGGTGATGAAAAGGGGTTGGAAATTCACCCAAGGGAATAAGTACAGAGGAATGGTAAGAATTGACTCTGGAATGAGAGAGCAACCTCCTAGTGTTCCCACTGAAATAAGGTGGCTACTACTACTAACAACTCACACTTGTTGAGTATTTACGTGTCGCTGAGTATTTGCCTGTGCCTGGTACTGGGCTTGACCTTTCCATTCTTTAGCCTGGCACATCCCTCCCCAACAATTTTAGAGAAGTAGAGAGGTAGGCTATCAGCTGAGCAGAGCCCAGTGGGGTTTAGAAGGCAGAGATGGTGAAAATGGGCCGCTGGACTGTAAGCTTCATGAGGATAGGGACTGTATTTTTTTTTCCTCAGGATTTAGCACAGTGCAAGGCTATTATCAATGTGCAATAAATATTTGTTGAATGAATGAATGGATGAATGAATGAGTAGTACTAGCGAAAGCACAGAGGCAGGAGACTAGGCATGTGTAGAATTCCATGTGTCTGGAGTCTGGAGTCTGATCTCTCTTCCCTGCTGGGGATATCAGAGTAGATGAAGCTTGGAGTCTGAGGTGAGTGAGAAAGTGTGTGGGGTAAAGTTGGAAAGGTAGATTGGGACCTGGAGTGGAGACAATGTTATGAGGACACAGTTTCTGTTTCCTGGAGACATAAGAAGACTGTATTTCCCAGCTTCCCTTGGGGTTAGACTGGTGCCATGTGACAATTCTGACCAATGGCCTGAGTGGAGGTGACTTCTGGGCTGAGGCAGTTAAGAGCACACAGGCCACCTCCACTTCTCTGTTCTCCTGTTGTGGTGACCATGAAGGTCACCTACCATGATGGCAGAGCCACAGGGGTAGCAGCCTGGATCTCTGAGTCACTGCTTGGAAGATGGCTACTTAACTAGCACTAGACTTTTAGTGAGGGACAAATATATCTTTGTTACGTTAAGCCACTGAGATTTTGGGGTTTATATGTTACTGTAGTATATCTTATTCTATCTTGACTAATGCATGACCAGATTTCTGGGGGCCTTAAATGCCAGGCTAAGGGCTTTCTGCTCTTAGAGAGCAAAAAGTGCAATTGCTGTTGCCAGCAGTCCTCCTACATACTCATCTAGAGTAGGTCCACATGTGTGGGGGAACCTGAGGGCTTATCCCTGCTGTTGGGGCAAGTGATTCAATGCCAAGAGAGCATGACTCTCTACATGCACTCAAAAGATGAGTACCAGGTAAGTTCTCGTTGAGAAAGGCCTTCTCTTCTTTTCCTCTGACCTGATGGTCTTTGTGGCAGTCCAAGTATGTTAGGTGGGCATCAGAAGTGGTCCTGGCAAGAAGGCCTGATCAGAAAGACTAAAAATGAGGTCAGGCTGGTTGTGAAATTTATTTTGGGATGTTCAAAGTGGCTCAGACTGCAGAGTCTGCGTGATTGCTGATAGAGAGGCATCTCTTTTGTGTTAAGACACTGAGGATGGAGAAAAGCAGTGGTTTCAATTTAATCTCCAAATAGTGTTTTTTTTTTTTTTTAAATAAAAGCATGTCACATGAAACTACTCTGCACCTTGATGTTTTTCACTCAGTGCCTATCGCAGACCACCTTTCCCCTCATTCTCTTCAATGGGTGCTTATTCTCTCAGAATAGGCATACCACCCTTTCTGAAGACATTCCCCTATTGAGGGACCTTTTTATTTTTGTCTCTGATTCCTCAATATTATAAATGAGGCTACAGTAAACACTCTTGTACACATCCCCTGAACACATGTCCAGTGTTTCTGTAGTGAGACATCTGGGTTGGAAGGTATGAGCCCTTTTTGTCTTGATAGGTACTGCCAAGTTGCTACCTTAAAGGGCTGTGATCATTTATGCTCCAGAGATTGGTGATTTTGATAGAATAATTCTCCTGAGGAACTCAGCCCCTGCTTCTTGGTCAAGGATGAGGGAGCCACAGACCCTGTGGAACACGTGTTTGCCTCCACTCCTCTCATTTAATCTGCAGCACAGATTCTTCACGGGAGTCCCTTCCCATGGGTGCTCCCCCTCCACAAAGCTCACATTTAAGTCCTGAAAAATGAGAGGACTTAATCCAGTCTCTATCAGATCTAAATCAGAACGTTTTTCCCCTTTTGCCATTTTAAATTACCTCTTAGCTCAGCCCCAGACTGAGTAATTCAGAGTTAATGGGATATGAAAGTCATGGTCCATGGCATGATTGTGGGTACCTAGCCAGAGGGAAGCAAGATTTATTTTCTTGGAACCCAACTGGGTTGAAAAGGGTGATAAATCAGCAGGGCTATTGCTAGCTCCCCTTCTGCTGCAAGTTTCATTCCAGCTTATCAGAATAATCATCTTAGTTCTGAGACAGGAGATAAACAGCCAAATCCAGAGTCCCACTATGTGGTAAGAGGGAGAGATGTCTTTCTGAAGTCTCTTTTCCTAGGTATCTTTGGATGGGGGTAGGGAACATGTTATCATCAAACTGCAGTCCAGTGAAAAGCATCAGTCTGTATTTGCCCAAGGCACAGGCTTGGATTTTGTGTCCATGAACACAGCTGGTTTGAGGTTTCTGGTCTACTTGGGGATGCTGTGTAAAAGGTCCTTGGAATTGCATGCTGATTCACTGTGTCCTGTGAACTGATTGCAGGGACACACTTCTCCATGACTTGGCCATTTCTCTCTCCGTTATTCTGGCTCTTGGTTCCTCTTTGGTTGTTCTGCAGGGGTCTAGCAATCATTCCCACAGAGAACACTATACTGGTTTTGTGGTCATTCTCTAGGTGTTCCCTTGACTTTGTGACCAATCCCACTGGTGACAGTATTATAATGTGGGGCTCATGGAGCAAAAGTCACAGATATATATGCCTGTGGAATCCTAAGGGGCCACAGCTTACACAAGTACACACAGAATCACCTTAAATAGTAACCTGAGGCTGGGAGTGGTGGCTCGTGCCTGTAATCCCAGCACTTTGGGAGGCCGAGGTGCATGGATTGCTTGAGGTCAGGAGTTCGAGACCAGCCTGGCCAACATGGTGAAACCCTGTCTACTCAAAAAAATACAAAAATTAGCTGGGTGTGGTGGTGGATGACTGTAATCCCAGCTACTCAGGAGGCTGAAGCATGAGAATCTCTTCAACCTGGGAGGCAGATGTTGCAGCTAGCCGAGATAGCGCTACTGCACTCCAGCCTGGGCTACAAAGTGAAACTGTCTTACCAAAAAAAAAAAAAAAAAAAAATAGTAACCTGAAATGTCAAATGCTAGCAGTGGCTGAATTCTCACTTTGGCTTATGCTAAGCTGCTTTATAAGTATTATCTCATTTTATCCCCCAAACTGTTCTGTGAAGTTGACGCTACTATTGCACTCATTTTACAAGTGAGGGAAGTGATGCCTGGAGAGGTTATCAATGGCTTGTTCGAGATCACAGAACTAGCAAGGGACCACAGAGCTTATGTTGGCTGCTTCCATGTACGTATTTACACAAACGTCCATTTACACAAATACATATGCATGCAGAGATGCACATGCATAAACATTCAGATTAAAACATGTGTGTGCACACACACAGACACTCACTCAAGGAGAATGTTCAGCAAAGAACTAGTGATTGAGTCTTGTGATTGTTAATTAGAACAAAAGCCTGGATTCCTAGCTTTCTTCTCCTTGAAGCTTCCTCACTTTGTTTACTGTAGAAACGTAAATAGAAAAAAAGACATTGGCAGGCCCGTTTAAATTTGGGGTGTTGCCTAGGAAAGGCTGGAGGGCTACGTTCTGTGAGCCCAGTCAAAATAAAGTTTGGTTTGGGCCCTGGACTTTGGACTGCAGAGTTGGATGCTTATTTATTTCTGCATCAGGAACAGGCTCATCCCTTGGGCAGATTCATATTAACTGAGGTTAAGATACTGAGCTATGATCCTGCTGTACAAACTCATCCTCCTAGGAGTTTTTTCTGGAACTAGATTCACATGGGAATGTACTGGAAATGTCTAGCCTCAAACCAGGGTAGATGGTGCTATGATGTTTAAGGGCACAGGCTGAAATATGTCCATCTTATAGTGGGGCTTGTCTAGCCAGTGGGACTGGACATCCTCACAACCTACTGACCACTGGCTCTTCTGTGGACAGGCCTGAAACAGGCCCAGCCAACCCCTGCTTCTGGGAAAACTTGGTCAGTGCTTCTGCAGTTGACCAACCCTCTTCCACTCCATACCTGCTTCTTTAGAGATCTTAATAATACATCTGATCAGATTATAGCCTTGGCCCTCAGATCTAGGATGCATATCCTTCTATTCACCTGCCTCTGCTCAGTTTTTTTGATTCAGTTCTTGCTAATCTTAAAAATTTATTTCATACATGGAGATCTTATTCTCCTACTTTCCAAGTCCTGAGGGATGCTATGCTTTGTTCTAGTCCTCAAGTACTGAACACATTCATTGCAGAAGATGCTGTTGACGCCCTACACATATCCTATCAGCCAGTCCTGGAGGTCACCTGCAGACAGTCCCCATGTACACCAAAGGCTTCCAGCTATTTCTCGGCCTTAAGGTGTTCTTTGGTCCAGGGAATATGTTCAGCACTCAAACAGGGCAGCATGGAAGTGCTGGGAAGTTTGTTCTCCAGGAACAGCCATCAAACAATAAGGGCATGAAGATCTCAGCCTTCTTGTTCTTCAGTGGGGCAGCGGCAAGGTGTGCTCCATAATCTCTCAGAGGCCCCCAGTGGGAATGAGCCCCAGTTGACCACAGTGGCAACCTGCCTCCTTCATTGGCTCCCTTCCCCTCCCTGTCTCACTTCCCTACTCCCTCCTAGTACTTCCTAAAATCACCTCTCAAATAAACTACTTGCATCCTTGTCTCAGGCTCTGCTTTTAAGGAAACCCAGACAAAACAGCTACCTTCAGTCTTTACCCAAGAACCGTTTCCATCAATTCCTTGTTCACCACATGGCCCAGCCTCACCTTCCTCTTATCTGAGCCCCTTTTGATAACTTTGGGAAGCACTCAATCCCAGAGGGAAGAGCACAAGCATTGAAGCCAGACAGATGTGGGGCTGAATCTTGGATAGGTCACTTATTGACTGTGCGACCTTAAGCAAATTACTCAATCTCATTAATCTTTTAAACAATGCAGCTAGTGATACATAACTTTCGAAGTTGTTTGGAAGAATCAATATGATAATGTATGCAAAGGGCTCAAATGCAGTGCTTGGCAATTAGTAGGTGTTCAATAATGTCAGGCCTTCATCTCTCTCTGAACAGAGGCTGGTTTCTTTCAGCCGTGGTGCAAGCAGATCATACTCCTCACTGAAGGCAGCTTGGACACAGTATAGGGCATGGCTGAGCTCTGAGTACGGGTTTGAACAGTCCAGGAATGGGACTGGTGATATGGTAGCCACCTTCTTCTCCCCATATTGGCAGACCCTACCTCTCTCTTCTTTTTGACTCCTATGCTTAAGGCCACTCAACATTTCCCAAAGAAGCTCTACCCTTTCCCAGCTCTGCTCTTTTGCTTACCTAGTTCCGTCTACCTGGAAGTCTTTTATCTTTCCCAACCTCATCCTCTGAAATTCCACTCAATCTTTCATAGTGTGGTATAAATCAAGATGCATACCAGATTCACCAGGAGAGCTTTTTCAAAACATACACCTTAAACTTACCCTCAAAACTTCCGATTCAGTAGATCTGTGTTGAGGTACAGGCATGTATGTTTTGAAAAACTTTATTTACGCTGATTCATGCCCTTGGGGAAGAAATACTCATATCATCCAGGGAGCTCAAGTGATGTAGTCAAACTTGACTCCCTGTGTGCCATCTACTTAGCTACTCTGGAGCCCCAGTTTTCTCATCTGTAAAATGGGGATAATATCTATCCCATATGGTTGTTATAAAGATTAAATGAGATAATAGAAGTGGTGCTCAGGAAAAATTAGATCTACATTAAACCATTTTTGATCCCCCAGCCAGAAGCAGTCACACACTCCCACTTTCCTATCTTGCTATGTCTCTCCTGTAGCACTGAGTGCAGTGGTCCTTCCATTGGGATCATCAGTGTGAGTTGCTCCTCACCCCCAGCCCCTAACTTGAACATGCCTGCTGAGGGATGGGGACAAACAGGGACAGTGTGTTATCTGTCATGTGCTCCCACAGCTCTGGCATAGTGTCTCGCATGGAATCTTTGCTCAATAAATTTTTGCTGAATTGAATATAAAACCATAAGAAACTAATGTAAGTGGTTATGTTAGGTACCTGCATAATGCGTTTTGAACAGGCTTTTGATTAGTCTTAGTGTCCGGGAAACAGTTTCCTACTGACAGTGCATTGGAAATTGCCAGGAGGGCAATATATGTGTGCATAAAATTCTGCTTTTCTCAGACCTGGACAGAACCTTTGTTTCCTGGGGCTTCTGGTTGCCAGGCACTCACAGGGGCTGAGGTGAGCAAATCATAGGGCTACCCCTGGCCTGCATCCTCGCTCTGGACCTGTTGAGGACCCTCCTGGCTCCATTCATAACCCCAAGACTTCGAACTTGGCTCTTTAGAGAGCACGAGGGTTGAGAGTCCTGTTTTCTCCTCTGGATTTGAAGCCCACGAGTCCCCTGTTTGTGTCTCATGACCTGGCTTCAGTCTCCATGGAGAGCCCTTCCCCTGGCTCAGAGTCACAGCTGTTGCTGCAGGCTGAGGCTCCTGTGGTGCTTTAATGAACTCCTGAGACTCTCTGGGCTGCTGTTTCCCAGGGGAGCCAGGCTGCTAGTAGAGCTGGAGGCTGGGCTGCAAGGGCACCTTCCCTCTAAGAACACAGATGTATCACTAAACGGTCCTTTAGGGGAGGGGTCTGGGACCACATGGCAGCCCACCCAGGGATCTTTCTAGGAGATGAGTATAGTTGCAGAGCTGAGGATGTGTTCTGGCCAAGGGGGAAATGAACTGTATGGGTACACTTCCAACCTCCAACTGTCTTTTATTTCTCGTCTCTTCTTTTTGATAAACATACAATATCTATTAACTGACAAGGGTAGGAGGGAAGGCAGAAACCTAATGAAGATGATGGGTTGATGGGTGCAGCAAACCCCCATGGCACATGTATAGCTATGTAACAAACCTATACGTTCTGCACATGTATCCCAGAACTTAAAGTATAGTAATTAAAAAAAATAGAAAAAACAAGAAAGAAAAGTAATTTTCTATAGTTTCACAACCCAAAGTTAACCACTATTGACATTTTGATGTAGGTATCCATGCATGTAGGTATTCACACATGCACACATATGTACTATACAAGAGCATGTACATAATATACATATGCATATATACACATAGGTACATATGCATGATATATGTATAATGTATAGGTGTATATATATCACACATACAATATACATTGGTATATAAAATATAGATTATAAATAATATACACTATAAATAGTATATTTGTAATGTAAATAGGCAATATTACACATGAGTATATATAACACATATAATTTACAGATATCTGTGTATACTATTCATAAGGATATAATATACACTTAAGTATGTATGTATAATATACAATATATAGATATGTATCATACACATCTAAGTATGTAAGTATAATAAGCATTAAGTAGATTATATATCTATGTACTACATAGGCATATATAATATATAGACATATTTATAACATAGGTATACATATAAATACCAATAGTCTACATAATACAGGTAGACATATAAATCTAATGTATAGATATATATGTGTAAAATATTATATATGGATATACACATAGCCATATGTATATATAATATAGTTAAGTATATATGTGCATAATATATAAATGTTTATATAATATACATAAGTATGCATGTATAATACATGCAGATGTATTTATATGCCTAAGTATATATGCTATACATATATATAGTATACATATTTTATATGGAATCATATTGATTTCTGAGCAGCCATTCTTTTCTCTCCAGCAAAGCCAGAGAGGTGTTATGAAAATTCCAGACTGATCACATACTTTCTTAAATTTATACATCACCTTTCCCTATTGTATTTTCGATAAAGACCAAAATCCTTAACTTCTTCTGTGAAGGTCTGTTTTTCTGACCCTCCTGTACATACTCACTTCTTCCGCAGCCTCAGAGAACACTGTCCAACCATTTGATCCCTCGGTTTGCACCCCTCATTCTCCCCCACTGTGCCTGGACAACCCTTATTCATCTTTACTCAGGAATTCTTCATCTGAAATTGAGTCCTCTGTCAGGCATCCCTCAGCAGCCTGCATTTTTTTCTATCAGAATATTCAGGCCTTTTAAAAAATATCTCTCCCCTGCCGGACAGTGAGCCTCAAGGGACTCTGGGGGTCCTGACCAGTTTCCAACTGCCATCAGTGTCAGGCTGTCGGAGAGCCCTTTATAAATACTTGCTAAGTAGCAGATGACAATTCTGTTCTTTTAAAAATTCACTTTCGAGCATATTGTGAGCATTTTCCATGTCAAGAACTGTATTAGCTAGCTACATTATCATTTTTAGTGACATCACATATTCCATGGTATGGATGTACCATAATTAATTTAATTGATTTCCTATTGCTAGACTAAGGTTGCTTCTAAATGTATTGTTGAAAACAGTGTTGTCATTGACATTCGTGTGAAACATGTAACTAATTTGCCTGACCAAAAAGGTTGCACCAACTTATATGTATTTTCATCAGCGAAGCTGTCTTTTTTTTTTAACACACCCATCTCTACACTATTATTATTATTGTCAATTTAACAGTCATAGTTCAAAGTTGCCTTTCTCTGATAACTAGGAATATTTGTTCATTCATTCTACACTACAGATACTTATTGAGAGCTCACTCCATATTACTAGCAAAATGAACGTATTCTATGGCCAGTAGCACATTGTTGCAGAACAATAATTTAAAATACAGTAGGGAAAACCTCCTCTCTCTCTCTTTCTTTTTTTTTTTTTCTGTAAAACACCTTCTTGGTTACTATTATGTGTTTATTCTTCTCGATAAGCATTACAGTTATTTTGTCAAATACCTTTTAAAAAAACTCTTTAGTGACTCTGATTTGAAGTGCATGAAATTTATAGATTTAAAAAGAAATAAATCTTCACCATATTGAGTCCTCCCACCCAAAAGCACAACATGAGTTTCCTTTAATGTTTCTAAAGTATTTCTTAAAACAATCTCTCAAATCTGACTACTCAAAATAAACAATATTAACATTTGGCTAAAACATCTTATTAGATTTTTGAAGGCATATGTATTGACATAAATATATAATTTTGCCTCAGTGAGATGCCCGTGCTGTTTTTATCAACTTACATAGAAATTGTGTATATTTAAGGCATGCCACATGATGATTTGATACATGTATACATTGCAAAATGATTACCACAATCAATCAGTTACCATCACCTCACATAGTTACCATTTTTTTGTGTGTGTGTGGTAAGAATACTTCAGATCCACTCTATTATTTTTTGCTTTTATTTTTATGTTTTGAGACTGAGTCTTGCTCTGTCACCCAGTCTGGAGTGCAGTGGCACGATCCTGGCTCACTGCAACCTCCACCTCCCAAATTAAAGAGATTCTCCTACCTCAGCCTCTCATGTAGCTGGGATTACAGGCATGTGCCACCACACCCAGCTAATTTTTATATTTTTAGTAGAGACGGGGTTTCGCCATGTTGGTCAGGCTGGTCCCAAACTCCTGACCTCAAGTGATCCGCCTGCCTCGGCCTCCCAAAGTGCTGGGATTACAGGCGTGAGCCACCGTGCCCAGCCTAGTGTAGCATTATTAAGTATAGTCACCATGCTGTACATTTCATTCCCTAGGACTTATTTATCTTTTTTTTTTCTTTTTTTCACACAGGGTCTTGCTCTCTCACCCACCCAGGCTGGAGTGTAGTGGCGGGATCATAGCTCACTGCAGCCTCGACCTCCTGGGCTCAAGTGATCTTCCCACCTCAGCCTCCTGAGTAGCTGGGACTATAGGTGTGCCACTGTCCCTGGCTAATTTACTTTTTGTGGAGATGGGGTCTTGCTATGCTGCTCAGGCTGGCCTTGAACTTCTGACTTCAAGTGATTCTCCCACCTTAGCATCTCAAAGTGCTGGGATTACAGGTATGAGCCATCACACCTGGTCCTTATTCACCTTGTAACTGACGGTTTGTACCCTTTGGCCAATATCTCCCTATTTTCCCCACACCCTAGCCCCTGGCAAACACTATTCTACTCTCTGCTTCTATGCGTTTGACTTTTTCAAATTCCATATATACATAAGATCACATAGTATTTGTCTTTCTCTGTCTGGCTTATTTTACTTAGCATAATGTCCTCTGTGTTCATTCAAGGATGCTTTAAAAAAACTTTAAGGTTAAACATTATGATCTGTAATACATATTTTTATTGCTACATAATAATTGTACATATATATGGGGTGCATGTGATATTTTGATACATACATATAATGTGTAATTATCAAATTGGGGTTTTTAGGATACCATCTCAAACACTTATTTCTTCATATTGGAAACATTTCAAGTCTAGCTATTTTGAAATATACAATAAATTGGGTAAAAAAATAAATAAATAAATAAATTAGGTGACTATAGTTAAGAATAATTTATTCTGACTGTCCTATCAAACACTAGAATGTGTTCCTTCTATCTAACTGTATGTTTATACCCATTAACCAACCTCTCCTCATCCCCCCAGTTTCTTCCCAGCCTCTTGTAATCATCATTCTACTCTCTCCCTCCGTGAGATCAACTTTTTTAGTTCCCAGATAGGAGTGAGAACATGTAGTATTTATCTTTCTGTGCCTAGATTGTTTCACTTTGTCTGGTTATCTTTTTAGAATAAATTCCTTGATTTGGAAAGTTTAGGTCATGCATGTATTTTTAGAGATATTACAAAGCTAGACCTCAGAAAGGTTGTATCAAATTGTCTTCCACCTGCAGCGTTTAAAAATGTTCATATAAATCTGTAAAAGAAATTAGGAAAACAATGACATTTACAATAGCATCTAGAATTATAATGAGGTAACACTTTACACCCACTGGGATGGCTATAATTTTAAAACAAAAGATGGAAAATAATAAATGTTGTTGAGGATGTGGACAAATTAGAACCTTTGTACTTTGATAGTGGGAATATAAAATGACTCAGTCACTGTAGAAAACAGTTTGGTGGCTCCTTGAAAAGTTAAACATAGGTTTATTATATGACCCCACAATTTCAGTCCCAGATGTGTACTCAAAAGAATTGAAAACAGGTATCATACAAGTACTTGTACACAAATGTTAATAGCAGGACTATTTGCAATACCAAGAGGTGGAAAGAGCCTTAATGTCCATCAAGAGATGAACAAATAAACAAATTGTAGCATATCCATACAATGGAATATTACTCAGCCATAATAGGAATAAAAAAATGATACATATTACAGTGTGGATGAACCTCCAAAACATTACTCTAAGGTCAAAGAAACCAGACACAAAGATCATGTATTGTATGATTCCATTTTTACGAAATACCCAGAATAGACAAGTCCATAGAGACACAAAGCAATTGGTGATTTCTAGGGACAGAAGGGGAATGTGGAAATGGAGAGTGACTGCTCAGTGGGTATGGGATTTGATTTTGGAGTGACAGAAATGTTTTGGAACTAGATAGAGGTGGTGGTTGCACAACATTGTAAATGTACTAAATGCCACTAAATTGTTCACTTTAAAATGGCTAATTTTATGTTATGTGAATTTTACCTCAATAAATTATTAAAACCAACCAACAAACCAACCAACAAACAAACAGAAAATGCAGTCTGTTAGATGCCATCAGTCATAAAAGGGAACCTCATTGACTGGAAATGTCTTACCCCTGTGCTCTCCACTGGAAGAGGAGTAGCAATATGACCCAACAAAGAACCAGAAAAATCGGCAGCCCAGCAGGGGTAACTTTGCGCCAGAAAACTAGTGCCCACATGCCATACCTCTAGCTTGCTGTTTTCTGCTATAAAGTTATTATGTGTTTACCTTTGGGAAAAAGTAATGCTCATGTGTCCTGTGTCTTTGCTCATGGTAAATGTCTCAAATCTTTATCAGTCTGAGAAGTGAATAAAGGCCATTTTTATTTGCATTTCTTTCATTACTGTGGAGGGTGAAGATCTTTTCATGAAGGGTGAAGATCAAACACACAATGCCATGTGCATTGTGTGTTTGAATTGCCTGTTGATTTTATTCTTATAGATTTAATTTTAGATACGGAGTTTACCTCCAGGAATCCCCTGTCTCTTCCCACTCCCACAGAGTGCCATGTGCCTGGGTTGTGGAAGCTTCTTTCAAAAAAGTTTTTGTGTTTACTGGGGCCCTCGGGACTTCACCAACCTGGGATGACCTCCTATAATAATTTATTAGTGTTGAAATCTCTCATCACACAAATATATAAGCCTCGACTCTACACTCTACACTGCATGGTATAGGCTTTGGGCTTCGACTTCTTAGGGAAACTTTCTGCTTTCAGCCACGTCCCTGTGCAGGTGCAAGCTTCTTTGCAGTTTCCAGAACAGTGGGCAGAGTTGTTCTAGCCCTTTCCATGGAGGGGATTTTTTTAGGGTCCTGATTTTACAGCGGTCTCAGTTCCATTACTTTGCTAACTGGGACCTAAGGCCACATGTCCTATCCCAAAGTTGGCATTAAAATCCCAGTCCCTAACCATTGGGGCCATGCACCCACCTCCTGGGGGGGAGATGTCATGGTTCAAACACTTTCCATTCTGGCTTTGAGTTTTCTTTTCATTTATTTTCACTCTAGAGATTTTCCTGTCTTTCGAGTGAACCTATATATTTTAAATATTAATTATTTTAATTCCCACACTCTTGTGGGTTTTCGGTGGTAGACAGGGACCTCTGTCACGGATCAGTCTACCAATGTTGCTAAAAGTCTAATTTACAAAAATTGTTTTTGTAGTGAGACTATTAACCCTTTATAATATATATTACCAATACTTTTTGCCAGGTTTTAATTTTTTTTTTGGCTTTATACATGGTGTTCATTGTCATGAAGAGGTTTTAAATTTTTATGTAGCTATGTTTCTCTACTTTTCCATGCATTGTCTCTGGTATTATGTTTAGAAGACATCTTCTTTCCTAAGAGTTAAAAAAAAAAGCATTTAGTCTTGTTTTCTTCTAGTGCTTTTATTTATTTATTTATTTTTAACATTAAGCTTTCTGATCTATTTGGAGTTGGTTTTGCTGTGCTGTGGAGGCAGGGACTCAGCATTAATCTCCCTCACTTTCTGGCTAGTTGTCATGACACTATTTATTGAGAAGCCCATTGTTTTCCTATTTTCATGTGTACTTAGGTTTGTTTCTGAACTCTAATCTTTCACTACATCAGCAATGGACTGTTTTAATTACAACACGTTGACATTCTAGTATATCCAATTTCTCCTCTTCCCTGCCTCTTTGTCTTGCCCCCACCCCCGCTTATTTTTTTAAAAGAAAAAATTTGGTCTATTCTTATGTATCTCCCCTCAATCAAATCCAAAATCATTTAAATCAAAATCCATGTCAATATCATTGAGGTTTCTTACTTTAACAAATGTATAGATTGATAGAGACAATCCCTCTTGTTTTCTGATAATTTATTGTTTGCTCATAGGAAATCTGTTGGGTTTGGCAAAAATGGGGATATGGACCCTAGTGAGGAGGCACAGACATTCTGAGCATGGCATTACTTTAAGACAAGCTTCAGTTGCAAAGAGTGACGTTGGATCCCTGCTTTCAAGCTTCCTTCAAACCCATCCTTTTACCCAGGCCTAGCCCCTGACTGGTCTCTTCCTGTGACTGAACCAATGATTTTACCACTGTCTACCAAATCAGCCAAACCAGGCATCTGGGTGGTGGGGGACAGCATTCATGCCTCTCTTTCCTGATTGTTCATGGATCCCTGTGGATTCAACCTCCTGAGCAGCTCTCCAGTTGTCCTTTCCTCTCCATGCCCACTGCCTCTGCTGTGATTCTGGTCTCAGCCTTCTTTGTATGGGATTTACCGCAGCCTCCTCACTGGACTTCCTGCCTGCAGCCCACCTTCCAGGAGGACACAGAATTATGCATGTTCTGAAGCATAAATATATGTTCTTTCCCAGCTTAAATCCTTTCCATGGCCCCTTCATGAAGCTGACAGTGTAGTAGGTGGAGACATTTATTTATCCTTTCAATGAATATTTATTAAGCAGTTACTTACGATAGGACCTAATCTAGGCCCTGGGGATATTGCTGTGTATAAAGATACAGGAATCTCTGCCCAAGGCCGGATGTTGGGTGGGAGAAGACAGAAAATAAACAAGAGAAATAATATTTAAAGTAGCTTGGTTGGGAATAGATACCAAGAAGAAAATATGTCAGGGAAAGGGGCTAAGGAATTCCAGAGGTAGAGAGGGTAGGGGCTTTTTAAATGGGGTAGCCAGAAAAGGTCTACCTCAGAGGTAATGTTGGAATATAACTGAAAGGTAAGGGGAAAGTCACGGATAGCGGTGTTCTTGTTCAGGGCCTTGTGGACCACTGTGAAGGCCAGCTTTACTGGAGTGACCGGGGAAGCCAGCAGAGAGTCTGAGCCAAAGGAGGACCTAATTTGACTTCATGATCTCGCTTAGGTTTTAACAGGAACACTATGATGGAGCATAGAATATAGATGAGTATACAAGTGACTGAATACTTGCAAATGTGACAAGAGCTAGGAAGGAGAGTTCAGGGTGCTTTGGGAGTGCAGAACAGGAGACCCTGATTCAGTCTGGAATGGGTAGGTGGGAGCTCAAGTACAGCTCAGGCAGCATGTGGGCTTTAGGGCAAAGGGGAGTCATTAAAGGGATTTGAGTAAGGGCAGGAGATCAGCCATGCCTGTGAGTAGACAGGATGCTTATCACACCCCCTGACAGGTTATGCTTTGGGAGGTTTCCTTGGGTGAGGGAGCCTGATGCACTCATCTGGTTGTGGGGTGGAGGACTGCAGGGGCCTGGAGAGGGCTCACTGTGCTTGTCCAGGCTCATGGGAGGCAGGCTGGCAAGCCAATCAATGCAATCAAGAGTGAAACTATGGTTGGTTTGGGCCTCTAAGTTTTGGGGTAAAATTTCACACATTGATAATAACTGGAACCCCTCCCCACTCTTTTCATGGCTTCTGTGTGGTGGAATATACTTCCTCACCCCTTTGACTTTGAATTTGGCCATGCGATCGATTTCAGCTGTTGGGATGTGATTGGATGCCATGTGCCCTAGATCCAACCCAAAGCTGGAAATGTGCTCAGATGATTTGGCCAGCCCTCTTGCTCTTCTGGGACTAGCCATGGAACTGGCTGTCCCAATAACTGCTTTCCTTAATCCTAAAATGAGGGACACATGGAAATGACGTGAATTTAACCTGCAGCCTGAAGCAGAGCTGCCTCAGCACATACAGGCCTGTGAGTGAGAGGTAAATGCTTGTCGTGGTAAACCACTGAGGTTTTGGAGTTGTTTGTTATCTGGCACCATCACAGCAATAGCTCACTAAGATAAAGTAGTTGGGTAACACTATTATTTTCATTTTCCAGATGGTGAAAATGAAGCATAGAAAAGTTAAATTAACTGTTCAGATCATAGCTAGTAAGGGACAGTCTGCTTGGAACTCAGGAAATCACTTATAACCATTATCTCCAGAAAAGCACATGCACAAATACATCTCTCACAGGCCTAAGTGTGTTTCCAGCAATGCTGCTCAGTCCCTGGCCTATAAATCTGGAGAAACTTTAGTTCCTGGAAGAGCCAAGACCACTACAAGAAATAAATAACCAATGAAAACCTGTTTTCTAGTGTCTAAAGCATCAACCTTGAAACCTCAGCTGATTTTAGATATTATCCTCCAAGGTGCGCAGAAGAGAGACAGGTGTTGGCAGTGTAGAAAAACCATGTTGCGGCTCAAATACACAAGGAAACCAGGCAGTGCCCTGCTTCACTCTCTCTGTCTTGGCCTCAGAGGTGGGGCATCTTTGAAGCGTAATGAATTTATGCACATTTTTGTGCATTTAATTGGGGGAAAATATTTTTAAATGTCTATCACTGTGTTGACATCGTGTGTCTGTGTATGCGTGTGGGTGTGTGTTGAAACAACATCATTGGAAGATAGTGTGGGCTAAAGAGGCTGGGCTTTGGAGCTAGACATCCTGGATTTAAATGAAAACCCCCTTGTGTGACCCTGAATAAGTCTGACAATTCCTCTGAGTCTTGGATCCTTTATCCTATAAATGGGAGGCCGTAATACTTGAGTAAGGAATGGGATTGGCTGCCACAAAGTCAAGTATATAAAGCACCTACCACCTTGTAGGGCTCCAAGAACATTTGCAGCCTTTCCCTGTCTTGTCATCTCTTATAAACAGTGACTACCAATTGAAGATTGTCCAACTTGAGGACTTCTGTGAATTCTGCTGGCATCTGGAAGCTGCTTCCACCCAGCGGACGAAGCAGGAGAGAGAGCTCATTTGTCAGTCAGGACATGGATCCTGCAGTTCTGCATCTTCAAGTCTACAACCCTCTGTCTCAGCACTAAAAAGCATTTAAGCACAATAGAGCTTAAACTAGGAGATATTTGAAGCTGGGTTGAACTCCTATCTTTATTATTTATTAGCTTTGTGACTTGGGTAATTAAACTTTCTATGCCTTATTTATTTTCCTTTCTATAAAATTGGCATAATATTTGTATCCTGTTTACCAACATATTATCAGCACTTAGCATGGTGCCTGCCACCCAGTGTCATGAGAATCAAGTGAAATGATGCATAAATAATTATCTAGCATATAGTAGGCACTTAGTTAACACTGGTTTCTGTAGTGATACTGTTGGCATAAAGGCAAAGCTTTTTAAGACAGGGAGCTCAAGAAATATTAACTGAATCTGAGTGGTCACTGCATTAGTACACTGTTAAATCCTTTTTAGAGTTCCCTGATTACATTTTGAGAAAGCTCAGGGTCTAGACTCTATAAATTGGAATTTGCAGAGCTGGGCTCTGTTTGCCTTAAGAGGCATGACTAGCTTCTCTTCTTGGCACTTCTTATTCTGCATACCTGCCATGCTTCCTTCAACCCAATGGCATTTGCATATGCTGTGAGTGCAAAAGTCCATCATTATTATCATCACCATCATTGCAATCATTATCAATATCATTACAATTAACACTATAGTTCTCATAATGACCACCATCAATATCATGATCATCACCATAATCACCACTACTTCTATCATCATCACCAGTAGCATTGTTGTAATCATCATCACTACTACCACAGTAACTATTGCTGGCACTCCCACCACTTACTGAGCCCTTACATTGTACTATACTAGCTGATGAAATACTTTGTCTTATGAAATCTTTATAAGAAATCTCTTAAGGTAAGTACAGTTAGTGTCTCCATTTTGCAGACAATGCAACCAAGGCACGTGAGTGTGAAATAATTAGCCCAAAATTAACCATTGGTGGAGACATAATTCAAACCCAGGTCATATCACTCCTAGGCTAGCTCTCTTAACTAATAAATGAAATGGCTTCTCCTCACTCCTTATGTAGTTAACTCACCCGTCAAATCTCAGCTTAAATGTCCCATCCTTGGAAGTCTTCCATAACTGCCTTCATCACCGTTGTAAGCACACAGAATTCCCTTTAAGTTTTCTTCATAGTGCTTATCACAATGTGTAATTTTAGATTTATTTTCACAATTATTTGATTGATAGCTTTCTCCTCAAGTTGCATGTGGGTAGGAATGACAGAAACTGGGTTTCTGTTGTGTGCCTTCTTGTGCCGTGCCCACAGCAAGGAGACTGGCTCAGAGTCAGTAGTCTAAATATTGTTGAATGAATGCATGAGCCCTGCCTTTATCACTAGTCTAGCTATGTCCTGCTTTGCACTTCTCTGGTCTTTGCAAGTCAACTTTATTTCTAACTTCTGTTTTGGTATGCCCTCTGGGTTCTTACTAGAGCAAGTGTCATTCTCCTTGGGTCACTATTAGCTAGATAGACTCTGAAAATGGCTTAGAAACAGGGGGTCATTGAGAATGAATAGGTTGGAGTAAGGAGAACCAGGAGGCAGGGAGACTAGGCTGTTGTAATAATAAAGGCTTGGCAAAGAGGCCATGGATGGATGACCCTCAGTGACAGTGGTGGTATTAGGGATCAGAGTTATAGACAAAGCTAAAAAATGGTATAGGGCAGAAATGGTGGGACCTGGTATCTGGATGAGGGGAGCAGATGGATGTGGGCTGCCATCAGCAGTGTTAAGATTTCAACTTCAGAGGAAGAATAAAGCATGGTGCCATTGAAATCTGTAGCCTTGATGGCCATCCCAGCCTTATCTCCCTGCATGTGATGGGCCCTTCTACATGTCTGTGGATTTGCATATGTTGTTTTCTTTGTGTTGTTCTGTCCTTTCTCTCCTTTCTCTCTCTGGAAAACTCCTACTGGCCCTTGATGACCCAGCTCAACGGACTTCTCTGTCCTTTCCAGTGGAGGTTATTGCTGGCTCTGGGCTGCCAACAAATTTTGGTCAGATCTTTTCTATACCATGTGCCATGTTGGGATGCCATCACCCCAACATGTCTGTGTGCCCATTTGCCCCATCAGCTATGAGATTTTTAGGAGCAGGCTTTGCAATGTCTTTCTTTCTCCCTTCTTCCTCCCCTTCAGCCTGGACCTCTCTGTTCCTCTCCTCCCTGCTTACCTTCCTTTCCCTCCAGTATGTATTTAACTCCTGTAATGCCATAAGGTGGCAAGTGCTCTATTAATGACCAGAACCACAATGAAGAGAGACTAAAGGATCGGGGATCAGGGGTGGTGGGCTCTGGCTTGGCTGATGGTATCCTTAGCTGAGATCAGGAAGAGAAATATGTAGTCTTTAAGAGAGCAAACAACCCTTTTTGTTTGTGATTAGGTGAGACCTTCAGCCTGGATCTTTTGACATGAACCATTTGATTTCCTGACACACTGTGTTTCGCAGTGTCTGAGTTTGGGTTCAGACCATTGCATCCCTCTTATGGGGTGAGCAGACAAGAAAGTGAGTTTAGCAATAAAGCCCCTCTGCCATGTGTTTTTTTTCACCTTAACTATGTTATTTATAGCCAAGGTGAGACCAGTAGCGAGTGGTGTGGCACTGGCCTCACACTCTCCCCTCTGCTGGTTCCTGACTGGGAAATCTCTGAAGAGCTGGGTGCTAAACCCTCTCATTCAGTGACATCATCATTCTTTTGCTACAGCCCATTTAGATTCCTGGCATTGAGTCTAGGATGGAAGTTAAGGTCCTGCACAGAGTCTGGAAAATGCTGCCAGTTACCCCCAATTTCAGCCGTTCGCTCTTTGGCCTTCTTGCCTCTTGGGAGCTAGTGTTGGGACCCTGGGACCTAATCGCTGACTACCCAGCAATTTTCTTTCCTTCTGGTTCTTATCTGTTCTCAGACAAATCTCTTAATCTCTGTTCCTCAGTTCCTTCATCTGTAAAATGGGGATTGTGATAATATAATACCTACCTCACAGGATTGTAGTGAAAATAAAATGATATGCTATATGTAAATTACTTAGAATCCTACCATCACATAAATAGGAGCTACATAAGTGTTAGTAATTACTGCTATTACTCTACTGTCATTATTGCTGTTGCCATTATAATTTTTTACACTGAGTGTTGACATTGTTCTTCCAATCAACTAGATATGGACAAGCTTAACACCTTTTTATTCAAGTCTCACACCAATGGCATGTTGTTAGGAGGTCTTACCTGACTCCCAAACCTGTAACCCCACCCTGTAACTCTCAAAACTCTCTATCATATTATGACATGTCATTGTCTTTATAGCATCTATCACTGTGTCACATTCTTTGAGTACTTATTTATTGCCTCTCTCTTTATCCTAGAAGGTGAGCTTCATTGCCTTCTCCTAGGTTCTCAGCACAACACCCTGCACCTGGACAGGTCTCAATAATTAATATTACTTGTTAAATGTCTTCATCCTACACCTTTTTCCTTGTCCTGGACTTCTGTGAGTTTCGTTCCAACAACTGAGTCCCAAAGGAGGGAGAAATTGAGACTGGGTGGAATTGCGGAGTTTTGATGTTCACTGCATTGCTTCCTTTCCACCCCTTGGTGGAGCCGTTGTTGCACCTTTCTACTGCATCCAGGCATTCTACTCTAGACTGGACTGGAAATACATCATACTAAAGTGTGAATGATTGATACAGACTTAAACTACTACCTTCTCTTAAGAGACCAAAGCCTGATTAATTCCGCTTTCCTTCCTTATAAGGAAAGATGTGGGGATGGTGCAAAAGTAAGAAGATGAAGAAGCTGATTCTAATTCTAATTAATTGCATAGTCCTAGACAAGCCATTTAAACCTCTCTGAGCCCCAGTAACACACTTGAAATGAGTTGCTTTCCATGTGAGTTGTCATGTGTGTCAAATGCAATCCCTGTGTCTGAAAATGGCTTGTCTCACAAAATGCTCACCGAATAAGCTGTTATCACTGTTTATCATAACAGAAAATAAGGAGAGTAACTGAAGTGAGTGACAAGTTGAATATGAGCCAGCAATGTGCCTCAGGGGACTCCCTGTCTCTCTCTCTTTAAATTTACCACTCAAATCCTTGGGCTGCCTGAGATGAGGCCTCAGGGCACCTGCTTTCCCCCATGTCTTCTTCTGCCCCCGTGCCCTCACTCTTAGTGTGGCTTGGACAAAGAACTCCAGGTCCTGCCCATTTGGAGAGACAAATGATGCTAAGATGAGCTGTGTAAAGTCTCAATATCAAGTCATCTTTTAGTTCCAAGGCCTCTTTCTAGCTACTGGAGTCCATCCAGCCTTTCTCTTAGCAGCATCATTTCCTTCCAGAGTCTCTGATAAGGCTTTTTCTATGTCTTCCCCCTGCTTCCCTGGCCCTAGCTTAGCTACCCTGGTCTGAGCTCCTGCCCCTATTAACCAGCACCTTTCGTATGTCAAGCTGGGTGCCATCCCTAGGCCTACCCCTTTCCCTCCCAATGACTAAAGCTTCTTCCATTCATGAGCATCCACTGAGCTTGTGGAAGGGGCACAGAACAGACTAGGAACGTGTGTGATCAGGCCACATCCTCTATGGCAAAGGCCTTATTTTGTGTAGTTAGGGGAGTATGTGCTGGAGCCTGATTGCCTGGGTTCCCATCCTGGCTCCAGTGCCTACTAGCTTTGTGAATTTAAGCAATTTATTTCATCTTCTTGTGCCTCAGTTTATTCATCTCCAAAATAAAGACAGTCATTGAATCCATATCAAATGGTTTATATGAGGATTAAGATGGATTTATTCATGTAAAACATCTAGAATGAGGTCTAGCAGACAGTAAGTACACAGCGAATGTTGGCTTTTAAAAATTATTAATAAAGAGTCACTGCTTCCTTATTGGCAAACCTTAGTCAAAGGTGACCTCAAATCTGAGGTGGGTGCCCAGGGAAAGGTTTCTTTATCCCTGGACCATGCCTCTACTCCTTAGGATGTTTCCAAGAGAGGTGTCTGCATGAGGAATGGCTGTTCTTATTTCTTCACCCCTTCATGTTTCCATTTATTTTGCCAGGCACCTTTGCAATTGTTCCATTAAAGGTAGATGCAGGTCCCTGCCCTTTGAGTTGGAACTTAGCTGTGTGAATTGTTTTTGCACAAAGGAGTGTGGGCAGAAGCAACCATGTGCCAGTTTAAGCCTAAGGCTGTAAGGTGTCTTCGGTGTTTTTGCTTGCCCTCTTGTCCTTCTGCCTTCATCATGAAAAGGACATGCCTTGGCTAGGCAGCTGGTCTGAGGAAGATGACAGACCTTGAAGACAATGGAGCAGACTGCTCCAGACCTTCAGCCTAGAGCTGCTCATTCATGCCCACCTAGGCCCAGCCAAGATCGGCAGAATCCCCAGCCCACAGGAACATGAGCAGAATAAATGCTTATTCTTATACTCTACTGAGATTTTTGGTTGGTTGTTAGGCAACAGTAGCTGACAGATGTACAAGGTGAGTGGCACAGAATTGCCATTGCTACAGTTTGGATGTTTGTTCCTCCAAATCTCATGTTGAAATTCTATCCCCAGTGTTGGAGGTAGGGCCTAGTAGGAGGTGTTTGAGCCATGGGGGGCACACCCCTCATGAATAGATTAATTTCCTCTTTGGGTGGTGGGTGGTAGTGAGTGAATTCTTGCTCTATTAGTTCCTGTGAGAGCTGGCTGTTTAAAAGAGCCTGACACTTCCTCTTTCTCTCTCTTGCTTCCTCTCTTGTCATGTGATCTCTGCACATACCTGCTCCTCTTCACCTTCCATCATGAGTAGAAGCAGCCTGAGGCTTTCACAAGATGCCCAGTCTTTCAGCCAGCAGAATCATGAACCGAATAAACCTTTTTTCTTAACAAATTAACCAGTCTCAGATATTCCTTTGTAGCAATGCAAAATGGACTAAGACAGCCATGTTATTATTGACTAGGCTTGGGTCCCCAAACCTAAAGCAAGGAATGGTTGGTGAACTGGGTTGAACCGTGTAGAATATCCCTTTCCCTAAACTAGTTAAATTACATTGAAGTAGGTCATCACTGCTGTCCTTATTGGCAATCGTTTTTTAGTCTCCACCCATCTTGTTTTATGCCCAAAACTAAGCCTTACATCTCTTTGCATGAGGGTTGCATGCAGGAAAGAGGCAGAAGAGACCAGTAGACTGGCAGACATGACAAGTTCTGACCAATTAAGCCCTGCCTAGCAGAGCACCTTGTTGCCCAAGACACACAAATGGAAGAGAGAGGAGGCAAGGCTAGTTGAGTGTTGCTCTGGGAGACTGTGCCTTGAGTCACTTGCTATTCCTGCTGCTTGGATAGAAGAGAGAAAAGAGAGGAAAAAATACCCATATTAAAGTAAGGTAACTCCTCCATTAGAGGGTTAGACCCAATCAGTGTCTTGGTGTGCAGCCTATATATTGCAATATTATGGTCCCCTTCCCTGGAGGAGAAGCTAAGTCAGGGAGGAGAAGGAGGAAGTCTGGCATCTTCTACCTTTACTCTCCCTCCTCATCAATCTCTTTCCTCATAACCTACTTTATGTATTTGTATAGTACTTGTCTTTACCTGGAGTCATACACTTACTAGTTTATTTGATTATATGCATCTCCCATTGCTAGAATATAAGTTCCATGAGGGCGAGAATCCAGTTGGTTTTGTTCATGGCTATATACCAGTTGCCTAAAATAGCTGGTACAGTGTAGGGGATTGATACATATTTGCTGAATGAATGCATGAACTCCTGGAGTGGTCCATGCTGGAACATATCAGCTTGGTCACTGTTTGCTCATTGCATTCACGGTCTCCTAGCATTTCCATGCCCATGGTTGCAGGAACTAGGAGGCCCTTTCTTTGGCCTCCTGTACCTTGGGTGTTTGCTCCAGTCCTTGACACACATGCCTGTGGTCTGGAACCTGCTCTGCATCTGTACCCCTACACTCCACCTTGTTAGGTGTCATCCCTGGACCACTCATATAGGTGATGTGGTTTGGACCCAGCTCCCTCCTGGCCCCACTCCACTTTTGGTTCTGCTGACTAGAAGGCTAATTCTGAGTGCAGCAACTCTGTTCCCAGTGAAGCTCCAGGACACGGTCCTCCAGAGAAGTGTCCCCCACCTACCTTGCTTGCCTGGTGGGGATATTGACAACCTATTACCTTATAGCAGGACCACGGATAAACCAATTGCAGAGACACCTTAGTCTTTGTGACATTTTTTCTTTCAGTTTGGCCTCCTAAAAGTCTTACCAACTTATTTTTATTGTTTTAGCTGATTCTGTTCCTCTTTGCTCCTGCAGTGATTCACCCAAATGCAGCAACTTTTATGCCAATGGACTCTACTAATACCGTTTGCAAAGATGCCTCCGTGAAATGCTCGGGAACACTTTCTCTCACTGCTCTGGGAAGGGTTTCTTGGCCCCAGGGTGCAAAACACAACCGAGAAATTTTCAGGTGAAGTGTTGGCTGAATTCTATGGCTGCTGCTTGTGGTCGATCAACATTCCTCACTCACAGCTGTTGAGCGAGGCTGGGGATGCATTCTTTGCTGTTTGGCTGCTCCAAGTTCACATACATTTTTGACATAAACCTAGTAATTGCTGACTTTAACTTACTATTCTCAGCCTCTGGCTTCTTTCTGATTTATGGCTGGAGCCTTGGGGTCCTTCGTCAGAGGCTCCTTATACTTGCCCATTAGCACTTCTCTTTATATTTGGCAAGGGTCACTGGTACATTCCTCTACAGGCATTTATCAGAAGCTCATGAACATTACAGACAACTCTCTTTCTAGCTCATAGTCTGAAGCTCAACAGATATTTGTGGGGAGAATCACAATAATTATAATTGCTACTAATTTTTGAGCTCTTGGTGTGTGGCAGGTACTATGTTATTCATTCTTTATAGCAATCTATTAAAAGAGGCACTGTCCTTATACCCATTTTACTGATGAGGAAACTGAGGAAGGGAGAGGTTCAATAACTTGTTCCCATATCAGACAACTGGTGAGAGGTGGAGCCAGGATTTGAATCTAGATCAAAACCACTGCTTATAGCCAATATGATTTTGGAAGGTAGGAAGGCAGCAAGGATGGTAGGAGGAGCAAGGAGCAGCTATCATGTGCTTGGTCTGTGAACTGAGTGAAGTCATAACCACAGAGTGTGAGCCTTGAGCCCTTGAAAGGAGAATCTTGGCATGAAGATCTCATCCCAGGAGGCTCTCCGCAACAGACTGGGTTCTGAAATCCACCTCCCATTACCGCTCGCATTGGTCTGACTCTGGATCTCTACAGCTTTTTGCCTCTCCATGAAGGTGGGAGGGTGAATTTCTTCTGTTTGCTCCTCTGGATCCACTCTCTACCCTTTTGCACCCAGCTCTGTGCCAGGGAGGCTGACTGTATGGAGCACTCATGGGCTCCCTTCCTTCTGGTTTCCAGATGGGTTCAGCTGGTTGGCACCAGAAGCAGATCTAAGAGAAGGGGAGGAGTGATGTAGGGATCCTTGCTCCCCTGCCTGCCTCCCTGTGTCTCCACAGGATCTAGGCTCCAGGTAGCTGGCCCTCTCTGCATGGCACTCCCTCTCCAGTTTCCAGTAACTTCCTCCCCTTGCTCCTTATAGGCTAGAGATATGGTTTGGCTGTGTTCCCACCCAAATCTCATCTTGGGTTGTAATAATCCCCATGTGTCAAGGGTGGGTCTGGGTGGAGATAATTGAATCATGGGGGCAGTTTCCCCCATACTGTTCTCATGGTAGTGAATAAGTCTCATAAGATCTGATGGTTTTATAAATGGGAGTTCCCCTGCGTAAGCTCTGTTGCCTGTCGCCATGTAAGGTGTGTGTTTGCTTCTCCTTTGCCTTCTGCCATGATTGTGAGGCCTCCCCAGCCATGTGGAATTGTGAGTCAATTAAAGCTCTTTTCTTTATAAATTACCCAGTCTCAGGTATGTCTTTATTAGCAGTGTGAGAACAGACTAATACAGCTAGGGTGGGTAAGAGCATTCCCTGTTACTGTTCCTGAAGTTCTGCATTATTCTTTGTGGTTTTCCTACATTCTGCCTATACCTTGGTAAATGGTTTTTTTTAGTAAAGTTCCCTTAAATTATCCAATCTGAAGGTAACACCTTGTTATTATCAGCACCCTTACTGATATCCCTGAACTTTAGTTTGAGCCATTTCCAACCTTCAGATGAACAACCTTTACCTGCACCCTTGACTACTCCCACCCCAACTATTCCGTATTGGTGCTCTTTCCTAGCTCTCGCAGAACCATTGTACTGTGGAAATAACACAGGTTTCTGGATTAGTGCTGGGTTCAAAGCCTGCTTCTGACACGTACTCTATGAGTTTGGGCAAGTTACTTGATTTTCCCATGCCTCAGATTTCTCATCTGTGAAATGGAGGATAGTATCACTTCACAAGTTTATCATGAAAATCAAATGGCATAATGGATATAAACTTTTATTAGTTTGGTGCAAAAGTTATTGCAGCTTTTGCCATTAAAAGTAATGCCATTAAAAGCAATTACTTTTGTACCAACATAATAGCTTAGTGTCTGGCAGATAAACATCGGTTTAAACATCCCTCATTTTGCCCGTGCTCTCTTGATCTGTAATTCTCCAGACCACTTATCCATTTTGCTAAGCAGTTCCCCCTGGGTCCTGCCCCAAGATATGGCCAAGGGAACATGGCAGAGAGGAAGGAAGCAACTCTTGGCTCCCCATGAAAGGAGGAATGGGAGGAACTTGGAGGACAGCAAAAATGACAGTCCAAGGGTTTGAAATAATGACACAGGAGAAGGGTAAATAATTGCAAAATGGAAGTGTAAAAGGGGTGATTTAATACTCCTCTTCACATACAGCTCCAGTGTGCCAGTTGGAAATGCTAAAAAGGAGTGTTTCTGATATCCTAGCTAGAGCAAGTTCCAATATACTAGTAATATACAAGTCCAATGGCCAGATGTCCATGGCTCCTACAGAAATGGATAAAGAAAGCCCCCCTTACCTTAATCTTGTGTTTCTTTTTTTTTTTGAGATGGAGTTTCGCTCTTGTTGCCCAGTCTGGAGTGCAGTGGTGTGACCTTGGCTCATTGTAACCTATGCCTCCTGGATTCAAGCGATTCTTCTGCCTCAGCCTCCAGAGTAGCTGGGATTACAGGTGTGTGCCTCCACGCCTGGCTAATTTTTTATATTTTCAGTAGGGATGGGGTTTCACCATGTTGGCCAGGCTGGTCTTGAACTGACCTCAGCTGATCCACCCACTTTGGCCTCCCATAATGCTGAGATTACAGGCATAAGCCACCACACCAGGACCCTCTTGCTTTTCACTGTATCCTAACAAAGCTCTGTCTCCCCAGTGGGAAGATATCTCTTCCCCACTTGGAGTTAAAAGGGCCTGGGTTGAAATTGAGCTGCATATTCTCCTTGCTTGTTGGATCTTGGGAGGGTCTTGACCACTTCAGACATCATTTCCGCCAGATGTGGTGGCACGTGCCTGTAGTCCCAGCTACTTAGGAGGCTGAGGTGGGAGGATTGCCTGAGCCCAGGAGTTCCAGGCTGCAGTGAACTATGCCCATGCCACTGTACTCTAGCTGGGCAACAGAGCAAGACCCTATCTCTAAAAAAATAACAAAACAAACAGAAAAACACATCATTTCCCTCATCCTCAAAATGGGGATCCTTGTAACTACTCATGAGCGTAGCTGGAATGATGGTTGAATCAGGAGCAGAGGATGAATATAAAAGATATGAATATAATATAGAGCCAGAAAAGCATTCAAGCCTCAACCAATGCTGATTTCCACCTTTATTTTCCTCTCACTGTAGCAGAACAGGTGCCCTTTTTCATTTCAGGGGAAATCTGAACAGTTCCTGTCTTGTATTTCTTAAAACAGCTGAAAAAATTCCTTGATTTTTTTTTACCCTTCTTCAGCTTTAGGACTAAATGCCTCTAACCCTCCTTCTCTCTCATCAGGTAGTACATTTTGTTTGTTTGTTTATTTTTTGAGACGGAGTCTCGCTCTGTCACCCAGGCTGGAGTGCAGTGGCGTGATCTTGGCTCACTGCAACTTCCACCTCTCAGGTTCAAGCGATTCTCCTGCCTCAGCCAGCCAAGTAGCTGGGATTACAGGCCTGCGCTTCCACACCCGGCTAATTTTTGTATATTTAGTAGAGATGGGGTTTTGCCATTCTGGCCAGGCTGGTCTCGAATTCCTGACCTCAGGTGATCTGCCTGCCTTGGCTTCCCAAAGTGCCGGGATTCCAAGCATGAGCCACTGTGCCCGGCCCATTTTTTGTTATTGAATTGTCACTTTTGAGGATGCTCTTTTACCCTTGCCACCTTGTCCCTACTCAGCTGTGCACTAAGAGTGAATGTCTGGGTAGGGGTGGGGATGGAGTCCAGAGTACAGTTATCCTGAGTCACAGGAACTCCTATTTTATTTTATGCCTTTCCTTTTGCCCTTCTAGCTTCCATATGAACCTATTGTCCTTCAAAAGAGCTTTGATTTTGAGACTTAGACTTTCTGCTTGATCTGAGGACAGATTGGATTTTGGGAGTTAGTAGTAGAGATAATGAAGACAAAGACCACCTGGGAAGACTAAGATAAATTTTGATCGGTAATTGTATTATTCATCACCTATGTTCTTAATTTGCAAATAAAAAAATGGTCCTATTCATACCTGAGCATTCATAGTTTTCATGAGTGAGGCATATTATGACTTCATGGGTCTGATGTGTTCTTTTTGCAAGCAGGGGTAAATGGAGACATTTCAAGCTTGCCTGCTGCATATTAGGTGTGCCTCAGAAAGAGTTCCTCTGGTCAGAAACCTTTCACAGTCTCTCAGCTTCATGTTCTAATTGTTTTAGAATTAAGCTTTTAAAGCTCAAACATATAATTATTACATTCCATTTCAATCATAATGACTAAACCTGCTGATGTGATTCTTGGCCATCAGGTCTACCTGTTGATGGCCTGTTAGAATCACCTGTGCAGCTTTGAAGAAATACAGATGCCAGGGCCTCACTTCCTGGGGGCTTTGATCCATTCAATCTATGGCAGGGCCTGGGAATCAGAATATTTATAAAGTACCACAGGGGATGCTGATACGTAGCCAGGATTGAGAATCATGGAGCTGGACCACGCAGGGGTGAGGTGGGTGAGTTGCTATTGTCCTACACTTTTATTGCTATTCCCAATGAGATCATTTTTAAATTATTATTATTATACTTTAAGTTCTGGGGTACATGTGCAGAACGTACAGGTTTGTTACATAGGTATACACGTGCCATGGTGGTTTGCTGCACCCATCAACCCGTCATCGACATTAGGTAATTCTCCTAATGCTATCCCTCCCCTAGCCCCCCACCCCCTGACAGGTCCTGGTGTGAGATGTTCCCCTCCCTGTGTCCATGTGTTCTCATTGTTCAACTCCCACTTATGAGTGACAACATGCAGTGTTTGGTTTTCTGTTCTTGTGTTAGTTTGCTGAGAATGATGGTTTCCAGCTTCATGTCCCTGCAAAGGACATGAACTCATCCTTTTTATGGCTGCATAATATTCCATGGTGTGTATATGCCACATTTTCTTTATCCAGTCTATCATTGATGGGCATTTGGGTTGGTTCCAAGTCTTTGCCATTGTGAACAGTCCTGCAATAAACGTATGTGTGCATATGTCTTTATAATAGAATGATTTATAATCTTTGGGTATATACCCAGTAATGGGATTGCTGGGTCAAATGGTATTTCTAGTTCTAGATCCTTGAGGAATTGCCACACTGTCTTCCACAATGGCTGAATTAATTTACACTCCCACCAACAGTGTAAAAGTGTTCCTATTTCTCCACATCCTCTCCAGCATCTGTTTCTTGACTTTTTAATGACTGCCATTCTAACTGGCATAAGATGTTATCTCATTGTGGTTTTGATTTGCATTTCTCTAATGACCAGTGATGATGAGCTTTTTTTCACATGTTTGTTGGGTGCATAAATGTCTTCTTTTGAGAAATGGCTGTTTATATCCTTCACCCACTTTTTGACGGGGTTGTCTTTATCTTGTAAATTTGTCTAAGTTCTTTGCAGATTCTAGATATTAGCCCTTTGTCAGATGGATAGATTGCAAAATTTTCTCTCATTCAGTAGGTTGCCTGTTCACTCTGATGATAGTTTCTTTTGCTGTGCAGAAGCTCTTTAGTTTAATTAGATCCCATTTGTCAATTTTGGCTTTTGTTGCCATTGCTTTCAGTGTTTTAGTCATGAAGTCTTTGCCCATGCCTATGTCCTGAATGGTATTGCCTAGGTTTTCTTCTAGGGTTTTTATGATTTTAGGTCTTACATTTAAGTCCTTAATCCATCTTGAGTTAATTTTTGTATAAGGTGTAAGGAAGGGGTCCAGTTTCAGTTTTCTGCATATGGCTAGCCAATTTTCCCATCACCATTTATTAAATAGGGAATATTTTCCCCATTTCTTGTTTTTGTCAGGTTTGTCCAAGATCAGATGATTGTAGACGGGTGGTATTATTTCTGAGGCCTCTATTCTGTTCCATTGGTCTATATATCTGTTGTGATACCAGTACCATGCTGTTTTGGTTACTGTAGCCTTGTAGTATAGTTTGAAGTCAGGTAGCATGATGCCTCCAGCTTTGTTCTTTTTGCTTAGGATTGTCTTGGCTATGCGGGCTCTTTTTGGTTCCGTATGAATTTTAAAGTAGTTTTTTCCAATTCTGTGAAGAAAGTCATTGGTAGCTTGATGGGGATAGTATTGAATCTATAAATTACTTTGGGCAGTATGGCCATTTTCATGATATTGATTCTTCCTATCCATGAGCATGGAATGTTTTTCCGTGTGTTTGTGCCCTCTCTTATTTCCTTGAGCAGTGGTTTGTAGCTGTCCCTGAAAGGTCCTTCACATCCCTTATAAGTTGTATTCCTAGGAATTTTATTCTCTTTGCAGCAATTGTGAATGGGAGTTCACTCATGATTTGGCTCTCTGTCTGTTATTGGTGTATAGGAATGCTTGTGACTTTTGCACATTGATTTTGTATCCTGAGACTTTGCTGAAGTTGCTTATCAGCTTAAGGAGATTTTGGGCTGAGACGACAGGGTTTTCTAAATATACAATCATGTCATCTGCAAACAGACAATTTAACTTGCTCTTCTTGCTATTTGAATAACCTTTATTTCTTTCTCTTGCCTGACTGACCTGGCCAGAATTTCCAATACTATGTTGAATAGGAGTGGCGAGAGAAGGCATCCTTGTCTTGTGCTGGTTTTCAAAGGGAGTGCTTCCAGTTTTTGCCCATTCAGTATGATATTGGCTGTGGGTTTGTCATAAATAACTCTTATTATTTTGAAATACATTCTATTGATACTTAGTTTATTGAGAGTTTTTAGCACAAAGGGGTGTTGAATTTTGTCAAAGGTCTTTTCTGCGTCTATTGAGATAATCATGTGGTTTTTGTCATTGGTTCTGTTTATGTGATGGATTACGTTTATTGACTTGCGTAAGTTGAACCTGCCTTACATCCCAGGGATGAAGCTGACTAGATCATGGTGGATAAGCTTTCTGATGGACTGCCAGATTCGGTTTGCCAGTATTTTATTGAGGATTTTCACATCAATGTTCCTCAGGGATATTTGCCTGAAATTTTCTTTTTTTGTTGTGTCTCTGCCAGGTTTTGGTATCATGATGATGCTGGCCTGATAAAATGAGTTAGGGAGGATTCCCTCTTTTTCTATTGTTTGGAATAGTTTCAGAAAGAATGGTACCAGCCCCTGTTTGTACCTCTGGTAGAATTCGACTGTGAATCCATCTGGTCCTGGGCTTTGTTTTTGGTTGGTAGGCTCTTAATTACTAGCTCAATTTCAGAACTTGTTATTGGTCTATTCAGGGATTCAACTTCTTCCTGGTTTAGACTTGGGAAGGTGTATGTGTCCAGGAATTTATCCATTTCTTCTAGATTTTCTAATTTATTTGTGTAGAGTTGTTTATAGTATTCTCTGATGGTAGTTTGTATTTCTGTGGGATCAGTGGTGATATCCCCTTTATCATTTTTTATTGCGTCTATTTGATTCTTCTCTCTCTTTACACTGTGAGAGTAAAACCGCCTACTCAAGCCTCAGCAATGGTGGATGCCCCTACCCCCACCAAGTTCCAGTGTTCCAGATCAGCCTCAGACTGTTGTGCTGGCAGCGAGAATTTCAAGCCAGTGGATCTTAGCTCACAGGGCTCTGTGGTGATGGGACCCCCTGAGCCAGACCACTTTGCTCCCTGGCTTCAACCCCCTTTCCAGGGGAGTGAATGGTTCCGTCTTGCTGTCTCGCTGGCATTCCAGGTGCCACTGGTGTGTGAAAAAAACCTCCTGCAGCTAGCTCTGTGTCTGCCCAAATGGCCGCCCAGTTTTGTGCTTGAAACCCAGGGCCCTGATGGCATAGGCACCAGAGGGAATCTCCTGGTCTGCGGATTGCGAAGACCATGGGGAAAGCACAGTATCTGAGCCAGAGTGCATGCTTCCTCACGGGACAGTCCCTCACGGCTTCCCTTGGGTAGGGCAGGGAATTCCCCGACCTCTTGCCCTTCTCAGGTGAGGCAACGCCCCACCCTGCTTTGGCTCATCCTCTGTGGGCTGTACCTACTGTCCAACCAGTCCCAATGAGATGAACTGGGTACCTCAGTTGGAGATGGAGAAATCACCCACCTTCTGCGTCGATCTCGCTGAGAGCTGCAGACCAGAGCTGTTCGTATTCGATCATCTTACCAGCAAATTCAGGACCATTTTTATTTAACAAGACAATAAAGAAACCATGCTCAAGCTAGCATTTAGCCAGAGGCAGAGAGTACCCAGCACATTTAGTGCTGGCTGTTTAGAATACAGAGGACAATAGACAACTGATTGAGGTAGTTTCTCGTGTCAAATCAGTGTAATCTTGAGCAAGTTCCTTCCCTTCCCTGGGCCTCTGCTTCCTGATCTTCAAAGCAGGAGAGTTGGATGAAACACTTTCTGTGTGTCTTGCAGTGTTGACACTTGTCATTGCTGTGACTTTACTGTGAAGACATCTCATTGTTTAGTGGAGGAAGCCAAGTGCCCTCCTGCCACCCCATGGGGAAACACAGCCACCAGAAAGAGGAGGGAGAGGTGGTGTCTGGGGAGATGGAGGAGTCTGACTGCAGAGTTAGCCCTGGGGTGACTATAGGATTAACACGAGGCTCTCCAGTAAGGGCTCATTACCCCTTGATGAAACTCAAATGTCATCATGGGCACTCTGTTCTTACAGGATGGTAGCTCTTGGAATCTCAGAAGTTGGTAGAGTGGATATCTGGCTTTGGAAGGAGAAGGTCCTTTCTCCTTAGGGGAGACAGCCATGCACATGATCCGTAGAACACGGAGGGTCCAGAGATCTGAGAACTAAAGTTTATGCTTTGCAAACTGTAACAGTGTGATAAATATGAATTATTATCAACATGATTCTTGCTATTATTAAATCCTCACACTGCAATGTTAACTGGTTCATGTTTCAGCCCCAGCTCAGCCACTAGTTGGCTGTGTGATCTCAGACAAGCCAAGCTCCATCTCTGAGATATAGCTGCTTCATTTGCAAAGTAAGAAGGTAGACGTGCATGATCAGCTGAAGATGCTTCCTGCCTCAATCCAGTAAGTGTGATCAAGATGTTGAAATTAGTGGTTGAACAATCAGTAATCAGAAGCTCACCTTTCAAAAAGAAAAAGGCCAGCTGGAAAATGACATAATTAAAAGAGGAAAAGAAAACTCTTTCTCAAGAGGCTGCTCTTTCACAAACAGTCAGCATGTCTGTGATATTCCGTGTAGCATATTCCGATGACAGGGAAACACAGTGGATGTGCTGAAAGATGAGCAGCAAGTGGTAAGTGGAGGTGTTTGAAATAGAAAAGTCTATTTTAAAAGACGACTAATAAAGCTGGAGGAGGCGGCCCACACTGAAGCAGTCTGAGCCAACATCCTGTTGCCAAGACTCCAGTCCCCGCTGCTGTGCCCGGGGCCCTGGGACTGTCCTTGGCACAGCATGTGAGCCAGTAGGAAGGAGCAGAGGCTAGAAGCAGGGGCTGGGTTTCTGTCTGAGGAAAGGGGCCCATGGAGAGGGGCCCCAGGGAAGGGGCTGCCTGTGGCTTTGGCAGAGGAGACCCCTGCCCTTCCTGTGACCCCAGCCAGCTCCAGGCATGGTAGGGGGATGGGTACATTTCTCTAGGCGCATGCAGGAGCTGCACCGGTGCTGGGAAGAAGCAACAACACAACAGTTAAGAGCGGAGACCTAGAGCCAGACCGAGTTTGAATCCCGGCTTGTATCACTTAATAGCTGTGAGACTGTAAACAAGTTACTTAACCTCTCTGTCTGTCATCTTTTCTTGTCTATAAAACTTAATAATATTAGCTAATCATAGGGTTGCAGCAAGGATGTAAGTTAATTTTGTAAAGGATTTGGGACAGGGCAAACAGTACACTAGAGATTGTGTGTATTTTATATACATATAAAATATCTTATGTTTATTATATATAATATAGCTATTATATATTACATATGTAATACATATATAATATAGACATTATATATATGTATTATATATATAATAGAGGGATATATATGTATACATAGATGCATAAAATGTGGCCTATGAGTTGGGCCCACCCGTTTCTTGGGCAGAGGTCCAAGGCTAATCAGTGCCCTTGGTCTTCAAGTAAATAATGAAGCTCTGAAAGCTAATCTATGCTAACACCCTCAAGGTCCCGGTAACCCCTCTCTGGTCTCCTCTGAGCATTAGGCCAGATCTGCAGGAGGAGATGCTCAGGCAGCCCCAAGCCACAGCTTAGGACTGACCAGACTTCTCCCTGAGCTCCAGGCCCATATACCCAACTGCCCAGTGAATGTTTCTACTGGGATATCCACAGACATCTCTACTCATCATGCTCCCAAACCTACTCATGACCCAATTCCTTCCAGTGCAGACCTTTCCTTGTTTCCAGTCTCAGTGAATGACAATACCTGTGGGGAAAAGCAAGAGAGATCAGATTGTTACTGTGTCTGTGTAGAAAGAAGTAGACATAGGAGACTCCATTTTGTTCTGTACTAAGAAAAATTCTTCTGCCTTGAGATTCTGTTAATCTATAACCTTACCCCCAACCCTGTGCTCTCTGAAACATGTGCTCTGTCAACTCAGAGTTAAATGGATTAAGGGCGGTGCAAGATGTGCTTTGTTAAACAGATGCTTGAAGGCAGCATGCTCCTTAAGAGTCATCACCACTCCCTAATCTCAAGTACCCAGGGACACAAAAACTGCGGAAGGCCGCAGGGACCTCTGCCTAGGAAAGCCAGGTATTGTCCAAGGTTTCTCCCCATGTGATAGTCTGAAATATGGCCTCGTGGGAAGGGAAAGACCTGACCGTCCCCCAGCCCGACACCCGTAAAGGGTCTGTGCTGAGGAGGATTAGTAAAAGAGGAAGGAATGCCTCTTGCAGTTGAGACAAGAGGAAGGCATCTGTCTCCTGCCTGTCCCTGGGCAATGGAATGTCTCGGTATAAAACCCGATTGTATGCTCCATCTACTGAGATAGGGAAAAACCGCCTTAGGGCTGGAGGTGGGACCTGCGGGCAGCAATACTGCTTTGTAAAGCATTGAGATGTTTATGTGTATGCATATCTAAAAGCACAGCACTTAATCCTTTACATTGTCTATGATGCAAAGACCTTTGTTCACGTGTTTGTCTGCTGACCCTCTCCCCACAATTGTCTTGTGACCCTGACACATCCCCCTCTTTGAGAAACACCCACAGATGATCAATAAATACTAAGGGAACTCAGAGGCTGGCGGGATCCTCCATATGCTGAACGCTGGTTCCCCGGTTCCCCTTATTTCTTTCTCTATACTTTGTCTCTGTGTCTTTTTCTTTTCCAAATCTCTCGTCCCACCTTACGAGAAACACCCACAGGTGTGTAGGGGCAACCCACCCCTACAAATACCATCCTTCTAAGAGAGTATTGTAAAACTTTATTTACAAGATGGTGTTGCAATCCTTTAGCCCTCCCTCTCCCTGACCCAATATCTCATTTCTGGACAAGTTGTATCCATCCTTACTGTGTTCATCTCTGTATCTCCAGTAGTCTGGGATGTCATTGATTCTCGCCAGTGTTTGCTAGAAAGTTGAATGTATGAATGAATGAATAAATGAAGATGGTGCCTACACATCATCATAATAACAATCAAGGATTTATCGAGTACATACTGTCTTCCAGGCACCATTCTAAATGCTTGGTATATGTGCATTCCACACATATAAGAGCTTGACATATCCAAGCCTCATTGTGACGATCCCTGCATATGTGTTGAAAGAACACAAAGCATGCATGAGGAAGTCAGGTCTTGGTGGGTCCTGGGTAGAGCTTCTGGGTAGAACTTTCATAATCCCTCAAAGCCAATGGTGTTTCCTTACTTTACAAAGCCTTCTCAGAGCCAGGTTCTACTGAGCTGTGTCCGGCCCAGTACAGTGCAGTTTCTGGACCGTTTTTCTCCCCTGCCGGGAAGATGCAGAAGCTGCCGCTTCACCGAGTCCTCTAATAGCAAGGCCTTATTTTCTCTGCCACCCTGGGGCCCTTGCTCACCATGAGCTTACTTCTGTGCAGCTCCACACAACACACCGTAAAAGGAAAATGGTAATTAGAAGTAACGCTTGAGCAGGGGAACTTGCGTGGAAAAATGCTTTAGTTAAAAGAAGCAGTAAAGATTCCTTTAAAGTGTTAGACACACACACACCCATCTAGCTGTTCTCCTTTTGAAAGGAGGAGATGAGAGGACACACAAGGTGTATTGTGCATCTGTAGGCACCGCCTCCTTAGGGCTTGAGGTCGGGCCAGTCCTCTAGGGATCCTGCTGAAGTGGCCAATGGGATTGAGTTTACATCTCAGTAGCCCAGGACCAAAAGTCTAGCCCAACCAGATGGAATGTAGCAGGACTACATCCATAGCAGGGTCTCTGTGTGTATCCAAAACAGCTGCACAGGGACAGGATTGTGGAGACAGAGGATGGCAGCCCCTACAAGGACATCCCAGCTCCTGCTTCCTTTTTTCATAGCATTTATTGTCACCCAAAGCTATGTTTTTGCATGTTTGTTTATTACCTTATCCTCAACCAGATTGGGAAGCCCATGGAGGTAAGGATTTTATCAGTCAAGTTCACCTCTGTATGCATGCCATGCACAGAGCAGGGCACATACATAATTGGCGTTTTAGAATATTTCATGAGGGAAGATTCTTTGATTGCAAACTGCAGAATCCTGATGTCCCAAATGTTGCCTGGTGCATCATAAGCTTCTAGAACACAAGCTTTAAGAGAGCAGGGTCTTTGCATGTAGCATTCCAGTAGCTGTTCTGGAGTGAGGGTTAGCACGCTTTTCCTATAAAGGGATAGAGAGAAAAGATTTTCAGCTTTGTGGGCCAGGTGGTCTCAGCCACAACTACTCAATTCTGCTGCTGTAGTGTGAAAACTGACAGACAATATAGAAACCAACAAGTGGGCATGGTAATGTCTCAATAAAACTTTATTTACAAAAACAGGCAGCAGGCCAGATTTGAAGTAGTCTTCCAACTTCTGCTCTAGAATATAAACTCCATAAAATAAGGGATTTTAAAAAAAATGTAGATCCATAACCAGCACTTGCAACAGTGCCTAGCACACAATAAGTATGCAATAAAACATATGTTGAATGAATGAGTGAGGGGCTAAAAGTGGTTTTAGTCAACAGCTTGCTGTGGGTCAGGGTCATTATGTGTGTAGTTATATTGGCCTACTGAGCTAAAGACACTCTGGAAGCAGATACTGGAAGCCTCCTGTGTTCTGGGCTAGTTGGATGACACCTGGAATATCATTCCCAAAGCTAAGGGTCTAGAGTGCATGTAGAGGACAGGGCCTGAGATGGGGCAGAGACAGGTGACCTTGTGACATGGAGAATGGTGGAAGGAAATGGACAGACTGAGCCTAGAGAAGAGAAGAGTCAGGGAAGAGACAGTTTATATATTTCAGGACTTTCATGTGGTAGAACAATGAGATCTTTCTAAGAAATAAGAGGGCTATTTTTAGAACTTTCTGTAAGTTAGGTAGACCTTGGTGAGAGTGAGCTCTCACTCTACTGGGAGCGTTCAAACAGCCATGGGGATGCTGTGGAAGGGATTCACATATTGGAAGGGGGCAGGATTAGATACTGTTGGGTCACTTTTGACCCCAAGAGCCATTCTCACATGCAGCACTGCAGCACAACAGTCTGCAACACTGTTTCCCAAGCAACAGATGGTGACTGCCCTCCAGACAAAACCAGAATCCCCTGACTTGTATAGGAGGCCCCTTAGGGTTGTCCCTAGCCTTCTGCTTCAATCGCCCTGTTCCCATCTCCTGTTATCTGTACCACCTTCAACGAACACATTTTGGCATTTCTCATTCCCCTCTTGTTTCTCCTCTCCTGGCCTTTACACATACGATGTTGTATTAGTTTAGGTTTCTCCAAAAGGAGAACTGAGGCAAAGATCCAAGTGGGTGTAGTTTAAGAGTTGATCCTAGGAAGCATGGAGAGGGAGCAGGAAACTGGGAAGGAAAGGCAGCTAGTAAAAGTTACATTAGCAAACCCACCTTTGCTAATGCTGTGCTGACTGGAGCTTAACCCACTGGGGAGTGTCTGGGAGCCAGTGTATATCACATCACAGAGTCATCCTCCCCTGAAGAGTGAGAGAACTGGGGTATTTATACATCAACTCCCATCAGTCGTTAGTTGAGGAGGTGTGGGGAGGAGGGTTGAATGTTAATTTTCTAGCACCTCCAGGTCTGCCACTTACATGGGCAAAAGTGAGCTTTGGAAACAGGAGAAAGCCCTGAGGCAAAGAACTGCAGGTGTGGCAGTTGGAGGTGCAGCACTGATGTGATTGAGGGTGAGGGGCCAAGAGTAGGGCACCCAGCCATGTGTGCTGAAAGCTGCCTTCTGCTTGGAACTCCCACCCCACTCTTCTGTTTTGATTTTGATCCCACTTCATGGTCACATTGGCTGCTATGTAGGAATAAACAGCTCCTGGTTCAAGAGTTGTGATGAGTAAAGCATTGATTCACTCCTGCTCAAGGTCAAACGTGAGTTTGGTTAGGCAGTTCTCATCGCTGGTCCTGGGAAACAGATCAGGTTCACTTATTTGTGCAAAGGCAGGACATATGTGTCCTGCTGTGATGGACACATGTCTTGATAATACAAGACAGCATCGACACAGGCCTCATTGACCATTTCACCACCTGGTCCCATCCAGTGCCATTGTAAAACATACCTTCTACCTACTCAGGAACCACTCATTTGGGCCCTTAGTGGGAGATGGTTCATAACCTCCTTCAGACGTAATTCCAGTGCCAGTCCTCACAGGGTCCAGATCACTACGGCTGGTTTAGCTCCCAAGCCCTTGTATTCCTCCCTTCCTCCTCACTGGCTCCCAGCATGCCTTGTGGCTGACTGGCAGAATATAGAGACAAGGAAAAGAGACATTCCACCCTTTCCATGTGCATCCTTTATTCATTCACTCATGCTGTAAATATTGAGTGCCTACTATGAACAAACCAGGCCCTGGCCCTGTCCTCATGGAGTTCACGGTCTAGAGGAGAAGACAAACATTTAATCAAATAACCAAACATATATGTAATTACAAACTATTATGAAGTTGGTTTGGAGATTTGCAGACTGCTGGCTTCTTGACATCTGGGGAAGAATTCCTAGGCCTTTGCAAATTCTTCTGTGTGGGTTCAGGGTGGAAAGCAGTGTATGGTAGAGACCAAAGCAGATGGGTGAGTGTGCTGATCTTGTGGAGGCTTGGTAATTATAGCTGGTGCATTATTAATAAACATTCTGTCTCTGCTTCCTAGTTACGTACAGTTGCTTGGGCCGAATGCTGTTAAGCTTGAACCACGAGCTCTAAATTGTTCACCTTGTCTTCCTGTTTAATGAAAGGTTTTAGGAAGTACAGATCTGTTAGCAGGGGAGCACAATTGTTTTTGAAATCAAGAGAGCCCAAGAAATCTTAGGGAAGTGCTGGCTGATGATGATAATACTGGAGTGTCTGATGGGCAGGTGGAGGTCCCACTCAGCTTCGTAATAGGTGAAGACAGCCAGAGGGGTGAGGAAGAAAGAAGGGTCTGCTGCTTGCCCTTTCCCAGGAAGCCCAGTTGAAAACCTGAGGGATGGAGCTGCTACACTTGTTTCCTAACATCATCTGTTTTTTTTTTCTTGCTGCTGTGAATTGCTTTCTAGTTCTCAAGAGCATAATGCAATATCAACCATTTTGACTAGAGCTTTGTCCTTGGGAGGGAGTTTTCACATGAACAGGAGGCAGCAGAAAGCCAGGAAAAACAGCATTGACACGTTAGGTCCATTACACCCCAGGGAAAACTTTCCCACAGCAAGGTCACTAGAGGCAGCCTCTACACACAATGACTCCTGGGCAGAATTCTGCCCTTGGATAGATAGGGAATGACCTTGGCAAATGCAGAAGCCATTTGGATCCATTTTCAGACCATCAAATTTGGCTTGAGAGAAGTAGAATTAAAAATAAAAATCAATTAACACTCTTAGTGTCATTTGAAAAGTGAAAATTTCATGGGTTTTACATTCAGCTGTGTGACCCTGGATTTAAGGCAGCAGTGACCTGGGGTAAGTTTCTTGACATCTCTGAGCCTGGGATTTCTCATAGGTAAATGATATTCATTCAACAAACTTTTACTCTGGGATATAATGTCTGGGGATGTGGGAAGCTGTAGTTTTAAGGCCAGGTACAGGCCTAGGGATGGAACAAAAGAGAGGTGCATGGGGCTCTATTCCTTGGTGAAACATAGAAAGATGGTGAAAGAAATCTCTGTTTTGGGTAGGTCAGACATCCTGCACCGCATGAAGCACATGTTTGAAAACGGCCACTACCTAAGAGTGTCACCACCAAGAACCATTTAATTACTCACCTTCAGGCAGCAATGGGGAGGGAAGGGAGAAGTCCACTCACATTTCCTGAGTGCCTCCTGGGTGTCAGGAAGCACCCTATAAACATGCATGTATCACATTGAGTCTCCATCTACTCAGCTGGGAAGGTGTTACAGTTCTCCTTTTACAGATAAGAAAATGGAAGCTCTGAGAAGTGAGTCAACATCCTTGAGGTCAACACAGCTAGGAGACAGCAGAGCTGAGGTTCAAATCCAGATTTAACTGCTTCCAAAATTCTCACATTTTTTTCCATCAAGGAGATATCTAAGCTCCTATCTAGATCTCCATCCCCACAGACACCCTGGGTTGGTTCGGTTTTGGGGGATGAGATAGGACAGGCATAGAAGAGTGCATGTGTGCACCCTGCACCCACATAGGTAGTTCTGGTACCTTCTCTATCCCCTTCTGGACAATCTCAGCCAAATTTATGACAACTTCTGCATGCAGGTGACCTCCAAATTTCAGCCTTTAGCACCAAGCTCTCTGTTGAGTGCCACACCCAAATATCCAAATGGCTATTTGACGTCTGCAGCTGGATGACCTATGGGTACTCCAAACCCAGAGTGTTCATGAGTGTCCATGCATGCCCAGATTGATTACAGGCTTCCTCTCCTACTCACTGGCTCCTCCTCCATTATTCTCTGACTCAATGGATAAATCTGCTGAAGTTGGTGCTCTTTACAGCTCCGTGATCAGTCAGCCCAAGATCTTTGCTCTAATTTCTCAGTCATGTCCTTCCTCAAATGATTCTTCCTGCCATCTTCCCTAATTGGAGCACAGACCATCTCATGGAGGGACTGTCGAAGTATTCTCTCCCCTAGGGACTCTCTCTGTTCTCCAACTCATACTTTAACCTATTGTCAGTGTCTTGGTGGAAGGTGCAGGACCTTATTAGGTGGACATTGGGAGATGGTCATGTGGGCTAGATCTTTATTACTCAAAGTGTGGTCTACAAACTGGTAGCATCAGCAACGCTTGGGAACTTGTTAGAAATGCGGAATCTCAGACTCCACCCCAGACCTGAGAAATCAGAATCTGCATTTTAATGGGCTATCCAAGTACTTCATGTGCCATATTAACATTTAAGGAGCACCAAGATAAAGTGAACAGCAGGAGCAAACTGCAAAGGTCAAAAAGAATTGAGCATTTTCAGTGAAATATGAAGAAAATTGTTTGACCAGAGGGGAGGGGAGAGTAAACAAAAATCTGACAGCTGGAACTCTATGCAAGGCCAAGACATTACTCTGTGCATGTTAATTCCACAAAGCCACTCTAGGAGGTATTGTAATCCCTGAGAAACTAGAAGGACTTGGAAGGATGGTCATTATATTCATTCAAAGATCAGGGAACTGAGGCTAACAGGTGGTAAATTATTTGTTCAACTTTCCATAGATAGTAAGTAGTACGGTCAGGATCTGACACAGACTTCTGATCTCCAGTGCTCCAGTTGCCTCAGTTTAACAGATATAGCCCATTTCCCCATCACCGACCTTTGCAGAGCTGTGGTTTTCCAACTTAAGTGTGCATTAGGATTACCTGGAGGGCTGGTTAAAACAGATGGCGGGCCCCACCCTCAGGGTTTCTGATTCAGGAGCTCTCAAGAAGGGCTGGAGCATTTCCATTTATAACAAGTTCTCAGGTGATGGTGATGCTGCTGGTCTGGAGGCCACATCTTGAGAACCTAACCTGTGAGACTGACGTCATCTACAGGTAAGCTTGTTGGAAGAATAGCTGCTTATCACCATGTGTTTCCAAAGACTGAGATGGTTATTGGCTCTCATAGCTCACTTCATTTTTTCCTTACAACTATTCAATGCAGACAATATCACTTCCCATTTACACAGGCTGCAACTGGTGCTCAGAAAGATTCAGTGTATTTTTTTGTGGTAACACACTTACTAGAAGGCAGGCCCATACAAGCCCATTAACAACTCTAGCCTTGTAGTGTACAGTCTCAAGTTGGGAGGTCATTAAGGAGCCTCCTACTCTACTTTCAGTTAAAAGATGGGGAAATGTAGGCCTGGAGAGCAAGTGAGCTGCCTGGAGTTCCACAGCAACATAAGGGGATTGCCAGCTGGGGAACCCTCTCTTCTGACCCCAGGGCTAGTCACTGGCTCTTCCATCAGCTACTATGGAACTCTATGGACTTTGGCTCCCCAAATATTCACCAAGGAGCATTGCTCAGGACTTTAGACACTTTTCAAGGCCACGCATATTGGCTTGACAGACCATAGCAACAAGAGCCGACAGTTATCACGTACTTACTCGGTGCTGGTCACTTTTCAGTTAAGTGCCTTGGATTGACCCACCTGATCCTTGCTGCAATGCTATGGGTTGTCCTTTGCTGTGCTATGAGATGGATGCAGAGGTCAGCTGTGATCTCTGCCCTAGGGGAAACTCAAAGTCTAGAGGGGGAGACAGGCAAGCTCACAGAAATCTCAGTGTATTTAAATAACAATAGGCTGTGCACAGTGGTTCATGCCTGTAATCCTAGCACTTTGAGAGGCTGAGGTAGGAGGATTGCTTGAGGTCAGGAGTTTAAGACCAGCCTGGGCAACATAGTGAGATCCTGTCTATACAAAATAATAATAATAATATCAAAACAATAGTAACACTTTGGTGAAGATTTGCTACTTGTCAAGTCTTCATTTGGGTTAATTGATTTGATTTTTTTATAGCCAACTATGAAGTAAAGAAGTATTATTACCATTTTTACAGCTGAGGTAACTCAAGCTTACAGAGTGAGTGTGACTTGGAAATGCCAGAAGTTTCAAAGGAGCTGAGTGCAGGTCTTTCTGATGCCAGAACTAGCACTTTTAACCCTCTTATTACACCACATGTATGTGAATGTGTGTGTCCACACTGCACAAGGGGGAGCATCACCCTTGGCTTATGAAAAAAATGAAGGCAAAGGGCAGGAAAGATATTTATCCAGGTAGAGATTATGGTTTTTCAAGCACATTGCTGCAAAAGAAGCCAAGGCCAGTCTTCAGTGGGCCACACTCTGATGTGCTAATTATAAGTGAACTCTTAGCTGTTCATTAAAGATAGATCTTTTTCTGTTCCTTTATTTCCCTGCAAGCAGTCTTGACAGCATTGCTTTTAAAAATATTCTGTAATTCAGAGCGTTACACTTCACTAATTTACCCCCTGCATCTCTTCATTACATCACAGGCACCCCTTGTCTTCTCATCTTCCCCTATGATCCCTGAGTGGGGTTATCCCTATCCTCAGTCAGTGAACATATTTAGCTGAACCCTAAATCCCAAGGATTAAAGGCAATTAAATGAGATAATGCATATGGCGTCACTTTAAAACCATAAAGGGCCGCACAGATGCGAAGGGTTATTATTATGAGCCTTCCCTGTTAATGAGTATTAATGAGCTAAGGCTGCAGATTCCTAATGTTACAGAGCCCTAATATTAACCATATGGAAGCCTAATTTTCAAAGAGAATTAGAATTAACTGGAAGAAGAAGCTGCAAAAAATTTTGAATTCAATTCCCTCTCCTAATTCTTGGTATCTTGACCGCAATCTGCATGAAGCTAAACGGTTATGTGATGACATACTGGTTTATCTTTATTCTTAGCTAATTGCTTTAGGATACCTGCCCCCATATTATTCTGCATTTTCATGGTTCTCTTGATAGGGACCTAGATTTTTTTTTCTGCGAATGATGTAACATGTCTAATTTGAGCTTTAGGGTATATGGATACTGGAATTGAGAGGGCACATCAGAATCCAAAATATTTCAAGTTCCTTAAAGTCAAGGAGTGATTGGAAACACCTGCAGCCAGGCTGACTTCGCTGAGTTGTGACTTGAGATATTCCATGTAAAGTTCTTGCACAGAGCTTGGCACAAAAAAATGTAACATTATTGTCCTTATCATTTTTGAGTCTCTGACAGATACATAGACAGGGTTTTAGATCACAAAGCCTTGAAGGGCAGGGTACACATTTAGGTATTATTTTCTAGACTGTGGGGAGCCACTGAAGATTCTTGGGGCGGGGATGTTGAGCACAGTTTTGTGTTTTTGGGGCTTTTAACTCTAGCAGCTGGTATAGGAGGGAATATAACCACTGGTGTCAGGAAATCAGGTAGGAAACTGTTTCAAAAATCTATGAGAGTTGATAGGGGCCTGAACTGGGCAAGGCCAATGGGCTGGGGAAGAAAGTTTACACACAAGAGATTTTTAAAAATTAGCATAGATAGAACTTGGTGATTGATCAGCTATGGGCTATGACAAAGAGTGAGACTCAAAAAGTCTAGGTGATTTTTTAGGTTTAAGTTACTGGGTGAAGGAAGCCAACCAGGATGAATACAGGAGAAAGAGCTGCTTTGGGGGTGAAAGGCTGAGTTATATAAGTAGAGCCAAAGCCTTCATTCTAGTGGTTGGCATGGCTGTTGAGTTCCAGGACTATTTGGGAACAGAACATGCCAAGTAAAATGAAAGTATAAAATCAGAAGGATCTTGAGTGATCTCTTAATCCAGTCCCATTATTTTATAATTGAGGAAACTGAGGCTCAGAGAGGGGAAGTGACTTTTTGAAAACCACACATCCTTTATTAAGGAACCAGGTCTGGTTTCTGAGTCCCTCACCACCTCAGATCAGAGCTTCTTCCTATCCCACCCAAAATGTAAAGACAGAATCTGCTTCAGGCTACATTGTTTTCCAGAAAGAAATGAGACTTTGCCAAACTCTGGGGGAATTTTTCAAGCTTTGAATATATCTTGTTTCCTTTTAAATGAGTCCTAGTTTGTAGACATATCAGTGCCTGAACATAGACACCCACAGAATCACCCACAACTATGATTGAGGGGAGGAGGTGTCGAGCAGACAGCATGGGTGCCTTGGGAGAGGGAAAGGGAGGTGGGAATGTGGGAAAATTGTGCTCTGGGCTCCCTGAGAGGTGGTGTGAAGAGGGCAGCACTAACAGATAGGGAATAAGGCAGGTTAGAGGCACTGGTGCTGGGCGCGCTGAGGGAAGGGGACCAGGGATGCCATGAAGGCCAAGACCTAGGGGTTAGACCCAGCCAGGAGAAAAGAAAGGCTTTTTCTTGAAGAGCTCAAAATATCTGCCTTGGGCAAACAAGATGGAAACTCACAACCTCACAAGCTCTTCAATCACCCATCTCTGGGGGAGTCAATGCCATAATGCACCCATGCCAACCTCTGTGCTTGAACATCTCCAGTCACAAGGGAACGCACTTTTAAGTTCTATCCCCTTAGACCTCTAGTAGGTAAAATCCATTCTCCCACTGATGAGTGGAGAGAGATTCCTGAGAATGAGCAGAAATCTCTCCTTACAATGTTTCTCTGTGGCTCTTAGTTTTTGTTCTTTTTCCCCTGACATTTACACCTGTATCACTAGGCAGATTACATCTTTCTACAAGTCACCAACAATAGTTTGGGACAGAATAAATCCAAGAACAAAGCTCAAGCTCCATGGCACACTATCAGGGTACAGAATTTGCCAAGCACATTCTGCAAAGTTTGCAAAATGAAGATGGGGCCTGATTGGAGAAGCTGGGGAATGAATCCATGTGCCCCTTGCATGGCCTGCTGTTCCAACCTATGATGGACAGGCAACCCTCCTCAGGAACTGCAATGTTCTTGCCCAGGGTATTAGAATAGGGGGCAAGAGAGAGATTCACCCCACCAAGTTACTTGCTCAAAGTGCCATGGAGCTGTCAGCCTAGGGAGGGAACAGCCACTGCCTTGTTCTGCCCTAAGATGCCACAGGGTGTGTGCCTAACTTTGACACACACACGGGTTGCCTGCCCCTACTGTGTATCATTGGGGATCTCTCTACCAGATGGACCCTAATCCTTTGGGAATAGCTATGTAGCCAATTGATACTTTGCTAATTGCTCTTTTATTAAAACCATATTTCTGCATATTATCCATCTAACATATATATCTCTCCATATAGATTTATATTGATTACCTATTTTCTCCAAAAGCCAGGAGTGGTGGTCCCTTTTGTGCAGCATGGAGACACACATTCACATGCAGGTGGCATGATGTAATGAGAGGGTTAAAAGTACCAGCTCTAGAGTCAGAAAGACCTGCATTCAGCTTCTTTGAAACCCCTTGCATTTGTAAATCACCAGCTCTCTAAGCCTGAGTTTTCTCATTGTAAAAATGGTAACAACACTCCTTTACTTCATAGTGCGGCTGTGAAAAATCAAATGATCCAAATGAAGGCCTGACAAGTAGCAAACACTCATCAAAGCTTTACTGTTGTTTTTATTATATATAAATACACTGAGATTTCTGTGAGCTTGCCTGTCTCCCCCTTTAGACTTTGAGTTTCCTGAAGGGAAGGGACCATAGCTGACCTCTGCATCCATCTCCTAGCACAGCAAAGGACAACCCTGTAGCATTGTAGCAAGGATTAGATGGGTGAGTACAAGGCACATGATTGAGCAGCGACCTGCATGGAGTACGTATGTGACAATTGTTGGCTCTTGTTGCTATGGTCTGCTAAGCCAATATGCATGGCCTTGAAAAGTGGTGTCTAAAGTCCTGAGTATTGCTCCTTGGTGAACATCGGGGGAGCCCAGGGCCCAGGGAGGGTCCATAGTAGCTGATAGAAGAGCCAAGGACTGGCTCTGGGGTCAGGAGAAAAGGTTTTCCAGCCGGCTCCTTCCCCACCCTGCTGAGTAGCATTAGCAGAACCCAAAAGAGACCTATAATTTTAGGAGAGGGCCAAGTGGTAGGAGCTGTGGCCTTGGGTAGGGGAATGCAGCCGTGGCTTACTCTGGTTTAGCAGGACTTAAGAAAATAAATGTCTTGGCTTTCCTCTACGTCCACTCTTCTATCTCCTCCTTGTGTTTTTTATTGGCTAAGCCTAGCTGAAACCAGAGAGCAAGAGAGGTTGGTGATAGAGCCATAGAAGTCATTCTCTTGGGATTCATAGGAGAGTAGGGATGGGCAGGGTGGGGCAAGGGTGGGTGAATGAGAATGTCCAGCCAAGACCCAGGCACTGGCCTCCTCTCATGCAAGCAGATCTCCTTGATCTTCTAAACCAAGCCACAGAACCCTATCATATTTTGAACAATTTTTCAGTCCCAGTTCCTTGGGGCTTTAGCTTCCCTATCCATTTTACCCATCAGTGTCACACTCATACCAGCCAGCCCTTGGTGATGTGTCAATTTTCCATCTTCACCTGACTTTTCAAAACTCAAGTCCCTGGGGAGATCTCTATGTGTAGGCTCCACCTCTCTTCCTGGAGCCACAAATGCTCAGAACTGGGGCTTTGAGAGCTGCCCTGAGTCGTCATCTCTGTCACATCTGATGACAGTTTTTATTAGGACTTTCTGAAAGCTGCTTTCAGTTTCAGGATGTGTGTCCAACCTTTTCTCAGCCATTAGGAACCCTGAGCTGATACAGTCACTTTCCCTCAAGGCATCTGTCACTTACAGTTTGCCAACCAGTTCCTCCTTGCTGGTCATCATTAGGGCCGGAGAAGCAGGTCCCACTGGGAGTTGAGGTAGTGAGGGAGAGAAGCCAAGAACTTTTTAGATTCATGTCTTTAGTCAAATGAGACTTGGAATAGCCATGTGGCAGGTTAAGCCTTCCATCACTTTTAGAGTTGGTCAGTCCCAGGCCCCTAACTATGCCCCCTTGCAGTCCCTAAAGACCTGTCTTAATTTCATCCCAGGGCCCAGTACCTACTCTCAGACTCTCTGGTAGCTATTGTGGCCTGCTCCCTCATCTGCCCAAATGCAAGGAACTAGAAATAGTGCCTCATTGCAGCCCCTCGTCATTGTATGATCCCAACCTACTCCAAATACCCACCATCTATCTACCCAATTACCACTGTGCCCTTCTCAATCTTCTTCAGATGAACTGATCCCTTGGGTGGTAGACAGAATAGTAATCACCTTTCCCCTCAAAATGTTCATGACTGAATCCCCAGAATCTCTGAACATATCATCTTATATGGCAAAAAAGACTTTGCAGATGTGATTAAATTAAGGTTCCTGAGATGCGAAGATTATCCTGGATTATCCATGTGGGAGTCAATGTAATGACAAGGGTCTTCATAAGAGGGAGGCAGGGGTCAGATTTAAAGAAGGTGATGTGATAGAAGCAGAGGATGGAGTGCTGTCATTTCTGGAAGGGGCCATGAGCCAAGGAATGTGGGCATCCCTAGAAACTGGAAAAGGCAAGGAAAGTATTCTCCCTGGAGCCTCCAGAAGGAGCAGAGCCCAGCTGACCCCTTTATTTTAGCCCAGTAAGACCTGTTTTCAGCTTTCTGATTTATGCAACTGTAGGAGAATAAATTTATGTTATTTTAAGCCATTAAGCTTGTGGTAATTTGTTACAGCAGCAATAGGAAATGAATACAACCTGCTACTCAAGAAGTGTGGTCTACAGCAGGGGTCCCCAACCCCTGGGCCATGGACCAATACCAGTCTGTGGCCTGTTAGGAAGTAGGCCACACCAGCAGGAGGTGAGTGGCAGGCCAGCGAGCATTACTGCCTGAGCTCTGCCTCCTGTCAGATCAGCAGTGGCATTAGATTCTCATAGAAGTGAGAACCCTATTGTGAACTGCTAAAGCGAGAGATCTAGGTTGTGCACTCCTTACAAGAATCTAATGCCTGGCCGGGTACAGTGGCTCACACCTGTAATCTTAGCACTTTGGGAGGCCGAGGCGGGTGGATCACGAGGTCAGGAGTTCAAGACCAGCCTGGCCAGCACAGTGAAACCCTGTCTCTACTAAAAATACAAAAATTAGCCGGGCATGGTGGCGCACGCCTATAGTCCCAGCTACATGGGAGGCTGAGGCAGGAGAATCACTTGAACCCAGGAGGAGAGGTTGTGGTGAGCCGAGATCATGCCACTGTACTCCAGCCTGGGCAAGAGAGCGAGACTCAGTCTCAAAACAAAACAACACCAAAACCAAAAAAAAAAAAAAGGATTTAATGCCTGATGATGTCACTGTTTCCCATCACTTCCAGATGGGACCAGCTAGTTTTAGGAAAACAAGCTCAGGGCTCCAACTGATTCTACTTTATGGTAAGTTGTATGATTATTTCATTATATATTACAGTGTAATAAAAATAAAGTGCACACTAAATGTAGTGCACTTGAATCATCCTGAAACCATCCCCCTGACTGTGGAAAAATTTTCACAAAACTGGTCCTTGGTGCTAAAAAGGTTGGGGACGGCTGGTCTGTGGCATCACCATTACCTAGTAGCTTCTTAGAAATGAAGAACCTTCATCCTCACCCTGGACCTGCTCACCCAGGATCTGTAGTTTAATACCATATCCAGGTGATTCCAATGCATATTAATTGGTATGCTTTTGTCTTCCCCAGGACCCCTACCTGCAGATATTTAGCTCCAATTTGAACCAATTCAAATTAGAAAGGATCCAGTCCAATGAAAGAAATAGATTTGTTATGAGAAGAAAAAATGACCACCCCCTCTACCTTTTTTTTCCCTCACCTCACTTTTATCTAAGTATAGCTAATAAAGGACCAGATTTTTAAGAATTATTTTTAAAAATTTACTTATGTCTTTAATGCCTTATTATTTTTTCCTGGTGCTGAGGTTAGGGTAGAAGTAAATTTTAGATTCTGAAGCTGTTACCATAAGCCAATCGTTGTCCTATCCCCATCACATTTGTTGGGGACTCCCTGCATTACTGGCCCTGAATAACCACTGAGTGAGAGGTAGGGGTATTTCACAGGGGTGATAAAGTAGGATGTGTCTCAATGGTGGAAATTCGATTTGCACGCTGCTCAACCAGAATCAGCATAAACTCTGAGCCTTGCTCTGGCCATGACCTGGGTAGGTAGATAGATCCAGATTTATCAATGGCTCTGAAACAAAGGGAAAACCCCACACACTATGGGAGGCCAGCACTGACCACCAGATGAACAGGAAGCCTTGATGTATATGCTCTCATAATATATCCTTCTGTGTGAAATACTACAAATTTCTCCCAAGACAAGAAGTTGTTACATTCATTTTTTGGCAAGTACAAGAGGCAGTCATCCCACAAAGTCTAGGAAAGGGGATATATCTTTTGGATTGCAACCCCTCAAATGGACTCCTCAAGTGATTTGGGGTACTCTTCCTGCTGCCCCATTAATGGGGACATCTGGTTCTAGACCCAGCCCCTCCTAATTTGATTTCCATTTGCTGTTGAGCTTGAAACTCCTATTCTGGAATTGCCAGAATATCCTGAATTCTTCACAAAAGTCTTCTTGAGGGGGAAGCATTAATAGAGCTCCGTAGAGAGCCATGAGTCCTTCTCTCCCTAAGGTCTTGATACAAGAGAGTCTTGTTAACTGTCAGCCAGTATCACACTGGTTACCTCCTGGAGCCTCTGTGGGAAAGAGCATCTCAATGCTTTGAGGGAGACTTTGGGTTGAAATAGGTTTCCAGGATAATTAACACCAATTGAGAACACAGGCAAAACTTCTTGTCTTCCAAATTTGAAGCCCACATTAGCTAATTAGTTCTAATTAGAGGCTGACAGTTCCATGTGGCACAGTGAGCATGTAATAGGCAGATGTTTTTGTATGTGTCTTGACAAATTAATGAAGATGGGTTGGGGGATTTCTTTACAGGCCCATGGGCCAGCTAGGTGCTAGAACATATCTTTTCTTGGGAAAGGGTTTTGGTTTTGGGGAAGCTTACGTGGTGCCCCCAGAGGAAGCCCATCTATTGATAATAATGCCTTTATGTATTCCAGAAACACATAGTGAGCACCTACATTGGCGAAGAATTGGTCGAAGTAGTGAAGGAGACACTACTTTCACTATGTGGAATCCCAAAGTCTAGTTGGGAGGCAAAAATAAACCGAAAGGATCCAGTGGCATCCTAGCCAAAGCAGTAAGATAAGAAAAATACAAAAGGAGATCTAAATATTAGGAAGATCCAAAATGCCACAGTTTGTATGATTCCATTTATATGACATCTTGGAAAAGGCAAAATTATAGTAATGGAGGACAGATCAGGGCTTGCCGGGGTTTGGGGATGGGAAGAGGTATTGACTAAAAAAGGGCAGCACAAAGGAATTGTTTGGAATTGTTCTGCATCCTTATTGTGGTGGTGGTTATACAAATCTGTGTATGTGTTGAAACTCGTAGAACCGTATGCCAGTTTTCCTGCATGTTATTTTAAAAAATGAAAGAAGAAAAAATGGATTACAGCTTATGTATGGACCAACATCTATGCATCTCAGTGTCGAATAAAACCCACAAATTTATTTTACATTGTTTGAATTTTCAGACAATTTTGAAAAGCATGTCTTTAAAAAGTAATCCTTAGCTCAGTTTGTATACATACGTATTTTTATAACATGAAGATCTTTTGCATTAATGCATAAACTAGTTGAAATAAACAAGGAAAGAATTGTAAACTTTAACTCATATAAAAATAAATTAACATAAAAGTGTTAAATTTGGGTTTATAGGAGATATGGAGAGAATCCTCATGGCATTTGAGACTCTAATTCTAGTTTTTCCTGAGCCTTTGGGTTTAGTGAGGTGCCTCAATATCCTCATGATAAATTTACCATACTTGTTTAGCCTAAAAAATACCATGATTTATAAGTGACATGTCTGTCTATATAAAAAATTCAAGAGACTCAGCTAAAAGTAGTTGATGCTAATAGGAGTGTTCAGTAAGGTAGTGGGATGTAAGATGAACATGAAGAAAAATAGCATTTCCATTGATTAGAAATATGTAATTAGAAAATACATATAAAAGGATCCCATTTATAATAGCAGCAATAAAAACAATATAAAACTCTGGGTAATTAACTAAAAATAGTCCAGATTTATATGAAAGCAAATACAATACTTTACTGAAAGCCATGAAGAATGGCTGGAATCAATGAAGAGACATATCATGGTCCTGGATTGGAAGAGTCAATCAAAAGTGTAAAGATGTCAGTCCTTCCCAAACTTATGAGTAAGCTCAAAGCAATCTCAGTGAAAATTTGCGTGAGCAAAAGCATAGGGGACGTGAAAGCTGATTCCTCAGAACGTAAGCAATCTAGGCGGACTGACTGAAGCATTGGTGGTGAGAGTATGAGGTGTTCTCCTGGGACCAGACTATGAAGAGCCTAGGCTGCTAGACTGAGGACCATGCCCTTCATCTGACAGCCCATAAGAAACTCTCGAAGATTTCAGTTCAGGAACTAATAAGATCAGAACTGTGTGTGAGAAATAGATCTTGGCTGATGTGTAGGATTGAAGGAAAGGGTGAGACCCAAGGCAGGGACCCTGACCAGGAGGCTGCTAACTGGAATGGTCTGAAATGACTGCCATGCTGCCTGATCCAAAGGAGTTTCCCAGTGAATATTAGCACTCTCCCCTCCCCTACACCCCACTCCCCTGATCTTCCTTTCTCTCCCCTTCCCTCCTCCTCTGAAGCAAAAACCCAGTGGAGAAATGAACTAACAGAGTTGCCCTGAGAGGGGGTGAGATATTTTCTGCCAATCTGGGGTCATTGGGGAGGGTTATCTTAAGGAAGATGCCAAGGTTTGGAATCTGGAAGCCTGGGTGGACAATGATGATGATAAATGCTACTTTAAATATTTATTTATTTATTTATTTATTTATTTATTTATTTATTTAAGACAGAGTCTCACTCTGTTACCCAGGCTGGAGTGCAATGGCACAATCTCGGCTCACTGCAACCTCTGCCTTCTGAGTTCAAGTGATCCTCCTGCCTCAGCCTCCCCAGTAGCTGGGATTACAGGCACACACCACCACACCAGGCTAGTTTTTTTTTTAATTTTTAGTAGAGACGGGGTTTCACCATGTTGGTCAGGCTGGTTTTGAACTTCTGATCTCAACTGATCCACTTGCCTCAGCCTCCCAAAGTGCTGGGATTGCAGGCGTGAGCCACCGCGCCCAGCCTAAATGCTACTTTTTATTGAGCATCCACTATCCGTAAGACAGGAACTAGCACTATCCCATTTTTTAATTTTTAAAAAAAATTTTTAATATATTTTTTATTTTTATTTATTTATTTATTTTTTAAAGAGGAAACAAAGAAGTTAAGTGTTCAGAAAGCTGAGGCAGGACCTAACCTGGTCACTGGTCATATCACCGACATCCCAGCACCGGGTACAAAGAGTTCAGCAAATGTTTGCTGTTCACCAGATGTTGCTTCTCTAGAAATGTCCTTGCTGTGGGTTTGGCTGATGCCTTATCTTTATGAGTAAATCCCTTTTCCTTTCATAAATAAGTCACCATTTTGCAAGGAGGGGAAGAGAAGCGTTGAACAGGAAGGGTGGGGAGGTAGGAGCAGAAAAGAAGGGGCTGAGTAATGGAACTCGAGGTGTTTTTATAAATTAGGAACCACCCAGCTTGCCACTGACCCAGGCATCTTTATCAATTTGCTCCTCCAGGCCATGCCAGCCTAGCACAATAAAGCTTCCTGTCCATTTCAGGCTTAATCACACAGAATGTAAATCCCTCAGCAGAGAGGCAGCTGCGAGGGATGGGGCACAATCCGCAGGGCTGTTCATTTTCATCTTCTGGCACGTAATGAAATCAGGAATGCATGTCTGCTCACCAGGGCTTCTTTGCTCCAAATTGTTAAGTAAGCATCCCTGCTTTAGCCTCATTAGACTCCCAAGGCCGCTGATGAAGGGGGATGGAAGCCAGCATTTATTGAATGATTCTGGTGTGCTAGATACTTTCTACGTGATTCACTCCTCTAAAAAGCCCCGTGACATGGGCACTATTATCCTTATTTTACAGCTAAGGAAACTGAGCTCAGAAAGGTCAGCCCAAGATCATGGACGGATAAAATGAGTAGGGAATCATGAAGCGACATATCTGTGCAATTTCAAATCCTATACCCCAAGCCTTTTTTTTTTTTTTTGCAGTTATTAGATATAAAATAACTTTTATATAATTTTGGGGGGATTTCTGGGAGAAGTTTGAGGGAACTGAAGGTTATTACTTTTCATAATTCATTTTGGTTGTGTCAATTTAATTAACATTCACTGAGACTCTGATCCACTGTGGCTCTGATTTTTAGGCATAACTTGTGTGTCCATCATTCATGCTAAATAGAGATAGTAGTCCTGTCCTCTGCTTCTGCTCCTTTTTCTTCTTCTTAGTTTTTAGACATCCTGGTTTGTGTTCTAGTTCATAATATCTGCCCTAAGATCTTCATTCTTATTTTGAAAACTACATTTAGTTCCTCTTCTAATACCCCTTGTCCTGCCTCATCCGATTCTTATTTTGCCCCTTGTACTATTCAGGGACACCTGCGGCTCCAGGTCAGAGATGCACCTGCTAGTCCTGCCTCTACAGGACCCAACCCATCAGTTCCTAGCTTGTCCTTCTGGTGAGAATTGAGCACACTATACTGTGGACATAAAGACAAGTAAGTTGTCATTCATGCCCTGGATGAACATGGAACCTAACTGGGAGGTAAATACACACCTGAATAATTAAAAAATAAGCTATAATTGAACAAATGCTAGAGTAAAGTGCATACAGAAATTTTAGGAAGTTGGTGGGTAGGGGAGTAAATAATAATGTGTTGTTCCTTAAGTCATAATAAATTTCAAAATATCTGTTAACATCTATTTCCTCTATTCCCATTACTATGTGAATTCTTAGTTCCTGACAAATGAATTAGTTGAAACAGTAACATTATTTTGGTATTTTTATTTATTGTTTATTCAGTCTGGGTCAACATCATAGAATGCTGAATCAGCAGGCAATTCCACAATAATCTGCTTGAGTACAAGAATTTGAATATGATATGTTGTAGGGATAGCAGGATACCAATATGGGGAGTGGGTTTGGGTAGCCCCCCATACCCTTAAGTGAATAAAGGGCTAGGCTGGAAAGTTATGAATGTGGAATGGATGGTTTGAGAACTCCAGACGTGGGGCAGGTCAACACTGACCTCTTAGGAGGAAGGAGTTTAGATGGGATAACATTTTGACATTCCCTTTGGACAGGGACCCTATGGATTAAGTGGGAAAGCTAGAGAGGGAGAAGGAAGTGGTTGTTCAGATAACATAGGTGGGACTTCCAGATTCAGGTGGCATCTGGCTGTGGCACTTGGGTTCCCTTTTCTCCTCACCCGTGGCACTTCTCATGAAGACACAGAAACCACTACTACTTTTTGGTAACATGGATTCTGGGCCTTGGGTGGAGTTTTTACTTAGTAAAGCAAGGATGATACTCTTGGGCAAAAGAACAGAAAAATACATGATAGGAGATTTTCAGTTATTACTCCTATCTACTTCCTGCCTTAAAGGCAGTGTCTCCACTGAACAAAAGGAGAGAAACCCGCACTTACTACACAGAAGCTGTTTCTGAGGCCATTTAACCTCCAGCACTCCCTATTATCACTTCTATTGATTTACCATTTGTGGGACTAATTTAAACTTTCTAGAAATTAAAAAAGCAGGAAGGGATCGTGGCAGATGAAAACAGGATATGGATCTTTGCATATGTGTCTTAGTCTGTTTGTGCTGCTAAAACAAAATGCCATAGACTAGGTAATTTATAAGGAAGATAAATGGATTTTTTCATGGTTCTGAGGATCTGGAAGTCTAATATCAAGGCGCTAACATCTGGTGTCTGGTGACGGCTGCTCTCTGCTTCCAGGATGGCTCCTTCTTGCTGCATCTTCCAGATGGGATGGACACTGTGTCCTCTCATGGCAGAAGAGTGGAAGAGAAAACACCCACTCCCTCAAGCCCTTTTAAAATGCCGTAATCCCATGCATGAAGGTTTTGCTTTCATGACTTAATCACCTTTTAAAGGCCCCACCTGTTAACACTATCATTTGGGTGATTAAGTTTCAACATATGAATTTTGGGGTGCACATTCAGGCCATACCAATACCAGACTGTGAAATCAACGAAATTGACTGTGAAATCTATGAAAGAGTAGAGCTAGAGAGACCTGTGAGACAGTTATATGCTGGTGAATGTAAATGTCCATGCATTGCTTTTCCTAAAGCAGAGACGGCTGCATACAATTATCCCAGAATATTCCCTCCACATGTTCCGAAGTCAGCCCATTCTGGTCTAGAATACACATGAGAATAAGGACTGTACCACTAGGAATTTGGAATCTGTGCATATTAATCAGCCCTCAGCTTAAGGTCTAGATGTGGATTCTAATTATAGTCATGTAGTTAATAACAAGGACCAAAGAAGATCCATCCAAACTATGTACTGGCAACATGCCTGACCAGCTTTCTCCTTTATCAAGCATGAATAATAGGAAAAACAAAACAAGAGACCTTGAAGATTTTTCTGAGACATAAAAAGGAGAATACTAGATTCAGAAGAAAAATGTCTTGAAAAAATATAAAATAGTTAATAAAGGCATTTACTAGGATGCGTCTTTTTGTGTTCTCAGTAAATTTGAACGCTGAGATACAAGAAACGACAGATGACATAGTAAGATTAAAAGAGTTGCTAAGATGCAAGCAGAAATTGAGATAAAGATTGTAAATACCTGTAAAATCCAATAGCTTAATAAAACTTGTATTGGGATTAGAAGCAGTAAAGAAAATAAATAATATTGCAGAAAATGGAGTTGGTGTTAAGGAAGATGCAGTTAAGAAGATCTCCTGGAATGTAGAGAAAAAGCCCAGGGAAAGAAGGTAGTTATCAATGGGGAGGATATATGGAGGACAGAGAATGGAAATTCTGGGCTGTAGGGACAAAAGATGGAAGCAGTGTCACTGCGCCCAGGGGCAGGGATCACCAAGTAGAAACTGGAAAAAGAGGGAGCCTTGTCCAGCCCAAGTTGGAGTCACAGAAGGGATGCAGTCAAGGCAAGGAAGAGGGGGAAATACCCTTCTTCTTGCTTTCCACACTGCAATCTTCTGCCAGTCTGTATCTCTGGCCAAACCTATCCTGAAGGGAGCGGATGAGGGAACCTGGAAAATGCAGCCTGTATGGGTCAGCCCTACTGTGATACCAAATAAGCAACGGAAAGGGCAGGGATGGGCATGAGGGCAAAAACAGGTGAAGGACTGGTCTATACAACTTAGAAGACACTTTTTACAACAAAAACTGCCTGAGTCAAAAGTTGATTTGACTGACACAAATTAAATGTATCAGTTAAATACGTGAAGGCCAAACATGACAGTAAATGGATTAAATTCCTCCATTAAAAGAAGATCTGTCTTAGATTTGGTTTAGAATCCACCAAAGCCAATTATAGCTATTTGTCAAAGCTTCACCTAAAAGAGGCAAAAAAAAAAAAATGCTAAAAATAAAAACTGAGACTAGGAGTGACAATATTAACATCAGTAAAAAAGTATAGTACAAGGTAAATATAATTATTAGAAGTCATTTTATGCCAATGAAAGAAAATTCACATGAATGCTATGATCCTAATTTCCATTTATCTCAGTGATTCTCAACTAAGTTGGTAAAAGATGCCCCAAAGATCATATCAGAGTCTAAGAAGTCATTTTATAAAAACTCACATACACACATATTCTGATATTCAGCGGGAGGGGGCAAGTAATCCCATTTCCACTGACCCAGAATTACTACTGATGGGCATACATTGCAGCCTTCAGATGTTGTGGCAAACAACCAACCAACCAACCAAAAAAACCCTAAACAAACCCAAAACAAAACAAAACAAAAAACCAAAAAACCATCATGTAGCCTTTGGTTTAAAATAAATGTATGATTAGTAATATTGACTTTGATTTAATAGATTTGGATTAAATTTTGTGTTCTGAAAATGGCAAGAAAATTTTCATTGTTTTTATGCAATAAAACATGGAACATTTATCACAATCTATACTAGTTTATAAAGAAAATTGATGATCAAGATATTGGAAATGATTCTGGATAAAATCTCTGATAAGAATGAAATAAAATTAAAATTAGTTTAATTTTATAAAGTGTCAATGAAAAATTCCAAACATCAGTTGGCTGTTAACATGTGGCTTTATTTCTGGATTTTCTATGCTGTCCCATTGGTTTATGTGTCCAGCTTTATACCAATACCATGCTGTTTTGGTTATTATAATTACGTTTTTGAATGCTGTTGGATTTGATTGGCTAATGTTCTGTTGAGGATTTTTGCATCTCTGTGCATTAGGGATACTGGCCTGTAGTTTTTCTCTTTTACATGTGTGTCCTTATCTGGTTTTACTATGAGGGTAATGCTGGCCTTGTAGAATGAATTAGGGAGAATTCTCTCCTCTTAGATTTTTGGGAGTAATTTCAGAAGGATTGGTATTAGCTTATCTTTGTAAGTTTTGTAGAATTCAGCTGTGAATGCATCTGGTCCTGGGCTTTTCTCTGTTGGGAGAGTTTTTATTACTGATTCAAACTCACTACTCATTTTTGGCCAATTTAAGTTTTCTATTTCTTCCTGATTCAATCTTGGTTGGTTGTGTGTTTCCAGGAATTTATCCATTTCCTCTAGGTTTTTCAGTTTGTTAGCATATAGTTGTTCATAATCATCTTTTGTTTTTCTGTAGCATCAGTTGTAATGTCTCCTTTTTCATTTCTGATTTTGTTGATTTAAGTCTTCCCTTTTCTTGTTTAGTCTGGCTAGTGGTTTATTGACTTTGTTTATCTTTTCAAAGAATTGACTTTTTTCTTTTATTGACTTTTGTATTTTTTTAGTCTCTATTTCATTTAGTTCATTCTAATCTTTACTATTTTTCTGCTAATTTGGGGTTTTGTTGTTTTTTCCTTTTTTAGTTTCTTTAGGTACATTGTTAGACTGTTAATTTATAATATTTCCACATTTTGATGTAGGCATTTATTGATATAAACTTCCCTCTTAGCACTGCTTTTGCTATATCCCACAGGTTTTGGTTGTTGTATTCCCATTTTAATTTGTTTCAAGAAATTTTTTTATTTTCATCTTAATTTCTTTGTTGATGTAATAGTCATTCAGGAGCATTTTTTAAATGAATTTGTATAGTTTCCAGAGTTCCTCCTGGTATTGATTTATTTGTTTTATTCTATTGTGGTCTAAGAAGATACTTAATATAATTTTGATTTTTAAAATTTGTTGAGACTTGCTTTGTAGCTTAACATATGGTCTATCCTGGAGAATATTCTATGTGCTGATGAAAAAATGCATATTCTGTGGTTGTATAGAACGATCTGTAAATGTTAGGCCCATTTGGCCTAAAGTCCAGTTTAAATCCAATGTTCTTTGTTGATTTTATGTCTAGGTGACCTGCTCAATGCTGAGAGTGGAATGTTGAAGTTCCCCACCACTACTGCATTGCATCTATCTCTCTCTTTGGACCTAGTAATATTTGCTTTATGAATCTGGATGCTCTAGTATTGAGTGCATATATATTTAGAATTGTTAGATCCTCTTGCTGGGTTGATCTTTTTATCTTTATGTAATAATGTTCTTTGTGTGTGTGTGTGTGTGTGTGTGTGTGTGTGTTTTGTTTTTTTTTGTTTTGTTTTTTTGTTTTTTTTTTTTTACTGTTTTTGAGTTGAAGTCTGTTTTATGTGATAGAAGTACAACTATTCCTGCTCATTTTTGGTTTCCATCTGCATGGAATATCTTTTTCCATCTTTTTACTTCCAGTCTCTGTGTCTTTACTAATAATTTGAGTTTCTTGTAAGAAGCAAATAGTTCGATCACATTTTTAAAAGACTCTATTCAGCTATTCTCTCTTTTTTTCATTTTATAAACACTTGGTTTTATTGCACAGAAGAAGTTGAAAGTGGACTCCAGTGGAAAGTGCGCACTGGCATAATTCAGTGGCCAGTGCCCAGCCCCACCTGGGCAGCTCTTCTAGAATAGAGAGCTCTGGGCAAGGGCTTGACCACTCCTTTGGAAAACAGAAGGCATGTAGAAATAGTTTAAGACATGTCAAGCATAATGTGTTTGTAACTGCTCATTCATTATTGTGGTCATCTGTCAGTTGCACATGGAGGAAATAAATGCACTTATTTGGAAAGGAGGGAGGCAGTTTTTTATAGTCAAGAGTTTACGTGTGGCATTCAGCATGTACCACATTCAGCTACATAAGCTTTCATAACAATTGTCCATCGCTTGGGGAGGGTGTGGGGGCAGGGGGCTGGGAGTGCCCTCTCTTGCTAACATATTGCTAACAGAAATTCCTGTTTGAAGAAGAAGGCCCCATCATCTAAGCAGTTTCTTCTTACATTAAGAGAGAAAAAGTGAAAATTGCATTACTCCGATCCTTGAGCTCTGGGCCCCTTCTGAGTTTCTTTGGCTGCTCCAGACATTCCTTTCTCCGTGCCTTACTTCCCCTTGGCAGCCTTGTCTTCTGTGGCTTTCTCTGGAGGCCTGCTGTCTTTTTGGTCTGTGCTGGAGGATTTTTCAGCCTTTTCTGCTTTATGTTTGCTTGGGTCCCTTGAGAGGGTCTTGTCATCCTCCTTGGTTTTGGCCTCTGTCTTGGGTTTCTCCTCAGGCTTCTTGGCCTCGGTGGCCTTCTCCTCCTTGGTGTCTTTTTTCTCTGGTGCTGCTGCTGCCTCCTCCTTCTCTGCTGGTTTGGTAGGTCCCTTGGCTTTGGCATCATCTGGTTCCTTCTTGGCCACCTGTCATCTCTTTGGGTTTAGCGTCTTCCTTCACCTCCACATTGGCAGGAGCCTCCTTCTCTGGGGTGGCTGCTTTTTTCTTATCTTTAGTCTCTTCCTTCTTGGCTTCAACTTTGGATTCTTTGGGCTTTTCGAGCCCAAACTTGACTTCAGCTGAAGATTTTGCCTCTTCCTTCTCAGAGGACTTCGCTTCCTCCTTTGTTGGGGACTTGGCCTTTTCAGGCCTTTTCAGGGGACTTGACCTCAGCTGGAGACTTTGCTTCTTCCTTCACTGGGGACTTGGCCTCAGCTGGTGACTTTGCTTCTTCCTTCACTGGGGACTTGGCCTTCTCTGGAGACTTGGCCTCAGCTGGTGATTTTGCCTTTTCCTTTGCTGGGGACTTGGCCTTCTCGGGGAACTTGACCTCGGCTGGGGATTTTGCTTCCTCTTTCTCTGGGGACTTGGCCTCAGCTGGTGACTTTGCCTCTTCATTCACTGGGGACTTGGCTTCCTTTTCTGGGGATGTGGCCTCTTCTGTTGGGGGAGACTTTGCTTCTTCTCCCCCTTCTGCCCCCTCCTCTTCACCCTCTTCTTCCTCCTTGCCCTCCTCCTCTCTGGCCTCTTTCTCCTCTTCTTCAGTCACTTCTTCAGTCACTTGGGTCTCCTCCATCTGTTCCCCCACAATCACAGTTTCTCTGACTTCTCTACCACTTTGATCTTCTCTTCACTTTTGACCTTTATGTGAGTGGACACGGAGGGAATTTTGGGGAGTCCTTCTGGAAGCGAGAAAGGAATTGGGCCGAAGCTAGTCCGACACTCTTCGCCTTCCAGGAGTTTTCTGTAAGCGGCTATCTCTATATCCAAAGCCATCTCGACATTAAGCAGGTCCCAGTATTCTCGCAGCTGGGCTATCATCTCCCACTTGGTGGTCCTCAGCTCGGCATCCAGTTGCTGAATGACTTCCTCGTAGGAGGCAATGTTGGCCTGATGACGGTCCTCCAGCTCAGAGCGCTGCCTCTCCAGTGAGCCCTTGGTGCTTTTCAGTGCCTCCAGCTCTGTGGTCCTGGCCTGCAGCTGACGCCGGTACTCAGTTATCTCCTCCTACGCTGAGCACATGGCATCTATGTTCACCTTCGCTGCCTCTAACGTCAGTCCAGCCTTACTCAGAACCACTCCTCGGACTGCAGCGTGCTCTGCACCGCATGGCCTTCAAGCTGCACGCCGCGCCGATCTCGCTCAGCGCCGATGTCACTTCGCCCTTGAGAGCGTTGCGCAACTCAGCCTGCACCTGCGCGGCGCCGCAGCCCTGGGTCTGGCCGAGCAGCTCGACCACCTGCTCCTCCTGGTAGTGGCGCGACAGGTAGCCGCACTCCTCCTGCAGCGCTTGCACCTGCTTCTGCAGTTCCACGCGCGCCGCCTCGGCCTCCTGCGTGCAGCGCGTGAGTGCGCGGGCTGCCGCCTCGGCCTCCTCGCGCTGCCAGAGCTCGTTGTCGAGGCGCTGGCACACGTGCGCGATGTCCTCGAGCAGGTGCTCCTGTTCCAGGCGCAGCTGCCCAGGCGCAGCATCGCACCGCGCGTCTCACGGACCTCGCGGCCCGCCTGCTGCTGCTGCAGGGCCGCTGCCTCGCCCTCCAGGCTGCGGTTGTGCACCTCCAGCTGCCGCTCCTTGTCGATGTAGCCCGCAAAGCGGTCCGTCGGCGCCTGCAGCTGCTCCTCCTCACTGCTCGTTGTAGCAGCCGCCACCACGCATCCCTCTGGCTGGTTGCTCAGCGTGTCCAGCGAGTCGGTGCTCGAGGCGGCGGCTGGGCGAGGCGGACACGGAGCTCACGGACGTCCACGTCCACGAGTGGAAGCCGCTGGAGGAGCCAGCGGCCGAGCGCGTCCCGCCTGTGCCGCTCTTTGGGGCCAGAGCGTAGTGGAGGCTGCCACCGCCGTGCAACGGCAGGAACAGGGCGCCCAGCAACGCGTCCGCGCTTCGGAAGCTCATCATGGCTGGAGCAGGTGCGCGGGGCCGGGCCGGGACGGGGCGGGACACACTGCCTCTCTATCTTTTAAGTGGAGAATTTAATCCGTTTACATCCAAAGTTATTGATATGTCAGGCTTTGTTCCTGTCATATTGTTAATTGCTTTTTGGTTCTTTTATATGTTGTTTGTTCTTTTCTTTCTCTTTTATTGTTTGATGGGTTTCTGTAGTGGTACCACTTGAGTTTTTTCTTTCTCCATTTTGTAATAACTTTTCCAGTGAATTTTATACTTTCATGTATTTTCATGATGGTAAATGTTGTTTTTTCATTTCCATTTTTAGGACTCTCTTGAGCATTTCTTGTAGGACCAGTCTAGTGCTAATGAATTCCTTCAGCATTTGGTTGTCTGAGAAAAACTTTATTTCTCCTTCATTTACGGAGGATAATTTTGCCGAATGTTGTATTCTTGTTTGACATTTTTTTTTCTTTTAGCAGTTTGCATATATCATCTTATTATCTTCTGGTCTGTACGATTTCTGCTGAGAAATCTGTTAGTGTGTTGAAGTTTCCTTTATAGGTGATGAAATGCTTTTCTCTTGTTTTTAGGATTCATTCTTTTTCTTTGACTTAAGACGGTTTGACTATAATACGCCATGGAGAAGACCTTTTGTGTTGTATTTTCCTGGGAATTGCTGGAAGATTGAGCCTCTTGTATCTAAATGTTTAAATATCTTGCTAGACTTGGGAAGTTTTTGTCTATTATTTAATTAAATAGGTTTTCCAATTCTTTCTTTCTCTCTTCACCCTTGGGAATACTGACAATTCAAATATTTAATAACTTCGTGTTGTCCCAAATGTCATAAAGGCTTTGCTTATTGTTTTTACTCTTTTTTTTCCTTTATTTTTGTCTGACTAGATTATCTTAAAAGACCTATATTCGAGTTCTGACATTCTTTCTTCTGCTTGATCTAGTCTATTGTTGGAGCATTCAAATGTATTTTGTATTTGCATCAATAAATTCTTCAGTTCCAGAATTTATATTTAGTTATTTTAAGAAGTATCTATCTCTTTGGTAAATTTCTTATGTTTATTTTGAATTGCTTTTCTTATTTCCTTGAATTGTTTTTCAGAATTCTCTTGTATCACATTGAGCTTCTTTAAAATCAATATTTTGAATTCTCTATATGGAATTTTAAATTTCTTTTTGATTAAGATCTATTGCTGGATAATTATTGTGCTCCTATGGAGGTGTCATATTTCCCTGCATTTTTATGTTTTCTGTGTCCTTACAATCGATATCTGCACATCTGGTGTAACAGTCATTTTTTTTTTTTCTATTTTTGATTTACTTTTGTAGGGAGAACTTTTTCCTGAAGCTCTATGTATGGTGTTGAGTGGGTAGGACACATTACTTTGATTCTGGGTGCATACAGTAGTGTAGTCTCTGCACGATTTCTTTGTCTGTAGACAGTGTTAGTGGAATCTGTGATTTCCTCATTGGGTTACATTGTGGTTATTAGTGAAGGTTGTGGTAAAGTTGTGATGGAGACTGAGATGGCAATTGGGTCAGTCTTCAGGCCACAGTCATGGCAGCAGTGAGCTGAGTCTGCCTCTGTGTCCCATGATGGTGTACACTGGCACCTGTGTTGGCAGTTACTGGTGGGCTGATTCTTTGGCCTCCAGGTGGCTTACTTGAATATCAGTAGTGGCAGCAGTGGATCAGATGGGTGAGTGGGTTCCTGGGCCCCTGGGAAGCTGGTGTGGCATGGGCGATGACAATAGCAGTACTGGAGCAATTTTCTGGGGCCCAAGTGGTGTGCATATTGATGTTGGCAGTGCTTGTAAATGGCTAGGTTGAACAGTCTTCAGACCCACATGTTATGCTTGCAGGTAAGTGCCAGCTAAGGTGGTAGTGGCTGGGAGTTTAGTCTCAATTTCAGGCCCATGGAAGGAGTGGTCAGGTGCCCGAGGTGGTGGATTAGGTTGGGCAATCACCTGGACTGTGTGCTCTGTGTCGAGAGGGAGAATGGCATAGTCAGGATGGATGGGCCTGTGCTTGCCACTGGTGAGAGAGGGCACTAGGCACTGTGAGTGAGGGCATGGCAATCCTTTGGCTCCAGGTGGAGTGTTCCAATGAAGGAAGTAGCAGTTGCACTGAGGATATCCCACTGGAGAAGATGGGGCCAGCTTCAGTGGCCACAGTCTGGGCCAGCAGGTGGACAATACATATCCCTGCTTCATCCTAGTTCTGATGGGGCTCGCCCCACATCCCTGGCAGTGTTAGCGTGTGCCTAGCTTGCACTCTAGCCCTGGCTGCAGGAGGCCCTGCCCAGATCGTGACCAAGTCCCAGCAGCAACTCACACTTCACTTGTGTCCCAGTCTCAAGTCCCAGCAGTACTTCCTTCCTGGCACTGGCAAACTGCAGCCTGCACATTGCTCACTTCTCAGCTCGGGCTGTGGGAGTACTCCCAGCTCATGCTGCAGTCTCAGCAGTGACAACCCCATTTTCCTGAGTGCCTCAGTCCCAGTGCTGCTGGGCCCCAGGACAGTGTGCAGAAGCTAAGTTTGAAAATGATGACTTGCTATAGTTTCTTAGGTCTCAGAAGAGTGTGGGACTCAGTGTGAGCTCCCTCGCCCCACAGCAATTCCATCCAATCATCTCCCAGCAGCTTCTTGTGTCAGTTTCAGAGATTGGGAGGGTGGAGGTTCTCTTACGTGACCAGGATTGCATGATTGCATGGTGGGGCTGTGTGTTGCTGGAAGTCTCTCACTCACTCTTCCCCACATTGGGAAGTTACTCCCGGCTCCCAGCCAATCCTGGCCAAGCGGGCTGCCTTGCTTTCTTCTCCTTCCTCACTTTTGGTGTTTTCTGTCACTTCTCTCTTGAATTCCAGTGTTCTGTCTTGGATAATGTATTCAAAGTGTGACTGTGTATACACTATTTTTGTTCCCCTAAGTGGACAAGGAAAGCGTGAAATTCTTCTCATCAGCCATCTTGAAGTCTTTCCTCTGTAAGTTTTAGTATTTCCAATTTAAATTAGAGAATAAAAGGAATGAATTATTAAAGAAGTTCAAAGATAACTCAGATACATTAGAAGGGAAGAAATAGTAAAGATAAAATCAGAAATTAATTATAAAGCAAAAAATAAAATTGATAAGTAAACCCAAGAGCTGGATTTTGAAAATGACAGTATAATAAATCAACTTCTGGCAATTATAAATGAGAAAAAGAGAAAGCTAGCATAAATACTTAAAATTAGGACAGAACTAAAAGGAGTCAGATAGATACTGGGCAGATGATGTAGTCTAAGAAAATATCAAAAACAACTTAATTCTATATATTTGAAATTTTGTTAGAAGCAAATATGAATTACCAGAAATTAACAAAGAATTAGATCAATTCAGATATCTTTATTGAGAAAAACAGCCTAGGAGGAAACCCACTAAATCCTCATAGTGTATAGTAGGATTTATTTTGGATTCAGCCTTACCTTGTTCTATCAGTTACTATGTGACCTTGGCCAGGATACTCACCTCTTTCAGCCTCATTTCCCTCATCTACAAGAAGGGGGAAGAGTTATTTCCCTTACATGGTGTTTTGTGACAATCATATTAAATGATGCACGTGAAATGCTTAGCACAGTGCTGGTCCGTCACTAGTGTACAATACATGATGGCCATTTACATTGAGCAGAAACTGGAATAAGTTATCAAGTACTGTGGGTCCAGATGGATTTATGAATGCATTCTTTCATGCAATTTTCTGCATGTATATGTCATTAAAATATAATTTAAATGTATCCCTTCCAAATTTTAAGGCATAGTTTTCTTCTAGGTGATCCAAACACAGAGAAAATACGATGTTTTTGCATTTGGTACACAATTATAAAGATAGATGCAACAATTCTAAGTAAAATGATGACAAATTAAATCCATTTGTATATTAAAAGAATGAAATGCCATAGCAGAGTAGAGTTTATTTTGGAAATGGTAATTGAACATTTAATGTGTGATAATCCGTATATTAGACACTTCATAAAAACTAGATTAATTAGTGATCACAGAACCTTATGAGTTATCATCATCATCTTATAGCTAAAGAAATGATAGCTGAGTGAGGTCAGACAAGTTGATAAAGGCCAAAGTAAGCACTACAGCTGACATTCCGGTACAGTCTCACTTACTCTAAAGTGTGAAAGTACTTTCCATTATGTCATCCTGAATCTGATTTAATAAACTCCTAAAGTTGCATTTGATAATTCTCAACCCCATCATTGATGAAAATTCTTCAATTACTTAGAGTAGACACATTTTTCTATAATATGTTGAAAAGTATCTGTAGTAAGCACTCAATTTCATGCTTAGTGGTGAAATATCAGGGCCATTCCTAATAATTTCTTTTATCTCTATTTAAAAAATTTATAGATGTTCTGGTCAGTGTAATAAGACATGGTTCAGAAATAAATTTATAATAATGGAAAGAAGAGACATTGTCTTTATTTGCAAGTGATACAATTATCTGTACTGCTTGCCCCAAATGATCAACTAAAATGATAATAAGATAGATATGCAAGATAATCACATATTTAATGAATATTGAAAATAGCTTTTATATATGCTAACAATACCAGTTAGAAGAGATAATGGAAACAACTCAGACCTCAGATTCCCATTAGCAATGCAAGTACAAAATACTAATTTTTTTTTTTTTTTTTTTTTGAGACTGAGTCTAGCTCTGTCGCCAGACTGGAGTGCAGTGGCGCAATCTTGGCTCACTGCAACTTCCGACTCCCTGGTTCAAGCGATTCTCCTGCCTCAGCCTCCCGAGTAGCTGGGATTACAGGCATGTACCCCCACACCCGGCTAATTTTTGTATTTTTAGTAGAGACAGGGTTTCACTATGTTGGCCAGGCTGGTTTCGATCTCCTGACCTTGTGATCCGCCCGCCTTGGCCTCCCAAAGTGCTGGAATTACAGGTGTGAGCACCGTGCCCAGCCAAAATACTAACTTTTTAATAAGAATTGTGCAGTATATACATGGAGAAGATGACAGTGATCAATTGGGAGAAATAAATAAAAACTTGAATAAATCAGGGGGCTGACACACCATTGTACTGGTTAAGGACACTCATATTATAAAGATGTCATTTTTCTTCAAAATTAATTTATAGGTTTGACTTAATTTTATTCTAAATTTTATTCATGAGGGGGTGTCTTAAGATCCAGTGAAGTGATTCTAGACTTCACGTGGATGAATAAAAAAATGTGTAATAGGTTTTTAGAGAATGGGATGGGAGTAAAAACATTCACTCAATGTATTCATTGGTTCTAAGATTTTCAAAAATATGAAATTATATGTGTTAGGATGGAGCGAATATGATAATCAATAAGTTTAAACCTTCATGAATTCTTAAATTAAGACTTCTACTACAGCATATACTTTCCTCCCATAAAATGCAGTAAAATTTAACTGAATAATGCATGTTTTTCTTCAGAGCCTTAATGATTCTATAAATACATGACTAAAGAAATGAATAAAGTAATTGGCTTTTTAAACCACGAAACACAGCTTTTTAGCACTTCATAAGAGTTATTACAAGGGTGAAAAGGAAGAGAAAAATACAAAAGCATGTTGAGATGTAAATGCTGGTAGTTGGCTGGGCTTGGCCACCAGTTAAATGGTCCACCCCATCTTCAATGAGCAGTTGATTAGAAGCCATGCTTTAGGACAACGGAAACTTATTGGGTCCTTGCCAAGTTGGGTTATCTACAAAGCTAAGTCTGAGACAAGAACTCACATGCAAGTGATAAGTTGTAGAAAACCTCTAAGGAGGTGTAGAAACAAGTCAGGGAAGTGGAAAGAGACAAAGATGGCTTTCAACTGAACCTAACTCCCACCTCATTCCACAGGACCCTCATGTTTTCCTTCCTTGAGGGAGGCAGGCTGGACTTTTATAACTCTCTGGCAGTCAGTCATTGACTATGGGACCCCCAAAGAGGCAAAATCTCCCAAGCATCTCAGGAGGGAGCAGCTGTGAGCCATTAGCAGCCATGACTCACAGCAGCTGGGGGATGGGTGATCCAGTCTATAAAATATAAAAGGAGTCTGGGCAGGGCACTAGTGGCATTTATTGCAGTCATGGTCCTTGGGTATGCCTTGTGGATTCATGTCAAGAAAATGAATAATAAAGTGGTACATGCTAAATATATACCATAGATACAGAAAAAGAGCCTAGGAGGAAACCCACGAAAATTTTGACGGTGAGTATTTCTTAATGATGGTGATTTTAATTTTGTTCTTATTCTTTAAAATGTTGTCCATATTCTGAAAAATATGCGCATGACTTAACACCAGAAAATAGAATAGCAACAGATCTGGATAGTACATTTCAGCAGATGGATCAGAGTTAGGATCTGGCTTTGCTAACTTCTAACGTGTGGGTTACTTGGGCTGGTTACCTATCCTGTCTCAGCCTCAGCTTTCTTATCTGTAAAATGGGTTTGACAGATGTGACACATAATGTTAGATATTTTTTGTTTGCCCAGAATCTGTTCCCCCCTTTTCCTGATGTATCATCCCTTGCTTGTTTGGAAAACTGCTCCTGCCTTACTCCACATGCTGCTGCTGTGCTCCAGCTGTTCATTAGAATCACAGTAACCTCCACAGTGGTGAGTGTCTAACCCAGACTCACATATGATCAGAATTTTCTCCAGATTTTTCTAATTTGGAGAGCAAGTTCTCTTTTCCTTGGGTCATGAGTTTTATGACTGTAAGGTAGGACTGTCAGCAGCTATTTTGCATGCTACCTGGAGAATGTCTTTCTGAATTTAGCACAACAAAGAAAGCAGCAGTAGGAGTCCTGGTGGCCAAGCCCCCACTTTATGGCTCTGTTCTGGGTCTTCAAGTCTTTGCCTTTGCAGCCATTTTTCTAGCAAAGATTTTTTTCTTTTTCTTGAGCTGGTTTTAGTTGGGTTTTTGTGAGTTGCAACCAATACAGCACAACTAATACAAAGTCTGTTGCTAGGATTATTGCTACTGTCATTTCTGTCATCTGGAATACCCACTACTCACCTGCCCATCCTGCTCCTCCACCCCTTAGAGATTGTCCTCTCTTTTTCACTCTCATGATTTTAGCTCCTGATTTATTGTATGCCTCAGGTTGTTAGCTCATAAGCATCTCTGAGGTTGCCTGCATAACTTTAACACATAGTAGGTGCCCACAACTGTAAAAATCAGAACTTGAAGGGACCTTGGAAATCATCAAGTTAAAGAGAAATAGAACGAAAGAGGGAAGGAGAGAAATAAATCATCAAGTCTGTAGAGTGGAGATACTGAGGTCCAGGCTCAAGTGGCTTCTTGCCTGTGTCAGAGACATGGCTAGATTCCATGCTCATCTCTTCAGTCCACTGTGCTTGACTTTTTGCCCTGCTTGGACACTGAATACCAAGACAAAATAAAAAAAACATATCAACAGTAGGATTATTTATGTCTCAGTTGAGTTTTAGAGCTGGTTGACAAGAGAAAAGATGCAGAAGAATTTTTCTGTTGCTGCTGTTGTATGTCTATTTTTTACTTTTAGTTTTCTAATTTAAGCCCCAATTTCCTTCCTAATGGTGCAATTAAAATCACTGAAGCTCCAGTGGAAACTGGAACCCATCTCGTTAGACAAGACTGAAAATCAAGGAGAGGCAAAGGAGAGAGTCGCTGAACTGCATGTACCTCTAACGGTGCAAGCAGAACAGCTTCTACCTTTGAATAAAACCCAGAGATGATGTCCTGAGGTGGTGGCAGAGCCTCCTGCTTGCCTTCCTTAGCCTTCAGGAGCTGCTCTCCCAGCCCATAAAACCCAGATCAACTCTAAAATATGCTGTTTTCATGGAGATGGTTTAGTGCTTGAGATTTCTTGCCAGTTCGGAAGCAGGAGGTCCTCAATGGGGACCAAGAGGACATCTGTCCCTACCAGAGTGTTGTGTTCTGAAGACAGCTGAAACCAATGACCTCCAAGCCCTGGAAACTCCATCATCACTTCCCTATGACCTGAAATGTTGACTCAGCACCTCGGCATTAATGATGCCTTATGCTTTATTTCTAAATCATGCTTTATTCTGGCCACAGGAGGGAAACTACAAAACGAAAAGGTATCAACAGACATGTTTAAGCTGCTTGGGATTTGTTGCGGGAAGTAGGAAACTTGTAAAAGGCTTATTTGAATCCTGAGAGGAAACATGTAGTATAAAGAGCACAGGCTTTGGAATCAAAGCAGGGATGCTGGAGGTCCCTCCTGTGTGACCTCAAGCAAGTTACTTAACCTCTCCGAGGCTGTTCTTATTCTATTGCAGTTATTCTATTGTATAGAGCAATAATGTTCCCAGGAGTGGCATGTTCTGCAACTTAACAGTTCTGAAGTGTTGAACTTGACTGCTTTTAGATCCTGTCCAGCATGTTTAGTGGTAGTAAAGACCATGGTGAAAATAATTGTGCTCAGCCGAAATGAGAGAACTGAAGGTTGTATAGATGATCAGGGTTCATCTCTCCACAGGCAGCCTCCCTTCAGCTTTTCTTCTGAAGCCATTGAACAGTCTCCCATACCTTCCCAGCTCCTAGTTCTCCTTTGATGGAAACTATAGCTTTCCTAACATCTGCTTCACCCCTCTCCTTGCTTGTTCTGTGACCTATTAGAATCTGGCTACCAGGCCAGGGGCTAATGCTTGTAATCCCAACAATTTGCAAGGTTGAGATGGGAGGATTGCTTGAGCCTGGGAGTTCAAGGCTGCAGTGAGCTATGATCGCACTACTGCACTCCAGCCTGGGTGACAAAGTGAGATCTCCTGTCTTAAAACAAAAACCAAAACAACAAAAACAAAACAATCTGCCTACCTATCATCTTTAAGGGTTTGCCTGTTTCTTCACCCTTCCCTCTCTCTCCCTTTCTTAATGCCTCCCTGAGGTTCAACTGTACATTTTTAACTTTTAAGAAATATTTCAAACATAATATATATATGTTTGTGTACACACACACACACACACACACACACACACACACACACACACAAATAAGACATCTGGGTACAAGAATCCTGCACATTTTGTTTCAGAACTTGTACATATTTACTTCAGAATGTTTATTTAAAAAGGAAGTAGAACATTGCTGACAAAGTTATCCTGCTCATCCTTTCCCTGCCTGTTCCTACTCAGAGGTCACCAGAACTCTGCAGTTACTTCGTATCATTTCTTCCCCTGAGCCTGTACTTCTATTCATATGTATGAGTTCCTTAACAGTATAAACTACTGTTATTTGTGTTTCAAAAATTTTCCTGTTTATTATCCTACTGTACATATCAATTGCAACTTCCTTTTTTTCCTCACCCAACATTATGTTTTCCAGATTTATCCATTTTGATTCATATGCGCTATTCCTTTTACTTTAAATGTTGTGTGAATAAACCACAGTTTATTCTACTGAGAAATATTTAGGTTGTTCTACTTTTCTCTATTATATAAATTGCAGCAATAAACACTCAATGTATCTTTTTGGTCACAGCTGTGAGAATAGCTTCAGTCTGGACGTCTGGAAGTAGAATTGCTCTGTTGTGAGGCAGATTGTATTAGTCCATTCTCATGCTGCTAATAAAGACCTACCCAAGACTGGGTAATTTATAAAGGAAAGAGGTTTAATTAACTCACAGTTCTGCAGGGCTGGGGAAGCCTCAGGAAACTTACAATCATGGCATAAGGGGAAGCAGACATATCCTTCTTCACATGGTGACAGCAAGGAGAAGTGCAGAGTGAAATAGGGGGAAAGCCCTTATAAAACCATCTGATTTTGTGAGAACTCTCACTATCATGAGAACAGCATAGAAGTAACTGTCCCCCATGATTCACTTATCTTCCACAGGGTCCCTCCCATGACACATGGAGATTATGGGAACTACAGTTCAAGATGAGGTTTGAGTGGGGACACAGCCAAACCATATCATTCCACCCCGGCCCCTCCCAGATCTTATGTCCTCACATTTCAAAACACAATGATGCCTTCCCAACAGTCTCCCAAAATCTTAACTAATTCCAGCATTGACTCAAACGTCAAAGTCCAAAGTCTTATCTGAGACAAGACAGGTCCCTTCCACCTATGAGCCTGTAAAATCAAAAGCAAGTCAGTTACTTCCTAGATACAATGGGGGTACAGGCATTGGGTAAATACACCCATTCCAAATGGGAGAAATTGGCCAAAACAAAGGGATTGCTGGTCCCATGCAAGTCCAAAATCCAATAGGGCAGTCATTTAACCTTAAAGTTACAAAATGATCTCCTTTAATTCCATGTTAAAGGTCCCATCCAAGTCCAAAATCCAGTAGGGCAGTCATTAAACCTTAAAGTTCCAAAATGATCTTGTTTGACTCCATGTCCCCCATCCAGGTCATGACAGTACAAGAGGTGGACTCCCACAGTCTTGGGCAGCTCCGCTCCTGTGGCTTTGCAGGATACAGCCCCACTCCAAGCTGCTTTCATGGGCTGGCATTGAGTGTCTGTGGCTTTTCCAGGCACATGGTGCAAGCTGTTGGTGGATCTGCTGGCATCTGGAGGGTGGTGGCCTTCTCACAGCTCCACTAGGCAGTGCCCCAGTGGGGACTCAATGTGGGGGCTCCAACCCCACATTTCTCTTCGGCACTGCCCTAGCAGAGGTTCTCCACGGGGGCTCCACCCCTGGAGCAGACTTCTACCTGGACATCCAGGCAATTCCATACATCCTCTGAAATCTAGGCAGAGATTCCCAAACCTCAATTCTTGACTTGTGTGCATCCACAGGCGCAGCACCACGTGGAAGCTGCCAAAGCTTGGGGCTTGCACCCTCTGGAGCTACTGTCTGAGCTGTACCTTGGGAATGGCTGGAATGCAGGGTACCAAGTCCTGGGGCTGCACACAGCAGGGGGGCCCTGGACCAGGCCCAGGAAATCATTTTTCCCTCCTAGGCCTCTGGTCCTGTGATTGGAGGGGCTGCCATGTTCTCTGACATGTCCTGGAGAAATTTTCCCCATTGTCTTGGTGATTAGCATGTGGCTCCTCGTTACTTATGCAAATTTCTGCTGCCAGTGAATTTATCCCCAGAAAATAATGGGTTTTTCTTTTCTACTGCATCATCAGGATGCAAACTTTTCAAACTTTTATGCTCTGCTTCCTCTTGAATGCTTTACTACTTAGAAATTTCTTCTGCCAGATACCCTAAATCATCTCCCTCAAGTTCAAAGTTCCACAGATCTCTAGGCCAGGGGCAAAATACTGCCAGTCTCTTTGCATAGCAAGAGTGACCTTTACTCCAGTTCCCAACAAGTCCCTTATCTCTATCTGAGACCACCTCAGCCTGGACTTTATTGCCATTATCACTGTCAGCATTTTGGTCAAAGCCATTCAACAAGTCTCTAGGAAATTCCAAACTTTCCCACATCTTCCTGTCTTCTGAGCCCTCCAAGTCTCTAGGAAGTTCCAAACTTTCTGACATTTTCCTGTCTTCTTCTGAGCCTTTTAAACTGTTTCAACCTCTGCTTGTTACCCAGTTCCAAATCACTTCCACATTTTTGGGTATCTTTACAGCAGCACCCCACTGCTTGGTACCAATATACTGTATTAGTCTTTTCTTACACTGGTGTTATCTATCTGTATTTTTCTTATTGATTCTGGATTCTACTTATCAGTTATACACATTGCAAATATATTCTCCCAGGCTTTTAACTTTGTTCATAGTTTCTGCTTTGCATCTTGTTTTCTAATTTTTTTTTGGTGGCATTTTTCTTTTTATCTTTTTTGTAATGATTCTTTTTCTTAATGATTTTTATCTTAAGAATGATTTAATCTGATATTCATAGAGCCATACTGGCTCTCTTTTCTTTTGCAATTGTTGGAAGTATCTTTTTCTATGCCTTTATTTTCAACCTTTCTGTGACCTTGTGTTTTGGGAATATCAGTTATACGTATCATATAACTAGGTTAATTTTAAAATTCAGTTTGAGTCTTTGAGCTGTTCTATTTTGCCTAAGAACACTTATTGTCCTTACTGACATATTTGTGTTTATTATTTTGGGTCCTTCGATTTACTGTGCTGCTTTGCTTTCTTGCTTCCTCCCTTCCCTCAGTTTACTACAACATATTGTCTTTCTTTTTTTCTACTTTTACTAAGTATCCTGAATTTTTCCCTTTTTTGGGGTTACCCTTAAAATTTCAATATTTATTATTGATATTAAGACTAAAAGTAATCCGTTTTTCTTTATGACACAAAGTCTCAGAAATGCTTTACTCTAATCATCCTTTAATCTTGCAAATAATTATTGTTTAGAATATTAGTTTCACTTTTCAATGCCCTCAAATTCATCCTCTCCATCATCATCATTACTATGGTTACTTTTAATCATTGTTTCGTTTTGCCCATGTGTTTACCAATTTCTGTCTCACTCTTGCTTCTTGAATTTCCCTTCTATATTTTGCTATAATTTTTTCCCTCGGATTGCACCTTTTGTTAGTTCCTTCGGTAGAACATCCCACTCATGGGCATTGAAATCTGATTCTAAAGTGTCTAGGACCCATGCCATAGACCCTCTCCTTCCTGGTCAGCTTGGTACCGTCTCTCTTGCCACCTAGTTTGTAGCTCAGTCTTCAGTTCTGACATCTGAAGAGTCTCTCCTTTCTTTCTTTTAAGCTCAACTATTTATTTTAAATATTTATTTGCCTCTTTTATTTGTGGGGAGAGAGGTGTTTAATGGACTCAGCAGGACAGCTCTAGGGACATCAGACATAATTTTAGAGTTTTTTATCAGAAGAAACAGGAAATACAAATATGTATAGAATGATAACTCCATTTCAGGTTTATAGAATATATCAGAGCCTTCCTCCCAATACTTATATCACTATAAAATGTAAACTACAAATTACCAAATTTTTAATTCTTATTTTTTTGACTGGTTGTGAATTTATATATTGATTTATTCAATTTATTTTATGTTATTCAAATTACAGAACACATGCTGGCTGTGTAAAGGAAAAGCTAATTATTCCCTGCATTCTCCAAGCTTCTGCATCCCCCGCCCCACCAAGATAACCAGTGTTGCCAGCCTGCTGAACATTTCTTCTTGCAGTTCTCCCTGTGAGAGAAGGTATACAAATGCATCTCCACAAATGCAGTAGTGTGTTTGTTTCTTTAGCCAAACAGAATATGTGACTTGCTTTATTCAGTTAAGAGTATTTTATTATCCAGTATTCCTAAGAATTGTTAGCTTGACAACTGTCAGATGATCTTCCTCCATCATTTTGCAGAACCCAAGTCACCCATTTTCTTTCCATCCTTATGGATTCTGATCTTGAACTAACTCTCCCATGTCTAACTTTTCCCTTTGGACTTGAACCTTATCCTTGTGTTCTGGGGTAGTCCTTTATGCATGATCCACCAAAACTTGAGTTCAAAAGTCCACCCATACAAACACAGGTTGAGAACTGAATTAGCAATAACTCTCATGGAAAAAAATCGAGGCTGGTCACAGTAGGGTCAATGCAAATCCACAGTGTCACTAGGCTGCAAGATGATACTAGGCTGAGAAAACATAATTTTGAAACCATGAAAGTCTAGCTCAACTGTCTGATTGCTGTGGCTGAAGACAGACCTAGGATCTATTGGTCCAAGAATCAGTCTAGGACAATGATGCTTCACTTTGGCTGAACATCCAAATCATTTACAAAACTTTAAAAAATACAGATTTCTAGGCCCAATCCTTATATATTTTGACAATTTGTCTGGATTTGGGGCCCAGGTATTGTCATGAATTGATTCTAATGCTTAGCCCATGTTGAGATAGGATAAAACCCAGGATAGCATGCTGACTCACCATCAGAGGTAGTCTCTTTGGGACCATGTGTTCTCAAACTAATCATTGGAGATATCTAGATTTAGCTATGGTATAGTGAAAAGGGCTTTTGATGTGGAATTAGCAGATTTGGTATCTAGCCACAGTTTGCCACTTACTTACTGTGTGACCTTGAACAAATCGTTTTCCTCTCTGAATCTGTTTTCTCATCTGTAAACATGGAGATTTATGATCTGTGTTTCACACAGTGGTTGTTAGGATCAAAAGACAAAATGTTCTTGCAACTATTTTTTTGTAAGTTGTAGGGCTCTTTAGAAATGTTGAATAAGAGGTCTTTTCTAGGTCTAAGGCTTGTTGGTTCTCTAAATAGCGATTGACCTTTTCTATCATGTAGGCCTGTGAATCCAGTGGAAAAAATGTGAAATATTATTCTGAGTGTTTTGATTTTCTGAAATGCTTCCTTCAAAAACTCTCCAAGGCCAGTAATTTAGGCCAGATTTAGCAGAGTAACTGAAATAATGAAAGTAATTATCCAGGTCATTCTGGTCCCTGGATTATTTTCCCTGAGAAATATCCAAATAATTTAATGCAAGAGAAATTCTGAATTAAAACTGTCTACATTGTTGATGTAGTTCCCTTCTTGCTTCTAATATAAGTGAGGAGTTTCTAAAAGAGAATTTAGGCCTTTGAATGAGGGTCTATATGAAAGGGTACAAATGCTATGAGTAAACTTGCCTTTTCAAGTGGTTTAGTCTCATAGTCAAACTATTTAAATATTATGAAAGAGAGTAAAAAACCCATGAAAATTTAAATATCATTCTGAGAATGCTTTATTTTGCAGTACCATATAATTTCAATACGCCAAATACATTTTAGAGTAACAATTATATTCTTCACTCAGGCGTAAGATCACCTGAGTTTGTGGATGTTTCTCAAGAAGTTGTTGTCGTAGCATTTGGACAATGTGATTAGACAACACCCGGGGAGTTGGTCATTTCCAAACTGGAAGTTGTCCAGCATTATTAGGAACCTCTTGACTGGAAGAAAATTATCGAACATTAGTTTGGTACTTTCTCTGTTCTTTTTTTTTTTTTTTTTGAGATGGAGTCTCGCTGTCTTGCCCAGGCTGGAGTGCAGTGGCACAATCTTGGTTCACTGCAAGCTCTGCCTCCCGGGTTCATGCCATTCTCCTGCGTCAGCCTCTCAAGTAGCTGGGACTACAGGTGCCCGCCACCATGCCCGGCTAATATATATATATTTTTTATTTTTAGTAGAGACGGGGTTTCACCGTGTTAGCCAGGATGATCTCGATCTCCTGACCTCGTGATCCGTCCGCCTTGGCCTCCCAAAGTGCTGGGATTACAGGTGTGAGCCACTGCTCCCAGCATTCTCTGTTCTTTTAAAAGTAATTTCATCGTTGGTCCTCTTTAGCCATGTAAATTTCTTCCGCTATTCCCTTAAAAAATAAAAATAGTAGAAATAGTGTGTTTCTCTTCTTCTACAAACTGAATCACAGTTGTAAGTTGTCCTGTGAAGATAAATGGACAAAACTATCATTTCATCCTTGTCTTAAAAGACAATCAGGTGTACAACATAAAGGAATCAGTCTCCTCCCTCTTGCCATTGTCAACATGGTGTCTCTGAATGAAAGAGTGGCTTCCAAGGAGACAGTTTTGGCCAGTGAGTTTGTGCATGGCCCTCTTCTTTCCTTAGATGATCTCGAAGGTCATGAAAGACCTGTAGCTCTTTCCTCTTTTTATCATCCAGAAAACATCAGAACGAGGTTTCTTCTTTCCACCTCTATTTGTGTATGTGTGATCAGCCAGGAAGAAAATGAGCATTCTTTGAGCTACTACCTGCATTGCGTTGGGAGTTTGCATAGACAATATTAATCTTCACAAACCTTCTGTAAGGTAGATGTTGTCATGCCCATTTTAATGATGAGGGAGCTGAAGTTTAGAGACATTGCATAACTTGGCTAAAGCCATGGGCTGATAACCAGATGAGTGGGTATGTATGACTCTAGGGCCAGCGTTTTGCCCCTTAGGTCAAGGGGAAAAGTCAAGGAGTGTATATTTTCTGAGCCAAAATTCAGATGCTAGAGTTGCATTTGGCATAAAGGGTATGAGATATTTGTAATTGGGGCTTTCATAGCAAAGTAGGAAGTTGATGAGGTGTGTTTCAGTGCTGGCTTAACTTACTATTCTTTGTCTTTCTCAGCTCAGGTTGACTGGGTCTAAGATGAGTCTCACCTGTAAGCACAGAGCAAATTTGATTGCAAAGATGAATGTTAGTGGGAACATCTGAGTAGCAATGAGGCATGCATGCTATGACCTGTTTTACCTGGAGACTGTGATTATTATCAACACAAATCTGATATCATGTTGATTACTTCATTCATTCACTTAACATTTACCAAGGATCTACCATAAATCAGATAATGTTGAAGATTCTGGAGAGAGAGTGATGAACAAGACAGAAATCTTTACATTTATTGAGTACAAGACAGATGATATGAGGATAAATAGATAATACCCATCCTCAAAGGTTTTACAATCAAGTTGAAAAATCAAACATATTTTCAGTTCACTTGATTAGTAGGTAATGAAACTAAGTGCTAGAGGCACAAGTAAATAGCTAATGGAGCACAGAATAGGATGGTGAAAGGCCATAGTTAAGTTTTACAGTACAGGTTCAGGAAATGTGTTGGGGCTAGCATATTTTAACTATGCCTTAAATCATGGGAATGGAGAAAAGAGAAGTGTTCAGGACTCCACCACAGAATCTTGGACACCTCTAAGAGTAGTTTGAAGTATAATCCTAATATATCCCAGGGTTCCAAATGGACCAGTCGCCCACGGTGTTACATTCCCAGGAACAGTCTAGGAAGCAAAAATTGATTATGAATATTTCAAGCCAATTCCTCAAGGAAAAGAGCACGAGGAGCACAGGCAGGTTTCTATGGGCAACATAAGAAGGTGGCTCATATTCCACTGGCTGGAACTCAGTCATGTGGTGTTCTAGGTGGGGTTCTTCAGAAGCAGGCCTTGAGATGAGGATTAGTACATGGGAATTGCTCCCAGGAGAAGCCAGCAAAGCAGCAGAACTGGGAAGTGGAAGAGGGCAAGCATGGTGTAATTTCAGGCAAAGTCCCAGAGCTGGCTTGATTCTGTGGGGAGTTCTGGGAGATGAATTAGGTCCCACCTCAAGGCAAGGGGTCTGGGCTTTCATATTCTGGTTAAGGGCTGCCCCAGGGCAGGGGGGTACAGATGCCCAGACATGTCTGGCTCTCTGAAAGTACAAGGCTCCATTAGCCAAGGGCAGGCTTCAAAGTCACAGGTACCGCCGGGCGTGGTAGCTCACGCCCGTATTCTCAGCACTTTGGGAGGTCGAGGCGGGTGGATCACTTGAGGTCTGGAGTTCAAGACCAGCCTGGTCAACATGGTGAAACCCCGCCTCTACTAAAAAAAAACAAAAAATTAGCCAGGTGTGGTGGTGCGTGCCTGTAATCCCAGCTACTTGGGAGGCTGAGAAAGGAGAATCGCTTGAACCCAGAGGCAGAGGTTGCAGTGAGCCAAGATTGTGCCATTGCACTCCAGCCTGGGTGACAGCACGAGACATTGTCTCAAAAAAAAAAAAAAAAAAAAAAAAAGGCACAGTTGCAAACCCTTGGAATCAGAGCACTCCAAAACAGGAGGATAGGCAGACAGAAATTGAATCTAGGGAGACCGAGCAAAGCACAGATAGTGTCCACTCCATGTGGCTACATGGAATTACAAGGGAGGCTGGCAAATGTAATCTAGCAGTAGCCTCAGGAAGAAGAGAAAAATGTGGATCTTGGTAAAATACAGCAGTGCCTTCCTCACCTTTGTTTGTACCTGATACTCAGCCCAAATCTCTTTCTTTTTCTCTGAATACAGTAAACACAGCACAGATGACTATTTCATCACACTTCCATGGGTGTGCATGGGTGTGGGGGACAGGGGTGATATGGGAGTAGGAAGGGTGGATGCCTCCATATATTCTGAGTAAAATAAAAATTGTACGACTTAGCTCCTGTCTATAGTGATATAAACTTCAAAAAGCATTACCATCACTTAACGTCTTTCTTTTGTTCTGCCATGGGAATCCCCCTACCTGCTAACATAATGACCTTGGAGAACTTTCTGGGCCTGGGAGTGTGGGTCCCTGGGAAGGGCTCTGGCTCCCATAGCCAATGACACAAAGCCTGAGCTCCTTGTTCTGGTTCCTGCTGACCTCCTTGGCCTCATCTCCCACCAGCCTCCTCTCCCTCTGAACATCCAGCCATTCCTGAGCACATCTGACTGCTCCCGTTTCAAGGACCTCCTTTTTTCTACCTGGAAAGCCCACTGTCTTCCTTGTTGGCCTGTTGAACTTCTCTTCTCTTAAAGCCCAGCTCAGAAGTCACCTCCAAACACACTTTCCCAAGCTTGCATGGATAACCTCTCTTTATTTTAGCAATAAAAATAATAAAATAGTTACTATTTAGTAAACATATACTCCGTACCTTATAAACATTATCTTTCACACTAACCTGGAAAAGGAAATGCTGTTATTTGTGTTTCACAGGTGGTGGAGAGGTTGGGCAGTCAAATTGGATGGCAGTACTCTGCTCAAGAGTGGCAGGCTAAAAAATCTAGAATATGATTGTATTTATTTTTTAGGGTATCATCAAAATGAAAATATACAAACATGCATATATGTACAAGCATACAAATAATACATATGCATCTATCTATCTATCTATCTATCTATCTATCTATCTATCTATCTATCTGTCTATCTATCTCTTCCTTTTTTCCTATCTACGTACCTACTTGAGAATTTGAGAATCCCCTTCTGATTGAGAAATAACATTCCTGGCACATCGCCTTCCTCTGTCTTCTGTCAAGCCCACCATGTCTCTGTATCTGTCTTTCATTGTCTTTGTGTGTCTCTCTCTCTGCTCCTTCTCTTGCTCCTCTACCCTATCCTTTCCTCTTCCCTTCCTTTGTGGCCCCAAAGCCTGCATGCTTCTTGTTCTGCAGTGCCTGTTCAAACTCCTAGCAAGGTTCAAACTCCTAGCAAGGTTCAAACTCCTAGCAAGGCAGGATGTGCCATGTGACCCTAGTTTTTGCAGATAAATAGCTTATTTAAATCGGAAACCAGACTCTAATCCCTTCTGTGGGCTGGGTTGATGGATGGACGCAATTACAGTCAGTTTTCTTCCATTAGGGCCCTGCTGGCCCCAGGTACTGGCAGCTCTCTATGGGACTGGTTAGTTATGGTTGGAATAGCAATGGTAAAGGCCCAAAGTGGTGGGGCTTGGCAGCAGACCTCAGAGACTGAGCACTGAGACTTGGCAGTTGCCAGGGTTCAATACATTCCTGTTGGAGCTTGTTTGGCTTGGTCCCTTACCCTGGGGCCTTGCACCTGCAGAGTTGTGCACTGTTTAGGGGCTTCCTGCCTATGTGAGGGTGCCCACAGGCTTTGAGTGCCTTTCTAATGGCCAGGAGTTTGAGCTCTGGAGTCAGACTGCGTGGATTCAGCTCTTGGGCCTCTACCAGGAGACTTCCCAGGTGACTTTGGGCAAAGAATTCCTCTCTGTGTTTCAGTTTCCTCATCTATAAAATGGGGACAAAAGTAAGACCTACCTCATAAGGTTGTTGTGAGTGTCAAATGATATAATTAAGGAAAAGTACTTAGCAGGGTCCCTGGCACATAGTAAGAACTCAAGAAATGCTAATTATGATCATGAGTGTCAGGTGTATTGCCTTCTTCAGCCCTCACAATCAGCCTGTAAGGTAGAAATTAAGTCCATTTTACAGTGGATGAAACAGAGGCTCAAACATATGAAATTACACAGGTGGAGGGTCAGGGAGCCAGGACTGGAGTTGAAGTATGTAAACCCTAAGCTCAATGCACCTTCTGCTGCCCTCTACTGGGTGCCTTCTGGCCACCCTACTCTTTGCCTCATGATGATGTCAGAATTGAGGCACAACAGAATTGATGTCACAGTCTTCTTTGTCCATGAACTTTTTGTTTCTGCCCACTGAATACAGGGTCTTAAATCCCACAGTTTTTTTGGAGTAGATTAGGCATGTTCAGGTACATAGTCCCAAAGAGGATGATGCTGTCATAGGACAGCCTGGCCTGGCACTTGGGGCCCTTGACTTCTCATTCTGGTTCTGCTACTAATGTTTTATGTAACCTTCAGAAACCCTTCCCCTCTCTGAGACTCAGTTTCCCTATATGGAAAATTGCCTTACCAATTCCCCTTCTAGGTATCTGTTAATTCTGTAGAAACACTCAAGCTCTGGGGGCACAGATGCATGTGCTAGGAGTGTTCAATGCAACACTGCTCATAATAGTCAAATATTGGAAACAATAATTATCCACCAAACTATTGTAGCAAATAAAGACAATGAAGGGCAACTCTATGTACTGGCATGCAAATATGAGAAAACATGGAGAGATATATTGTTGAATACCAAGAGCAAGTGACAGGACTGTATATCCAGCGTGAGTCTATTTATCTAAATAAAATTATCCCTGAACTCTACATATGTATAGGAATATATAGGCACATGCATTAAAAAAACTGTGAAAGAGACACAACAGACTATTAATGTTACTTCTGGGGAGAAGAAAGGGATGGAAGTGGTGGTGGTTAATGGGGGGGGACTTTGACTTTCACTTTTTATTTTATATATCTGGGTATAACTTTAATTTTTTCTTTTTTGAGGTGGAGTCTCTCTGTGTCTCCCAGGCTGGAGTGCAGTGGTGCAATCTCAGCTCACTGCAGCCTCCACCTCCCGGGTTCAAACGATTCTCCTGCCTCAGCCTCCAAAGTAGCTGGGTTTACAGGCATGCACCACCACACTCAGCTAATTTTTGTATTTTTTTTTTTAGTAGAGACAGGGTTTCACCACATCGGCCAGGCTGGTCTCGAACTCCTGACCTTAGGTGATCTGCCTGCCTCAGCCTCCCAGAGTGCTGGGATTACAGGCGTAAGCCACCACACCTGGCCGTAATGTTAATTTTTATGCTATTGCATTAATATATTGCTTGTTCAGTTTTTTTTTTTTTTTAAGTAGCAAATTGAAGGGACAGGACCGAAGGATTGCTTCAGCTTTGATGACAGCCTAGATGGTCGTGGTCCTGTGTACACCTTCATCTTATTTCTCCTCACCCAGGGTCAGGAAGGGTCTCTGGGCAGTAAGGAGGATTCCAGGCCTCTGCTACTCATGACCATCTTTTCAGGGAGCCAGGCTGTCCTTGACTGGCTGCTTCAGGGCTTGGGGGATGAGTCAGAGGGACACAAAAGAACAAGGGGATTTCTCTCCAGTTTTCTTGACTTGGCCCTTTGAATCTGGTAGATCAGGAACTGGTCTGGTCAGTTGAGCCCTAGTGGCCACGCAGGACACAGTTTGAAGTGTCAGACCAAATTTATTTATCTTCCCTAGTCTCCCGCAGTTTCTTCTGCTTACATTTCACAGAGGACTGTAAGAGCATGAGCTCCAGGAAAAAAGTACCTAAAGAGAAGCTCAGAGGAGAGTGCAGCTCTATTAACCAGTGTTTCTGACGATCTAAGACTGTTGGATTGCAGAAAAATCAATTGATTTCTCTTTTGTTTCACTTCAGTCTCTTCTTCACCTAAGAAATGATTTTGTTCAAGTTGTTTTCAATATCAGTATCATTGAGCCTAAAAAGGCCTCAATGGCTCATTGACTTGGTCTTCCAGGGAGGTACTCAAATATGAGGCACAATAATTTTCTAATAACACCCCAAATTAGTAAAAAGGGGAAACTGTAGCACTATATTTTGTTTCATCCAGTTCTCAGAGTATGTTTACATTGGTCCTGAAAATAATTTTCCTTCTTGTAGGATGTCCTGCTGTGTAAAAGTTCTTTAAGGAACACATGGGTAGAAAAACTGAGACTGATGACTACCTGGCAATCGATTTGTTAAAGGAAAGGAGGAAAGAGGTGAAAGCATCTCAAAAGCCATGGCCAGGTGTAAATTCGTATTTGAATTTATTTCATAAGTTTCCAAGCCTCTCTCCCCAAGCCTATTGTTTTCCTCTCCTTCTTTCTTAACAGCATTCTTCTTGTGATGGTTAATTTTATGTCAACTTGATTGGGCTAAGAGATGCCCAGATTGCTGGTAAAGCGTTGTGCCTGGGTGTGTCTGTGAGGGTGTTTCTAAAGAGATTAGCATTTGAAGCAGTGGACTCAGTAAAGATGATCCACCCTCACCAATATGGGTGGGCATCCTCAAATCTGTTGAGGGCCTGAATAGAACAAAAAGGCAGAGAAGGGGATAATTTGCTCTCTCTGCTTGAACTGGGACATCCATCATCTCCTGCCCTTGGACAGCCAGTCCTCCTGGTTCTTAGGCCTTTGGGCTCAGACTGAATTTCACCCCCAGCTTTCCTGGGTCTCCAGTTTGTAAATGGCAAATCATGGGAGCTTTTGGCCCCCATAATCAGGTGAGTAAATTCTCGTAATAAGTCTCCTTGTACGTACTTCTGTCTCTCATATATGTATGTGTGTGTGTGTATATATATGTGTGTGTGTGTGCGTAGGTATGTATGTATATGTATGTATGTTGATATTGGTTCTGTTTCTCTGGCAAACCCTAACACACCTGCCTTGTGTAACTCTCCCACCTTTTCTTTTGCATTTGTCTCTCTTCCCTTCTCTTTGGGTCTCTTCTTTACCAACCAGATTCAGCCTGTTTTTCTATTACTTCTCTCCTCTCTCTCAGCCTCTTCCCTTTCTTTGACCTGCATAATTTTCTGTCCTTTCCTTTCCTCTAACTGAATTTGTCATAATTTGAAAATTAAATACATTTATATCCTTGCTATATTTTTTACCAGTGTATGTTATGTTTTCTGTTTTTAATTTAAAGGCAGAAGAAATGGAGAGTTTATATTTCATCCTCTTAGAGTTACAGAGAAAATTACAACCCAACCAATATCGGCCCTAAACTAAGATGCTTTCTCTATGGGACTCTTGATGGATCTTTTTTGAAGGGGTGAAGGAATCAGGAAACGTTGATAAAAGGAAGTTCCTATAACCTTTGGGAATGTTACAGTTTTAATTCTGATTCTCACTTTAGATTTTGATTCATTTAACAATTATATTACTGGCATTGCAGAAATATAAGTAAGAGGGAATGTACTGACAAATTTGGGTCTTCCTTCTTTAGCAACCCCATAACTGGTTCTATTTTATTTTCAGAATATTTCAGGGAGAACACAAAGACAGAACCAGATCTGTAGCTGGGAAATCTAAGTGTGAACCCTCTATCAGCCCTACTGGTTCTGTGACTCTGATAAGTCAACCTCTTTGAGGCTCAATTTCCTCATATGTAGAATGAAATCAATAAAGCTACTTTGCAGGCTTGTGAGGATTAAATAAGAAAAGTTATGTGAAAATATGTGATTAATCCTAGGGGCTGAATAAATGTTAGTTCATTGTCTTTCTTTCTAGGCTCTTCTGAGACTGATTTCCTCTGGATGTGTATGACTGTATGGGGTTCTGGGGACTTGTGGAATCATCCTTGAGAAGGGGTCAGGATAAATATAAGAGACTAATGAAACAGATCATCTTGCAAAACTCAGTTTTTATGTCACTTCCTTCAGGAAGGCTTCCTTGACTTCTCACCTCCCAAGATGAGTTGGCTGGATTCTTTTTGCACCAGCAGCACTCTGTCCTTAGTCTGACTCACTTTTCTATGCCTGTCACAGGACTGTGCCATCCTTATGCATGGATGATGTCTTATTTATTCCTGGATCCCCAGTGCAGAGCAGAGTCTACTGAAAGCCCACAGAAAATATGGAGTAACCCTTCATTAAGCTTTGAATACTTTACATCTTTACATGACCTGTCTCACTTCGACTGCATAACTGTATGAGGTCACCAATTATTACACTTATTTTATAAACAAGGAGACTGAGTCTCACAGGGGCTTAGTAACTTACCCAAGATCACACATCTGGCAATTGGCAGAGATCATCTTTGAACCCAGACAATCTACTTTCAGACCTCCTGTGCGTTGCCACTATCTAATGCAGCAGAAAAATGAAGGAATGAATAAATAAAGAATAAACAAATGAGCCTTGTGGTGTTGAAGGAGCCACTCAGGGCTTAGTGATATAATTAACTTCATTTTGAACTTGGTCATAGTGAAGATATAGCAGCCTTAGAAACCAAATTCTTGACACTTTCCTCCTCTCTAATAAGAGTTTTGAATAGCCTGAAATCCCTTACCTGTCTTGATAAATACAAATACAAAGACATAAATAATGCATTAGTTTCTTTCCCTTGCAGTTGAGGCTTTGCAGCCATAATTCTGCCCTACAGCCAGCAGACTTGGAGGGTGGGGCAGGGGAGAAAGGTGAAGTAGCGTCTTAAACAGTCTAAAATAAATTCCCTAGGATAATTACCAAACAGAGTTAATTCCATAAATTTGATTTAATTGGCAGCAGGCAAATGAAATAGGGAAGAAAAACATTCTTTTTTTTTTTTTCCAAGTCATTGGTGGTATCTCTGAAGCAGAAGTTGGGAAATCAGGATAATGTAGAAACCAGCAGCAGCCCCCATAAAAACTTCACATTCAGGAGAGAGGAAGAAAGAGACTCCATTACTGGGCTTCTCATCTGACTCTGTACTCAAAGCTTATACACATGATCCAACATAATTTGTGTGACCAACTTGAGAGGTAGATATTATTGGCTATGGAATCCATTAGCTATTGCCATGTAGCAGACAACCTCACAACTCAGTGTTTTAAAACAATGGTTTTTTATGACTCACATGTTTCTGGATTGGCTGGAGCTTGACTTGTTGAAGCCTAATTTTTAATTGGAATAGCTTTGCTTCTCACTGCAAGTCTGTGAGATGGCTGGTATGGTCTGGTCTCTCTTCTTCTGTTCTGTCAGCCAGGATATTTTCATCCTGTGTTGATGGCACTTCTGTTCATATATCATTGGCCAAACAAGTCACATGGCCAATAAAAAGGGCAGGGAACTTTACTCTTGATGAGGCCATGGTGAGGGAGTAGGTACAGGAAAGGGAGAAGAATTGAGGACAATGATTTAATAAAGCAGGCATTATTACCTCCGCTATGTAGACGGGGGATCTGAGTTCAGAGAGGTGGAAAATTTGCCAGATCACGTGGCTAGTTGTGTGGAGGAAAGATTCAAACCCAGAATTATTGGGCACCAAACGCCATGCTTTCTCTCCTGATGCTGATTCTGAACGAAAATTCTATGAATTCCAACTTCAAGAGGTCATTGAGATCTTCCTTGACACAAATCTATATGCTTTTGTGTCCTAGAATTAATCTCTCAGATGAGTGAGAAATTGAACAAAATTTAAGGTTCATGTGCCTATATAATTTTCCATCCTTTCCACTTCACTCACACATTGGCCTTTCCTGGATTCATTGCATGCGAAAGCGAGGTCAGCTAGCAACTCTGTTGTCCTTTCCCTCACTCTGCAGAACTTATACTTACAGATCTCATCAAGTAGGGCTCTCCCAAGATCGCATCCTACCCAGGACAAGTATGCCTTCCCCAGGCTCATTCTAGGCTCTGCTGTGGGTCTGGAGCTGTCCAGTGTCCTGAAACAACCCACCACGAGATGGGTTTAGTGAATCCAGCTGTAAGCAATTAAAGAACCCACGTGTGGCAGGCCTCATTTGGTTTAGGCAGCTTCTCTTCTGGCTTCCTTCCTCAAGTGCACTTGGGAACATGTATTACATGGGGAACTGTTAGTAACTGTAAGCAAACTCTCAGGGCTTAAAAGAGTGTTGCTACTTGCCACGTTAACAGCAAGGGATTGGTGTGGCAATTCGCAGAAACTCACAAGGGAATTCAGTAAGATTTTCGAAGGTGCTTTGCAGTTTATAAGGTCCTTACACACACACAAAATCTGCTGTGTGAGACTGAATTGGGATTCCTGTGCTTATTGTATGGATAATGAAACTGAGTTGCAGAAGACACTTCCTCTTCCACAGTCATAGAATGGTGCAAAAGGAAGTTACAGGACTAGGGAGTTCTGAATTATTTATCTTTCTCCTTCCATTTGTCCTGTCAACAAATAGGATTTTTTTTGAGACAGTCTCCCTCTGTCGCCCAAGCTGGAGTGCAGTGGTGTGATCGCGACTCACTGTAATCTCCACCTCCCGAGTAGCTGGGACTACAGGCATGCACCACCGTGGCCAGCTAATTTTTGTATTTTTGTAGAGATGGGGTTTCGTTATGTTGCCCAGGCTGGTCTCAAATTCCTGGCCTCAAGTGATCCTCCTGCCTAGGCCTCCAAAAGTGCTGGGATTACAGGTGTGAGCCACCCCACCTGGCCTCAAGAAATAGGATTTGATTAATTGATCTATTTAAAGTTCTTTGGGGACACAAAAAATATGGTCATACCCCCAAGGAGATTGTAATCACATTTGTGAGCGTTTGGTGAGGGCAAGGTGAGTACACAAATAAGGATATTGGAAGATGAAAAGTATTAGCTCTGAGCTTCATCCATCCAATGATCTAATAAATATATATTATATGCCTATTACATTCCAGGCACTATGCTTAGCACTAGTAATACAAAAGTAAATAAAGCAGATATTGCCCCTTCCCATTCTAGAAAGGAAGATAGTTACTAAAGAAGTAACCAAACAATGGAGCCAACAATTACTAATTTTTATGAATGCTCTTAAATCAGTAAATGAATAAAATATTTAGATAGGATAATGAGGATGAAGGGAGAGTCCTACTTAGGTAAGGTGGTTAGAAAAGACTTCTCTGAAGATGTAACATTTAAGGTAAGATCTGAAGGCTGAAAAGTCACCTGGGTAAAGGGATGGGATAAGATTGTTTCAGGCAGAGAAAAAGTCCTGAGGCCAAATAAGATTGGGATGATGGAGGAACTGCAAATGTGCTCACGTGACTAAAGAACAGTGAGGGAGCAGGGAGTGATTGGAGGTGAGATCACAAGGGGAGACAGGAGCCAGACCATGCTGGGCCTTCTACGCCACCATAAAGTGTTTGTCTTCTCCTTTTCTATTATGAGTTTCTTGGTAGAGAGCCTGGGATAAAGTAGGTAGTCATAACAGGATGTCTTAGATTGGACACTCTAGAAGTAGACATTGGAACAAGAAAGTGGGTGCTAGTAGTTTATTTGGGTAGTGATTCCGGGAAGCACCAGTGCATATGTGGGGAAAAGGAGGAATAAAGCAAGCCAATACAGGTAGCTCATTCAGCATGTTGCTGCTGTGGGAAATGGGGCTCAGTCCTTCAGGGAATCTCTCGGAGAGTGTGTGCCACACCTGAGTTATTCTCACTGAGAGGCAAGAGAGCAGGGGTGTTTATACACCAGCTGCCCTTAGGCTCTGGTGGGGGGCATGAACTCTGATACCTCCAGCCTGTCCAGAGGGCCAAGCAGGCAGAGTTGCAGGTGTTTTCAGTGGGAAGTCAAGTCTGTGGGCATGAGAATGGGGAGTGCTGAAGGATCATCATTGGGGGCACTTACAATGTGTGTGTGCACGCGTGTGTGCATGTGCGCACACGGGCTGAGAGGAGCAAGGACAAAGGAAGGTGGAGATGCCAAAGACAGTTGGCATAAAGGAGAGTAGAACCCTGCCATCTGGGGACACCCTTCTCAGAGATGGCACTGGGGACAGCTGACCCTGGGGCTTGCTGGAGGCCAGAGGAGCCATATCCCTCAGGGTTATGTTCCTACCTTCATGGGTGTGAGCTTTGCTACTCAGCTCTTCTCCTGGGGGCATTTGACAGAGTTTCCTCCCCTGGCAGGCTAGGCAGCCCTCCTCTCTGCTTCTTTTAAACAATCTCTCTTCTCTGGCTCAGACCCTAAGATACTGTGGGGCCAAAGACATCCTATTCTGGGGATGTCCCACGTTTGACGCTTAACACTTTTATCCCCCATCCCCCAGACATATCCTTTGTTTCTAAGCCACAACTAGGTCTGGGGTGGGGACTAGGAAGCATTCACATTCTAAGGGCATCTGTGGGATGTAGGACTAGATGTGTGGTTTGGAGATGCCTTTCTGAAACACATTTAAAATAAGAACTTGTGTTCTCCACAGAGCCCTGGGTAATTAATGAGGAAAGTCATATACCACATCCCTTGGTGATATAGGTAATAACACCCAACATTACTGAACTTGTTTTTGTAGCTTGTGAAAGGCTAGCTAATAAATTATCTCATTTGTTCCCCACAACAACCCAGGAAGGCAAATAATACTGTTAGTTCCAACTACCAGATGAAGGAGCTGAGGTTCAGAAGTGTTCATTACTTTGCCCCAAACAACACAGGCAGTGAATGACAGAGATATTCTGTGAGCATTTTTCTTCTGGTGATGGAGTGAGCGCTTTACCTTAGGAACACTTCAACAATTTTACAGTGAACATGACATCCCTTCACTTCAGAACTATTTATAACAGGGGTCTTGGAGATGGCCTACCTATATAACAGTAGGGCATCAAATGTCATGGAGCCAATAAATCCGAGGGCCTTGAGGTCTATGAATACAGGTGGATAAGTGTAAGGAAAGCAGCTTATATAACTGTTCTGAAGGTTGGGGTCAGAAAACTTTCTCAGGGAAGGGCTGGACTTTGCAGGTCATACCATCTCTGTCACAACTACTCAACTCTGCTGTTGTAGTGTGAAAACAGCCATGGATTTGTTGGTGAATGGGCATGGCTGTGTTCCAATAAAACTTTATTTACAAAATCAGGCAGAGGGCCAGATTTGGCCTCATGGCAGTAATTTGTCTAACCCTGCTGTAGTGAAGACTACATTACAGAGATTATTTTACTATTTCTGTCACTAGATGGTGTCCTTCCATTAGTAAGGTGAAATCAAATGCTGGGCTGCTTTATCATGGGTAGGGAAGTGGGGAAGGGATTGAATTATGGTGGCAGGAATTAGTGTGGGAGGTTGGGATCAGAGAAAAGAGTTTAAGTGTAATTCAAATGACAGAAAGTAAACACAACAGACACATGCACACACACACACACACACACACACACCCATTCACGCATCCAGAGTAGCTACTGTGTTCCAGGTACAGTGCAAGGTGGTGGTGCACTTGGTAAATGTTTAACAACAGACTCTCTGAAAAAAAGAAAAGGAACTCCCCTCCCCCCTAAATTGTAGCATTTGTTGATTTCTGTAGTGGAAAACTCACATCATGCCTGATTTCAAGCTACTAACTTGCTATCAATCTGTTTGTAACGTACCTACCATTGAAAAATGGAGTCTTGTAAGCTGACGTAGCCAGCTTCAACACACTCCTGGCTCAAGGTCTTTTATTTTTATTGTACCTGGATATTTGTGGGACAGCAAAGTTTTAAATGCCTGGGTTTCCCTTAACTGTGCTTCGTGGTGAGATCATCTAGGATCTCATTCATCCAGAAGTCACTTACTCAGCAACCTCAGTTATCTAGACTATAGCTTGGAGCCAAGAAACAAATACTCCCCATCTCCTAGGCAGCACGTGCAAAAATAGATGTCATTAAATTCATGAACTCTCAGTCAGCTTACTCATAGAAAAGGACCTCAGTTCTTCATTCAGAGTGTTCTTAGTCCCATATTAAGTACAATTTAAATGAGAAAATGGTTACCAGGTTTTTCCACCTAGAAATTAGAAGCAATGAATTAGAAGGGATAGTAGATCCAAATTTCATAGGAGCAAATTCATTGTAAGCAGCAAGAAGGATCCACTGATTGCTAGATAGTGGAGGGAGAAGGTGACAAGGCTATTTCAAAGTGGGATATTTGGAGCTATTTGGTGTAAGCGCAAATAGTTCTCCACCTTATTGGATTTGAGGGTATTGCTGTAACTGACCACAGTCATTCTCATGCTCATAGCAAACTCATCTGAGTCATCTGAAAAAATTGGAATGATGCTTAAGAAGGCAGAGCATTGGTCAATTCATTTCAGAAAAATCTCTCTTTTACATGCTTGATTTTTTTATAGTTATCTTTGAAAGAAGCCCATCCTGTCGCATGGACATTGTATAGCATGAAGAAACTCTTCTCCTGGTAGGGTCAGATGACAGGGGCATTGCTGCAACACCTTTGGTTTGTTTTGATTAGCAGTTAAGGGTGATAACGTTCAGTTTAAAGTGAGCCTTTTTTTCTCATCTGCTGTAAAACATTCTATCCTCATTCTTTGGTTGTGGGATTTGATGCACACTTTCATTTCCACCTTCTCTTCTGCCTTTATGAATTTGTAGACTTTGATTAGGGTGCCTCTCAAGCTACATCTTCACAGATGGAGGCAGTTTGATTTTTAAAATCTGTTTTTTTCACACAGGTCAGTCCATCAGTCATCTACTTCCTGCCACCCCATCCCAGCTATCATTTCTCAACACTTTGAACAGTTGTCTTATCCTCTCTGAAGACTTCTCTTAGGCTCCTTTCCTTGCCCAAATAAGTTGATGATTCATTCTTCTCTGCAACATATGTCCCTTCTCATATTTTTATCATTGTTTATGATCTTTTTTCCTTAAGTGAAACAAAATTCTTCAAAGAAAAACACAGTATCTCATGAAGGTCTTTACCTCTGGAATTTAGGAGACCACCTGTTACTTCCATATACCTGTGTCACTGCCCTCAAGAGGACCTGAGGCAGGTTGACTGGCAGGCTCCAGGTGCTGTGCATTTGGGTTGTCCATGGTGCTCAGGCTAAGGCCAAGTCTCCCCTACATTGCTTCTAGTTCAAGACCAAACATTTCAGGAGAACTAGAGCCACACCACTTGTGCCCAGTGTGGAGCTCTTCCAACAGAAACTTTGTCTGGGTTCTCTCTATTGGCCTGGCTGATACGATCTCAGAACTGCATTGTGATCTGAGATCTTTCTTCCCTCTTTCCATCCCTCTCTCACAGGTGTCACACTGCATCTGTCTGAGAGTTCTCCCCACCTGCCCTTGCTCCCTTTGTCATCCTTAGGAATTTACCCCAATAACATCCTACATATCCAATCCCATCCTGGTGTCTGCTTCTCAGAGAACCCAAACTCACACAGTATCTGATGCATAATAGGTATCCAGAAATGTCAATTGAATTGAATTTATGGTGCTTTTATTGGTTATCAGATCTTGTCTTCAGCAGATTATTTTTTCAGTGTGGAGGTTCTGTAATTAACAGGTGTCTAAGTCTGTTTAGTGTTGCTATAAAAAAATGTCTGAGGCTGGGTAATTTATAAAGAAAAAAGTTTATTTGGCTCCTAATTCTGATGTTTGGAAAAGTTTAACGTTGGGTATCTGCATCTGATGAGGGCCTCAGGGTGCTTCCACTCGTGGCAGAAGGAGAGCCGACCTGTGCGGACATCCCATGGTGACAGAGGAAGAAAGATAAAGAAGTGAGGTGCCAGGCTCTTTTTAATCACCACCTCTCTTGAGAAATAATAGAGTGAGAAATCAGTCTGTCTCCTCACCCCCAGGGATAGCGTTAATCTAGTCATGAGGGATCCACCTCCATGACCCAGACACCTTCCATTAGGCTTCATCTCCAACATTGGGGAACAAATTTCAACATGAGGTTTGAAGGACACAAACATCCAGACTGTAACCACATGGTTCATCAAACAACAATAGCCAATGCCTCCTTAAATAAGACTGGACTATCTACGGGTAACTTGGGATCATCACCATGGACATTTGTTGACTATATAGGAATACACACTGATGCCCCCAGGACCTGCTGAAATGTTTAAGCCTGTTTACCCCTGTATGGTTGGCTCCAGATAGATCTCATTGAGTTATTGTGTCTGTTTTTAATTGGTTTTATTTTTTTGTCTCTGTCTTTGCTGTCAATGTTTTTAAATGCTAGATCTGAGAGAGACTTCAAAGATCATTCATGAGTAGATCTTCAGAGCACATAATCACTAGGCACTAGTTAGATGCTGGGAATTCAGGGTTAGATAAGAAATGGTCCTTTCCTTCAAGGTGGGAGCAAGTTCTGGCTCCTTATTTTACAGATGTCAAACCAATTTGGCAAGATTTCTCAGCAGACCCATTAAGATATGGGAAATACAAGAAGCTAATATATAATGACAGCAAAGTATTTCTTCAAGATGGGCAGGTGTGGATCCAATCTGAACCTTTATTGCACCTTCTGGGCCCCATGTCTCAGCCAGCTGATGATGGCATAGAATCACCTGCATACCTAGCCCTCTGAGGCATCTCAAGATTTCTGTGACTAATCAACATACTGAAAAAGATGTTGCTGTGAGCCAACTCCATCAACAGGGACCTCATGCTGCTCATTTAATTGTTGATTTACCCTTATGAGAGAATAAGAACTGTAGTGACTTGAAAAAGATGCCAGACATTAGCTTGGAGGAATATCCACTTTCCTGCGTAGTGTAGAGTAATCAGGATCTGAAGACCCAGTTTACTCCTAGCTCTGTTACTAATTCTCCATGTGACCTTGGACAGGGCATTTCACCTCTTTATATTTTAATTATCTGCAAAATTGGATAATAAATACTACATTACAAATAAGAGAGGATCTGTATATGAAGGCATTTTATAAACAATTCACTATATAAGGGTAAGGACATTAATTATTAATTTTATTCTGCCACATTCTTTGGTGAGATCATTCGTTCATTTATTCATTCAAAAAGCATCTTCATAACCCTATGTATCAGGCAGTTCTAAGTACTTTGTAAATCTTCGCAACACTGTGAGATGTGTACACTATTATCACAATTTTATAGATGAAGAAAGTCCAAATAAGTTAAATAACTTGCCCAATGTCACACATCTAGTAAATGGCAGACCTGGAATTCTAACCCATGCAATCTGGCTCCATAATTCATGCCATTGGCGACTACACCAAAGGACAGAATGCCTTTTTTTAAACTGGAATTTGACTCAGTGAAATAGGCCTGGAAAAAGAGAGAGAGAGAGAAGGAAAAAGAAGAGACATGGGCTCAAAAGAGAAAGGGATGGGGAGTGATAGGATATCCATAGGAAGGACCACAAGGTAGAAGGAGAGCACTCTGGCCAGGAAAGTGATGGTCATCCCAAAACATACATGGTCTTTCTTCAAGAAGATGGTTCCTCCATTCAATGTCCTGGAAGAGAAGAGACAGAGAGAGCTCTTGGGCGAACAAACTTATTTCAAGGAGAGACACTGATAATCAAAAGAGATCATTGTTTTCCATGATGTTTAGCAAGTCACAGATCCCCATGTTGATCCAGGCTCCTGGAGAGCTGCTCAACAAGCAGAAAAGGGGAAAGGCCACTCATTTCTTATTAATCATGAGATTCCTTATTGATCATGAGAACTAACTGAATAGTGGGCAAACTTTAACATTGCTTCCAGTGATCCCAGCCTCCTAGTAGGTACACCTTTGTGTAATCCCCTCCTTTTAAGTGTGGGCTGGCCTTGCAGACTCTCTCTAATGAATGTCATTAGTGATGGATGCCACTTCTAAGATTAGGTTATAAAAGGCAATGCCTTCTCTCTATCTCTCTTGCTCTTGCTCTCTCTCCTTCTCTCTCTCTCTCTCTCCCTCTCATCTCACTGGTGTTGAGTAAAGCAAGCTGCCATGTTGTGAGCAATCCTACACCCCCAGAGAATGGTGAGGAACTGAGTATTTCAGTGCTGCAGTCCATAAGGAAATGAACCTGTGAACAACCATATGAATGAGCTTGGATGTAGAGCCTTTAGCTCCAGTTGAGACTTGAGAAGAGGGTAGATCTCACTGACTCCATGACTATAATCTCAAGAAAGACCTTTAGCCAGAAGCATCCAACTAGGTTGCTCGCAGATCCCTGACCCACTAGACTAGAACATGTGATGTATGTGTGGTTAGGGCAGAGGTGAGACCGGATAAGTGAACAACTATCAGATGGGCTAGGATGTTTTGACTAGAAAGTCAAGATTTTCCATATGGAATCACTCTGCAGACATTTTGGTGGGTTATCTGAGTGAGGAAATATAGGAAGGCGAAGAGTCTGAAACATCCTTGGAATTTCGAATCCTTTAAGTCTATAAATTCGGCAACATTCACTGCAATTGATTTCCAGGCTAGAGTTCTCTCTGCCTCAGGGGTTTTAATTTTATTCTTCTAATAATTCTTTATTGTCATTAATATTATAATAAAACATGATGCATATAGCTTATTGCATGATTAAGGGGCTTACTGAAGACTTACTGGACACTGTGCTCCACCCACAGTCTCAGGATCTGGAGGGTTCTTTGTGGAGCTGCCATACTTCATGTCATGGATGTGGAAAATGGAGTCTGAGGTGGATCCTCCCTCTCATTCTCACAGCCTGTAAAAGGCTCCTACCCCACTTGTAGCCTACAGAGGGTTATGATGCATGGTTAAGAGGGAAGGTTCTAAAGTCAGAGAGGCCTGGGCTGATAGTCTGGTGCTCAAAAGTATCTGTGTGAGCTTGGATAAATTACTTAACCTCTCTGAGTTCATTTTTTTCAGCTATAAAACAGGGATGGGAAGGGTGCCAACATCACAAGGCATGGTATGAATTAAATGAGATGATTTGCATGGGGGGATCTGGCACAGGTGTACTTGCCAGAAATATTGGTTACTATTTTTTGTGATGCCACAGAATGCCATTTTCTACTCAAATTCATTTTTTCTTACCTTTCTCTGTTGCTGACTATAGAATGGTTTTATGTATGAATTATGAATAAGTCCTAATTATGGTCCCAGAGCCCTGTCAGTACTAATCCATAACAGATACGTATGTCTACATGTTATTAATTAATATATCAGGTATACTAGTTTTCTGTTGCGCATACTGACTTACCCCGAAATTTAGCAGCTTAAAATAACACACCTTTAATGCCTTGCAGTTTCTGTGGGTCTGGAATCTGAGCACAACTTAGCTGGGTCTTTGCTTCAGGGCCTCTGCAAGGTTGAAATCAAGGTGTTGAATGAGACTGCAGTCTCACCTGAAGGATCAACTGGAGAAATGATCCACTTCCAAGCTCACGTGGTGGCTGGCAGCATTCATTTCTTTGAAGGCTGTTGGACTGAGGGCCTCAGTTCCCTGCTGGATGTTGAGGAGATGCCATCCTCAGTTCCTGACCATTGTGGACATCTCCAGCTTGCTTCATCAGAGCAAACACACAGGAGTCAGAGTGAAAGGGAGAGAGGGAGAGAGGAGGAAAGAGGGAGAAGGGGAGAGGGAGACTATTAGGGTTCACTAAGGATAAAAGTTCACAGCCCAATGGACACTCACTCCTGTGTCATGGTCCATGCTTTCCTTTGCTGTCCTAATACCTAAAGATTGAGTCTCAGGCCAGAGGCTGTGGACCTCACTGTTACAAGGATCCTCATGTAGGGTTCCTTCCAGGGTAATGCACAGAGATCTTCCAGGGAGTGAGACCATCTTAGCACCTTCCTGGGGGTTAAGCACAATGACCTGCTGCTCTCACCCCCAGTTATGTGTGTGGTGTGTGTGTTAACAGAAAGGATTAACTTAGGTAGTTTAAATGGTTTTATCCTGGATTACTGGATGATTTTTTGTTATGCTGACACATTCTGTGAGAAGTATAAATTATTTGAAAAGGTGACATCTGGTTTGCTTCTACTCATTGTGTTAAAAAAAGTGGAGTGAATGTAATGAGGTTCAATGTGGGTCTTAAACCCTTCTGAGGCTTAACAGTGAACATTCTCTCCATGCAGAATCCTAGCCCAGTCAGAGCTCTAGGACCCTGGGTTGGGGAGTCTCAGTCTGGCTCAGGGTTAGGGGTTCACTGAGGGGTAGTGACCCTGTGTTTTAAAACCAGGTTTGGAGATTAGGCATAATTCCCACTATCCAGATATTACATTAAGCACCCAGTTCAAAAACATCTCTCAGGAAGCCCATGTCCGTCTGGGACATGGGAGATCTGCTAAGTCCACATTCAAATTTTCATTCATCATTTCCCCCTAGTTCCCACTGACCTCTCAGGTATGTTTTTCACCTGATCATCAGGTCTCAGTCCCTGGATGTTTACATAATTTATTTTTCCTAATTTGCATGACAGCCAAGAGAGATTATATATTGCAGAACTGAGGTCTATAAAGACGAAGTGACTTAGGTAGCAAGAAGCTGAGACAGGGCTGGAATTCACACTCCAAATTCTAGGCTGTTTACAAAATATAATGTAGCTCCATACCAGCTCCCAAGAGCCAGAACTCCTGGTCAGTCTTACCATGGGAAAGGTAGCATCAATATCTAACATTTCTGGCAATGACTCTGATATAGAAGCTCACAGAGACCCTCAGCCTAGAGACCTTGGAGCATCCCAACAGCCCAGCTATTGGCTATCCACCACTCAGGCTTTCAGTTTATCAGTCCTGTCTCTGACACAGCCCCCATCCCACAATCCCCAAGCAGATGCTTGCTGCAGCACTGAGCACATAATTATGATTGCCACTTTCCTCTGGTCAGTAAGTTCTTCCAGGATAGAAGTTGGGTACTATTGCTAGCACCTGGCAGAGTGCCTGGTACAAAATAGGCACTCAGTAAAAATTGATAGTGCTCGGGTAGACTGTGGTCATTTCTGGCAGGAGCTCCCAGAATGGGTTGTTTTTATGCATCCCTTAAACTAGAATGATGCCCTCAGTGCCACAGCTCATCATAGCACTGAATGCACTAGATTGCAATGGGGAGTTCATTCATTTATCTGTGTTTTTGTTCCATCTAAAGTAGACCTTGAGACAAGGGTTTGGGTGTAAGTAGTTTCTTTGGGAGAAGATAACAGGACAAACTATGACTAGGTAGGGGAAGTGTGACAAGTAAGGGAGGAGCAATAGCTGTGGGCAATTGGAGCTCAGTCCGACTGTAGCCTTCTGAGTGGTGGTGTTGAACATTCTTTAGATTACTCCACTGGGGTGAGGAATCTAGAAAATTTATCCACCAACTCCCATCCCTCAGTAATTGAGGCTTGTTCCTGGGCTGCTAACTCCCCAGCATTGTCCTGTGGCCATTGGTGCATACAGAAACTGTCCCCAGAAGACTTCTGAGTTAGGACAAGTGGACACAACATCAGGGCACCGGTCACATCTGCTCATTTCATTTAGGCAGCAAGGTCTTTAGTAAAATGTATAGCTAGAGTTTATTGAGAAATTGCTGTGTGCCAGCCACACGTATACTCTTACATAGTTTTCACAACCATGAGGTTACTATTTTCAGCCCCATTTTATGGATGGGGAAACTGAGGCTCAGTGAAGCTACCTAACTTGTCCAGGCTGGTAAGTAGCAGAGCTCAATATTCTCCCTGGGTGTGTCTGATTCCACAGTTGGTGCCCATTCTACTTTATTGCACCTCCAGCAGTGCTTAGCAAATAAGATAATGATTGGGTTTAAAAGTCAGGAACTGCAGGAATCCCGAAGAGCACTTAAAAGTCCAGCATTAGAGGATGAAGGCCTGAGATAAACACAGGCTGAGTAAAAATTTAAAGGGAAGAAAGTGAGAGAGTAGAAAGTCCAAGTGGCTGGTTCAGCCAGAGAGGCCACAGTCAGAGCCAGGCATAAGTATTGCAGGTGAGGAGACCCAGGGAGTACTCAGCTTGTGACAAGGAGAGCAGAGGACAAACCTATACCTCCAGGCACATCCAGAAGCACCTTGCATATCAGCAGAAAGAAGTTGTTGTTTCTTAAGTCCATCAAATGGAAGAGGCAATAAAGAATCAGTGGGACTCCAAGATTGAATAACTCATTTTGGTGTAGTTAAGAATCACCAAACATGTGATCACTCATTTGTGATAGCATGCCAGAGCTGAAGCAACCCTCCCTCAGAGGACCAGGTCCTCATCATGGCCAGAAGAAACGTCTTCTCCATGGCCATGCAGCAGAAGCAAACAGGCATCCCACTTCTCACACATGGATCAATTGTTACTACTTACAAATGGACTCTTGGAATCTCCAAGTAAACTGTGCAAAGTGGGTCAAGTAAATTCCTCCCCGTACCCTAGCCTCATCACTTTTGTCTGTAGACAGAAACAATGATGCTGTGTGGCAGTGAGGGTTAAAGGAGGTCATAGGTGTGAACCTGCTGCTGACAGCCCATCCTGTGGTTGGTGCAGAGCTCACATGGAAGTTCCCTCTAGGCCCTTCCCCACCTGGTCTGCAGGGAACAGTGAGCTCAGAGCCAACACTGTAGGGAGGGGTACAGGGGACCCTATAACACTTTCACCTCCACCAAAAGGAGAGGCCTCTCATTTAAGATCCCCTTTCCTGCTCTGTGCAAACTATGGTCTGACCACACTTAGACATGGACATGAAGCATCACCCCTGGTTTGTGAGCAACACCCAGTGGCACCCGAGGGGCTAGACAAGGGCAGGAGGGGAAAACTGACATTTCAGTAATGACAGTCGTTTCTACTGGGAAAGTCCAGCTGAGAGAGGAAATGCATGCACTGTGGACCTCAGAGGAGTTTCTCAGGATTCAGTTCTTCCATCCTCACCTGTGAAATGTGCCGGTGGTTGAGATGGCTAAACGTTCTGATTTTGCCATTTTGTGATGTGAAGATAGATAACTGAAGGACACTGAAGACACATTTGGCAAACTCTTCCCTGCTATCTGGAGCTGCTTGTTGGAGGAAGGTTGAGATGAGCGTTTATGGTTTGCTTCAGCTCCTCTGCTGTGCACCAGGCCTGATGCTAGGTGGGGTGTAGGAGGCACAGCTGCTGCTTTCCAGGAGGGGACAGTGGCTGCCAGCAATAGCAGGTAACATTTATGGAGCACTCACTTTATGCCAGACTATGCATTAGCTAGCTGTATCATCACCACACCCTACAGGGTAGATTCTATTCTTACTCTCCTTTAAGAGTTAGTAGCTTCTCTCACATCACACAACTAAGCCCACCTTTTTACACCTTACAGAATAATATTCCACTTGACATTCAAGGAGTGCCTTTTGTGTGCCAGGCACTGTGACAGGTGAGTTATAAATGTGCTCTGCTTTAATCCGCCCAGCAACTTGGAAGGTAGACATTATTTTATAAATAAGGAGATCGGCTCAGAGAGGTAAAGTGGCTCCCTCAAGGTGACACAGCTCATGTGTGGAGAACCTAGAGTGTAATATAAGTCACTCTTACAAGTATACGAGAAGGAAACAAGCCCAAGTTATACCCCAGACTGTTAAGACTTCCAAGAGAAGTGTTAGGCATGATGTAGAAATGCACGAGTGAGTCCAACTTGGGGGATGTGGGAGGCAATTGTGGAGAAGTTGGTGTCTGAGCAGGGCCTGGAAGGATGAGCAGAGTGGACTAGGGAAGGAAGGGCATCTGTGTGGGGACACAAAGTGCTTATGGTTTGCTTCATGGTGATGGTGGGCTTATGGTTAGACTATCTGGATGCAGTCCCTGGTTCTATAACTTTGTAGTTGTGTGACATTAGACATGCTACTCTTTTCCCACCCTTAAAAGGAGAGTAAGAATAGAGTCTACCCTGTAGGGTGTGGTGATGATATAGTGAGCTAACACATGCATGGAGACAAGCCAGCAGTTAGTAGGCTCAGAAGGTAGCAAGAGAGTGGGAGCCAGGTGAGTAGGCTAAGGTAAAATGTGGAGAATCTCGGGTTCCAGGAGGGGAACCAGACCTTGTGCTGCATCAGCAGAGACTGCTGGATGGTGGACTACTGGGTGGAGAGGAGAGAGGGAGTCACCAGTGGGCATTATTAGGAAGGCACTTCCCACAGATATCTGAATGTACAAAAGTTCTTCCAGCCCAAACTTCTCCCCGATACTTCCTATTCTTGCTTCTTCACCCCAGATACCAAATTTTGCCATGTTGGTGGGTTGCAGGAGCGGGGTTGTGGAGTTTCTAATTGCAGAGATTTGGTTTGTCTGGGATTGATCTGTCTAGTGGTTTCCTTTGCTTCTCAGAGCACAGTTTCAGGGAGACTACTTGTGGATCCAGTTACATGCAAAGTGCTTTCTTCTTTTGTCCCCATTTAAAAAATTAATTTATTTTAAAAATGTTTATTTTAATTGACAAGTAAAAATTGTATATATTTATGGTAGATCACATAGTGTTTTGATATATGCATATGTGGTAAAATGGCTAAATAAAGCTGATTAACATATGCATTAGTTCACATACCTATTTTTGGCAAAAAACCCATTCTGTTAGCAATTTTCAAATATACAATATGTTATTAGCTGTAGTCTCCATGATGCACAATAGATTTCTTGCACTTACTCCTCCTATGTAACTAAAATGTTGTGACCTTTGACTGACATCTCCTCAGTCCTCCCACTCCCTGCCCCCAGCCTCTGGTAACCACCATTTTATTCCCTATTTCTATGAGCTCAACTATTTTACATCCTAAATATAAGTGAGATCATGCAGTATTCATCTTTCTGTGCCTGGCTTACTTAACATAATGTCCTTCAGGTTCATCTATGTTATTTCAAATGATGAGATTTCCTTCTTTTTTAAGGCTCAACAATATTCTGTTGTGTATATATATAGTAATGTATATTCCATATATTCCAACAGTATTGTTGGAATGTATTTATGTATATATATATACCCATATATATTCCAAGGTATTTTCCGTATATTCCAACAATATTCCATTGTGTATATATACACAATGTTTATTCATTGATGGACACAGTTTGATTTCATATCTTGGCTATTGTAAATAGTGCTGCAATAAACATGGAAGTGCAGATATCTCTTTGACATACTGATTTCATTTCCTTTGGATATATATCCAGTAGTGGGATTGCTGGATCATACGGTAGTTCTACTTCTAATTTTTTGAGGAACCACCATACTGTTTTCCACGATTATTGTGCTAATTTATATTCCCACCAACAGTGTGCAAAAGTTCCCTTTTTTTTCCCCACAGTCTCACCAACATTTTTTATCTCTTGTCTTGTTGCTAATATCCATTCTAACAGGTGTGATATCTCCTTGTGGTTGTAAGTGGCATTTTCCTGATAATTAGTGCACAGTGCTTCATTCTTAAAGGGGATGATGCCACAGAGTTGCCTTCCAACCTAGCCATGGAGACAGGAGAAACAGGCTGTCTGAGCAGGTTCAGCCTCCATTCCTTACTGGAGGGGCCACACCGGGAGGAGAAGGAGGTTAGATTGCTAGAGTCTTTTTCAGTCAGGGTGGGCTAGCTTGGGGTCTGTTTAACTGGACTTGTTTAAAGTTGAACAAAGTCTAAGAGACTTGGCTTTCTCTGGGGTTCCTGGTATATATTGATCATGATAGAGAGATACCTTGTGAGATGACTGTGGAGGATTAACCTTCTCTAAAGGTGCTCCTAGGAAGGCCCATCTACTTTCCCTCACCATCCAGATAGGAATTCCATCAGGAATAGCTTTGTGGTTCACCATGAGATGTCACCAAGATATTTTAAGAAATGAGTGCAAAACAGTGTAAATTGAGAGCTCAGTTTCTTAGCAGTAACATGTATTTAGTGTGTTTGGAAGGAAAACAGCCTAAATTATGGAAAAGTGTGATGATCAAGATCTGACATAAATACATCAACAAAGACTAAATGTAGACACAGACATCAGAAATGCCTTTCTCACATGCTGCAGGGGTGTCTCCTTTGCCTGGCAGAGCTTTAGAAACACATCATGTGCCTTCAGGGGGTGTTATCTTGGCTGTGGTGCAGGCAAAGCCTAAGCTGCTCTGATCTTTGGGCCTGGAGTCACCTGGAGGAAGGATTTTCAGTATCATATTCCAGATTCTGTACAAAGGTTTTCTGTCTGACACTAGAGGGTTTTTGGCTGATGTGATGCTGCAGATTTGGTCAGCCTTTTGGTGTTGGTTCTTGTGTTTCTGCGTGTGCTCACATAGGACTCCTAGCTTCTAGTACTGAACCTTAGTTCTGTTCGCATCTTTTTGTGACCTCTGTTGATCTGGGAGCAGCTTTCCTTCTTTAACCAAGGCTCTGCTGTCCATAGATTGCTGGTGCTGAATAAGTCCAATCCACTACTGCCCTCGATGCTCCCGTTTTGGGGTTCTCTCTCCGGCCCTGTGACTTTCTGAGTATAAACTATGCTTGGTCTTGTTCATAACAATCTCTAAAGATTGATTGATTTTTGTGAGCTGCCAAAGAGAAGTGCCTGGAATAGCAATTGTTACTGTGAAACAGGGCTGAGAGGCTGGAATGGTGAGCATTTCTGCCACCTGGGGGAGGTCGCAGGGAATATATTTAAGTTGCAATTTTCTCCACCTCCTAGAAACTCCTCAGTTCTTGGGTTGGTTTTTCCTTTCTTTTCTTTTAATATCTCTTGTCTAGACATCCAGGAGCCTAGTGATACATTACATTGTTCAGCCCCTTAACATTTATTTCATAAAGCACTTTTACGTATATTAAAAGGAAACAGTTCAGAACATAGACTTTGAAGGCATGCTGCCTAAATCCCCATGATGGCTTTCCATTGCAGGCTGTGCAACCTTGAGCAACTCCCTCTTTCTGCGCTCAATGTTCTCGTATAATGGGGGCAATAATATACCTACTTTATAAATTGTGGGGATAGATAAATTAATATTTGTAAAGTGATTAGAACAAGACTTGCATGTAGTAGTCCTACATAAATGTTCTTTACTATTATAATTATCATTATTATTGCTACTACATTTATTGTCATGGCCAACTGTTTAGGGTAGTGGCATAATCGAAATTACCTTTGATTCTAGCTCCTTCCTTCCTATGCCCTAGCTTCAATCCCTATTAAATAAATTCACCCTGCCCTAAGTATTTGGGGAGCTTCCTGATGCTGTCTCTCCTGCATTTAGTGTCAAGCCTCATAGGCCTACTCATCTGCTGGTGATCACTGTCACTTGTACTCCTGCCAAGCACTGGTACTGCCCCATGGCTTCATCCAGCTATTACTGACTTTTCCTCTGTTCACCCAGGTCCAGCAGTTCTTCAGAGATCATTTGAAAGGCCCAGAGCCTCTAAGTTGTGGAGTGACCCAGAGTGGAGCAGGGAGAATGGCTCACTGCCCTTTGGTTTACATTTTTCACAAAGGACTCAGCCCTCCTGCAAAGAAAATTCACTCTGCCAAGCATTAGTGAGCAATAGAGATTTTCCTGGAGATTAGGCCCAAACGATGGTTTTATTGCATACCATGCAGCAAAACACCTAATAAATTAAACACTTCTTTAGCCTGCCAGGATGCTTTTGCCAGTCACCTGTCCCTCAGACATTTCTAAGCCATGGTGCTCTTTCCTCTCCTCTTTTAAAAATAATTCAGAATAATTTCTATCTTTGACCTCTGTTGGTCTGGGAGCAGCTTTCCCTCTTTAACCAAGGCTCTGCTGTCCACAGATTGCTGGTGCATATTCTTTTGCATAATGTTTGGACTCCTGCTTACTTCAGCCCTCAAAGTGCTCATCTGAGCCGCTCTTTGGCACACATAGTACCTCCCTCATATCAGTTGCTGAGAAGTCAAATGTTTCTTCATATGTTACACAAAAATAAGGCTACTGCCCTTTTGGGTCACTGTTTCACTCACTCACTCACCAGCCTTATAGCCAGTTAGTGTTTTCAGATCTACTCAATTTTGAATTATTTTCCAACTTGCGAAAGCTCATGTTTCAGAATTTGCTCTAGTCAGGACCACAGTCTTCCTGACTTGCAGGAATGTGTGTAGTGTGGTATTGGATCCCTCCATGGGGATGGGCACCCCAACACAGCTGTAGCTGGCAGCCTGGCCTTCCCTTGTAAGACCAGCCCATCCAGGTATGTGCTTTCAGGAAGTAAATCAAACATCACCGCTTTTTAGAGAGACTGATGTGTGCCCTCAGAGAGCACACAGGAGTCAGAATATGCATGGCACTGGCAGTGGCCAAGTTCTTGGGTGGAAATGGCCTGTTTGGCCAAATCCAGGCACTAGATAATTGTTTTCCAGAGTGTGGTCCACAGAACACTTGCATCACCTGGGGAATGTACAAAACATATATATTTCAAAGCTTTCCCAAGACTTTTCCAATCAGCCTGTGGAGGTAGGGGTGAAGAATCTGTATTTTTAAACAAAGCCCTTAGCTAGTTCTTCCACATCCTAAAATTTGGGAACCACTGCCCTAGACTGTAAGTTCCATTAAGGCAGGGACTTGAATTCTATCCCTCAAGTAAACAATGTTGGGTCCCTTCTTTCTCCTGATGGATATATAGGAAGAGTCTATTTCCCAATTCCCTTGCAATTATGTGAGACACGCAATCATTTCCAGCTAATGGGCTGTATGCAAAAATAAAGCATATTACTTCTGGGCCAAAGTATAGAGATGAGGGGTGAGTTCTCCGGTTCTCACTTTACCTTTCTGTGATGACTCATGAGGTCACATATTCCAGATGGTACAGCTACAAGGTAGTGGAGCCTCTGTCATCCTGGCTTCTTGAGTGACTGTGTGGAGCAGAGTCCCCTTGCAGAGCCGCTGTGGACATGGAACATGAGTGAGAAATAAACATCTGCTCTGTTAAGCCACTAAAATTTCAGGATTAATTTGCTATCACAGCATAACCCAGCTTTATCTTTACCAATATACAAGACACTTTTATCATCTTACAGTGATGTTGGACAATCGATTTGTTTATTATTAAAAAGTTTAATGAGATTTGCTTTAAGCTTCAGCAACAGTTGCTGGAGAAACAATATCTGACTGCAGTGGGCAGGGCTGGGACTAGAGTGAGACAAGTGAGAGACGTAAAAGGCCCAAACTATTCATCTCAGCATTGCTCTCGAGAGCTCCTGCTTTGTAAAGGAACAAGTAAAAATGATTTGTAATCTCACTCCTCCTTCAGGCAACAAAGACTCACTGAGACCAGCATGCCAGAGCTCAGCACTGGGACAGAGGAGTAAATAGGCATTGTCCTGGTCCTCAAGGAAGTCACAGTCAAATGAGAAACCAGACAGATAAGGACAACATGGGGTGGTTGTTTCCCAGAAGGAGGGGTAAGCCAAGGGCTTAGCAGCCCAGATGAAGCAGAGGCCTCCTCCAGTTGGACTCTGTGGGCAGCTCAGCTCCCTTGACAATGACTGTTGAGAAAATGCCAGCCACGCAGTGCCTTGTGCTGGTGTTTGGAGAAGAGTTGTGTGCTGGTAATTGATGGTGTGTACTTGTTCAGATGTCCCAAATAGCTGATGATTTGATTATGAGGACTTTACAACCACTCAGGCCCAGGCTCATTCTGGTTTTCCAAAGAAGATGATTCCAGACACACACCAATCGAGAGGACTCATGCTAGGCATTGGGCATAGAGCCTGGCACAAGGCCTGGTCACAGGAATTGCCCAGTAAAGGGCAGTTCTTCTCTGTCCTCCATGTCTGTTGGCCAGAGTTAAGTCATGGGAGTGGTCACAAAGAGGGAGGAGGCAGGAAACCTTATTAATAAAGAAGTTGATGGCATTTATAAGTAAAATAATGTTAAGTGAATATCTGTGATTTGCTGGGCATGAGTCTAAGTACTTTATCTGTAAGAACTCACTTAATCCTCAGAAGAAACCCAATGAGAGAGGTATTCGCTTTCGTCTCCCACTGCTGCTGTGATAAGCCATCACAAACTTGGTGACTTAAAGCAACACAGACTGATTACATTACAATTCTGGAGGTCAGAGATCTGACATGAAACTAACTGGGCTAGAATTTTAAGGTGTTGGAAGTGCTGTCTTCCTTTGTGGAAACTCTAGGGAAGAATCCATTTCCTGGCCTTTTTCCCACTTCTAAAGGCCGCCTGCATTTCTTGGCTTATTGCCCCTTCTGCCTTCAAAGCTAGCAGTGTCACCTGAGTCGTCCTTACACTACCATCTCTGGTTCTCTTCTGTCTCTCTCATCTCTGTTTGAAGATGCTTTTGACTATGTTAGGTCTACCTGGATTATCCAGGATAATCTATTTACCTCAAGGTCAGCTGATTAGCAACCTTAATTCCATCTGCAACTTTAATTTTCTTTTGCCATGTAACCTAACATATTCACAGGTTCCAGGGATTAGGACATAGACACCTTTGGGAGGGGATTATTCTACCTACCAGAGAGAGTACTGTTAATAAAGGAGGTACTATTAAAGGAGGACCAAGACCATCACAGTGATTGCAAGAGTCAGCACTGAATTTACTAATTTAACAACCAAGGGAAGATAACTTGGGGAAGAAATACACTGAGTGGCTCCCTGAAGGGAAAATGTCAGTGAGTTTTACGTGCAGGCAAGAAAGTTTCGTTGTGATTATGCTAATTAAGAATCGAAGTTTGCATCCTAGATTAGACAAAATAAATCAATTGATCCATACATTAAAATGTCTTTTTATATTCACCAAGCGAGAGGCTTCAGGTTGGTCTAGGGAAGATCTGGTGTCCTGAGGTCACTCCAAGTCCGTAGATGTTTATCTGCTTCAGTTGGTTAGTATTGCCAGTGTGGTAAAACTCAGCATTCAGTGCCTGTACAAGTGGAAAGTCCTTTTTTTTTTCTTTTAAACAGTACTATTATTGTTCCCAGTTTACAGATGAGGAAACTGAGACTTACAGACACCACATAACTTGAAGATAGTAAAGCCAGGATTCATACCTGAACAACTGAGGCCAAGTCTCCCTTTCTCCTTTTTTTCCCAAAGCAAATGTAGTTTCTTTATTTCTCTATAAATCATCAGCTGACCCTCACAATTTAGTTGAATCCAGAAACATAATTCAAGGTAGTCATTGAAATCATCCCTCTAGTTACATGCTCAGTCTATTTTAGCAATACACTAAGTCTCTCAGATTTTTTTCTTACAATATTTACCCCTCAACTACTCTCCCAAGGCTATGTCTAAAGGGGCAGGGGTTGGTGGGGGAGGTTTCCCTTGACCTCATGGAGGTGAGGAAGTGGGCAAGTGCCCTGGAGTCATGTCCTCCGCCTCTGCGTTGGTCTGGTCTGTATAGTTGCTGGACTGGCCTTTTCCTGGGGCTGGGAGCACCCAAGGTCCATTAGGGTCTTAGTGCCCATGATCACAGCTCTTGAAAGCCTCTGTACCCCGAGCCTGCAAGTCTCCTTTCTTAATCGCTTTATTCAAGGACTCAAGACTCCAGGTGTTGCCGACACTCTTCTCCTGAACCCACCCAATCTAAGAGGCTGCAAGTGGAGAATTCAACAATGGCACTTCCTGGGGGTTGAGAGGCTCAGATGGAAAAATCAATGCTTATCTCTGCCAGGAGTTTTGGGAAAATGCATTTCTTGAGTGAATGGGGACATTTGCAGATGAAATTCACCAACCATCAGGCAGCCAGTGCCTCTTGCAGCAGAAAACATGATCAGCTTCTGACATTAACCCCAGGGCAGGAAGGAGCAGCTCATTAAGCTCTGGCAGGGATGCTGACAGCCACAGACGTGAGACCATGTTTATAAACGACTTACAGTGGGGACCAGTGACACCTCATTATAGGCGCCCATCAAGGGCCTGTTCTTCCCTCTTTATCTCCCTCTATCAATCTTCCAGTGCAGAGTCTGTAATTAGGACCTGTATTGACTCTTGATCAATTTGTTTAGTTAGGCCGAGGAAGAACACTGCTGGTTACGTGTACACATTGAAAAGGTTGTCATGTGAGTGTGTGTGTGTGTGTGTCTGTGTCTGTGTGTTGTAGGGGGCACGGAGGGAGGGACACAGGATTCCTGGCTCTGCCTGTAGCCACAGAAGTACGCCTGAGGGATTCAGTTTCTCTCTGATGTGGTTCCTCATGTCTTTGGGGGCTGCCATGACAGCTGGCACCCAGCCCTCCCTGAGATGATTTGGGATGCCTGATACTTTCACTGTGTTACATAGAATTGCTCCCTGTGAGTTGGGTTCTGCACTGTGCCATGTGGATTAATTCTTGCATAGGCCCTGACAAACTTCTCCAATGAGGAAATGAAAACTTAGTGTGGACAAGTAACTTGTTGGGGGTTAAGGTAACCCCACAACTTTGTGAGGTTGCCTTAAACACGTAATGTCAATCAGACCAGAAGTGGGACAAGATCTTTGGTACAGCCTATTGGGTGATACTGATGCATCTACAAACACACTGTCATTAATTGGGGGTGAGGTAGGAGATAGCTAGGCTCAGCCCCAATCCTAGCAAATAGGAAACCTTGTTTAGCAAATAGGCTAAATTGGTTGAGGACCTATACTACCCCTGGGGGATTGCTGCCTGGGCTGTCAGACAGCTTGGCAAGTGACAAGACCCTCTTCCTTTGAAGACAGGCCACCAGACCCTCTTCATTCAGCTTGTTACACATTCTGGTCCCATAGCCAGTTCCACTTGCACTGAGCTCATGGTCACATGAGAATCATATCGTGATGAATTGGCCTTCCATGCAGATTCTCTGTGGATAGATAATGGTTGATTTTGCATTTCTCATACCTGAATTTAAATACTGGCATTCAGGTATATTCATTAGCTTCTTGTAAGCTTGGTAAATGTGAGTCTAGTCCAGTAGGATGGCTGTACCCTTTAGTTCTGGACAAGCACAAAATCCTGAAACTTGGGGCTGTGACTAAGCGGCTATGCTTGATGGGTTCTTCTGGGAGATTTGTCAGTCACATTTTCTGGGAGACACTGGGCCCTTGTGACCCCATAAACCCATGGCTATTACCTTTTTGTATTGAAGGAGGCAGGACTTCATATTTTATTTGCTGACTCTGTATTTGATACTCTTCCCAGTGCCCAATATCATCTTCCTAGTCTTGGTCTCCCAATGCAGACATCTGGTAGCCTAGGCTCTGCTCTGGAAAATATGGAGTGGGTTTGAAGGGTGAGGGTTGAGGGGATGAATATTTCAAGATTCTCCTGACTTGGCGCTGGAGAGGAAAACAACAGAATTGGGCTTTCTGGGTCACTCCCTGGGTTTCATAGGTTGAATTTCAGAGTTTCAACTGATGGCCAGCTCCTCTCTGCAAAGAGCAGCTCAGGGGCTAGTCACACTCTGAAGGAAGTTGAGAAAAGGCCAAGGATGAATCCCTGACCAGTAGAGTTCATAATAAAACTCATGCATGATGTTTTTCATATGGGAAACTCAGTTCTTCCTGAGTATGGGGAAAGGTCCCAGATGCAGGCTCAGAAGCTGGCTCTGTTGTTGTATATGTTTTAAAACATGCCTGCATATTCTCTGGTGCTCCTCCCAATGAGAGGTGGGCTCTGTGTTTCTTCTCTTGGAATCTGGGTTGTCCTTAGTGACTAGGTGACCAACAGAGTAGGACGGAAGTGATGCCATGTGGCTTCCAAAGCTTGGTCATAAGAGGTGATAAAGCTTCCTCTTGGTTCTTTTGGGGCACTCACATTTTGTGCTCTGAGCCACTATATAAGAATGCTACGGCTGCCACGTCGTGGGAGCTCAGGACACATGGAGAGTCTGCATGTAGGTGTTCCGGCCCACTGTCCCCAGTGTGTTCCCTACTGACAGCCAGCATCAACCTACAGACATGTGAGCAAGAATGCCTCTAGATGATTTTGGCCCCTAGCCATTAAGTCCTCCCAGTCATCCAGTCTTCCCAGCTAAAACCTCAGGCATGAAGGGGTATGACAAGTCATCTTCCCTCTGACCTGTATTAATTGCTGACTCAGGGACACTCACATTTTGAGCCTAATAAAATACTACTAAGTTTTTTTTGTTTTGTTTTGTTTTGTTTTTGAGATGCACTTTCGCTCTTATTGCCCAGGCTGGAGTGCAGTGGCGCAATCTCGGCTCACTGCAACCTCTGCCTCCCGGGTTCAAGCAATTCTCCTGCCTCAGCCTCCCAAGTAGCTGGGATTACAGATGCCCGCCACCACACCTGTCTAATTTTTTGTATTTAGTAGAGATGGGGTTTCACCATGTTGGTCAGCTGGTCTCCAACTCCTGATCTCAGGTGGTCCGCCTTCATCAGCCTCCCAAAGTGCTGGGATTAGAGGCGCATACCACTGCCACTAAGTTTTAGGTGAGTTTGTTACTTAGCGAAGTATAACTGGAATAGCCACTAGCCCTGTGGCTTTGAATTGGACCTTTAACTCCTTTGACTCAAATGTGAGACAATGACGTCCACTAACAGGGTATATATGTGACAATGCACATCGAAGCTGCTGGCATGCAGTAGGTGCTCAGCAAATCATGGTTTCTTACTCTTCCAGAAGGCCCTTCACATGTCTCTTGGCCTCCCCTTAGGGGAATATTGGTCTGGACTGCCAAGTCAAAAGGAAAGTGCTACATGGGCTCCACTGCCTGTTTCTAATTAAAATCATAAAAACCTTCTGTGAACACCTTAATAGTGTCTGCTAGGCTGAAGGCAAGTTTCATGAATAGATTCCTTAAAGGGAACCTGGAACTACTCCTATAAAATGCAACTTTGAAAGAAACCAACCTCCAGGGCCTAACTGCAACCACAGAAACAAAAATAACCAAATTCCCTCATTCCCCAGGGCAGTAGCTCTCAAAGTATGCTCTGAATCTCTTGGGGAGCTTACTGAAAATGCTGATTGCTAGGCACCACCATGCAGTGAGCTTGTTGTGGGGCTGGGGTACAGAAATCCTCAATTTTCAGAAGCACCCCCATCTCATTGAGTTCTGAGACTCTCCACTTGGGCTTTCAGAGCTCAAGGGAAACTTCGAGATAAAGTGGCTGATCTCACCATACAGAAAGGAAAGAACCGAGATGGCTCCAAGAGGGGCTGAGATCAGCATCCCTCTGCAAGTTGAGGGGAGGCAAGAGCAGAGCTCAGGCTGATGCTCCCCATATAGTGCTCCCTCCTATCCCCCCACCATCCTGCAGATATTCAGCCTCATTCATTACAGCCACATGGAATGGCTCTGAGCATACCATCAGCATACCTAGCAGACATTCTGATTTTTCCCAGGGCTCTTCCACAAATATTTCGGAGAACTCCAGGGATGCTTGCATGCACAGCTTGGATATTTGGCTTCTTCTCACTACCAATTTGGGGATCTCAGTGATGTTCCTTTTTCATTGCTGGACTTAGCAAGTGCCTTGTGAGTGGGAGGGAAATCTCCCCTTTCGTGGTCTCCGTAGGATGCAGTTTCCTGCCTGTAAGCAGAACTATTTCCTGGGATCCTTCTGCTTGTCTGAGGCGTTTGGTCTCTTCCAAAGGATTGGTAGCATTTACAAATGCATACTCTTGCCTAGACACTGTTTTAAGTTCTTTACAGAGATACCCCCATTTTCAGATTTAAGAACTGAGGGCCAGAAATATTAAGTAACTTGCCCAAGGTCACACAGCTTGTAAGGGGCAGAGCCTGGCTTTGAACTCAGGAAATCTAGCTCTGAGTCTCTGCTCTGAGCCGCTCTGTTCCAGTGAGTACTGAGCCCCTGCATGCTGTGTGTCGGGCTGTCTCCCACAATGGACCATGTATTGGCCTCATGAAACTCATTCCTGTATCCCTAATAGTAAAGAGAGTGCCTGACACATAGCAGCCTGGTGAATATTCCTTGTGAAGGAATATGTCTATTTTTAGGTATGAATGGAAGTGAAGCTTTAACTCCACAAGGAAACTTTTAGGTGCGGCCACAGGGATACTGACCAGAACAGGAGAAGAGGTCCTGAATCACGGAGGCGGGTGAGGAGTGAAGTTGGAGGCTGACTCGGTAGCCTAGAGGGGAGCAGCTGAGGCTGCTGTGCCCATGATTCAGTCACTGTGCCCCTGAGAGGGACCCACTGGCTATTACTGACATGTCAAAAGCAGGGCCAGGAGCTGTGGGTTATCCAAAAACACAAATTTATGAAAATAGCCCTCCCTATTGAGAAACATTGGCTCAACTAGGCAGAGAAAAGCTCTGCATCAGTGCCACCTGGTGAGAACTAAATGGGAGAAAGATAGCTCATGTAGCTGCTGTAAATGTATTACCCAGGAATGGCTTGGAGATTATTTACAAGATGCTGAGAGATGCACTGATCCTATTTCAGCAGCACCATGGAGACCAGCAGACTGGCTTGGGCCCACGGTTTGGGTCTTTGCTTTTCACTCACTTTGGCCAGAGGACCAAAAGTGGTCATCGCCTGGATTCTTCCTCAAAGCCCTGAAAACAGCAGTGTGTCAGTGTGTCAGTGGATTTGCTTTGGAGGTCTCTATGAGACAGAAGGGTAGAGAGGAGGATGCATTCCCACTGTCTTAGTTGGGTTTCTGCAGGAGTAACTCTGAGACAAGGAATTGGGTGCAATGGCTTATTTGCGTGGTGACCCCAGGAAGCTCTACAGAAAAATGGGGAAGTGAGGCAAGGAGGGAAAAGAATTGTGAGAGTTCGCTCCTGCTTTGTTTTGAAGGGTCTAGTCTTCAGCTAACAATTGCCCTAACTTCCTTCAGAGGATTATTGAGATGACAGACAACTGCAAAACCTAGGCAGGTCCCCCAGTGAGGGTGAACTGAGGGATGAACGACAGGCTGAGACCAGCAGTCAGAGTGGTTGTCAGACCCCCATGGGGACCAGTGGTAAAACTACTTCTAATTTTGGGGAACAAGGGGGAGAGAGGCAAGAGACGAAGTTCCTCTAAATACTGAGATAATATTCTCAATCACCATCTACGTCAATCATTGGTGCATGTGTACAAATAAAAATTAAAATATGTCTTCATACATCCGACTGAAGTCACAGTTATCCCTGGGAGTAGTGCAACGTCGCAGACAGCTGTTCTCAAGTCTGAGTGACCTTGTGTCTTCTGTTTTTGAGCGTCCACATTTTCCAAACTTCCTGGCACAAGCAATTTCCAGACAAAACTCCCAGATTGTTTAGCTCCTGATGAACCTGTTTGATCTGGAATTTCCTCGAGACCTGGCTCTATTTGCCAGCTGAACAGATTATACTGATTGATGTGTTTGTGTGGGTTTCAAATCATTTCTAAGTAACGCAAATCTGCTTAGACTCCCGGTGCTGACTGCAGTTTGCTTCCGGACATCTGGGGTGGCATACCCTGTTGGGCACGGAAGGACAAGTGGAAGCCAGACTTGGCACAGACAGACCAGGCCTGGCAATGGGAGCACCCCAGGGCACACATCTATGCAGCAAGGCACTCTGGGACCCAGAAGACCTGGAGACCCTTGTGCTCTGAGGGCACTCTGCTGGGCCCTGCCTGCTTCTGAGCACAGGGCAGATGGCAGACTCACATGAGACCTATTTTCCCAGGCCCCAGAGTGTGGCTGATAAGGCAGGTAGCTGCAGCCACAGCCAGTCTGGGTGGTCTCTTTCCCTCTCAGACACCCTGTGGGTCCCAGTGATGTCACAAGTTCAATTATGTACCTGCTTATGTTTGTGTTTTGAAGCATTTGGAGCTTTGAAGAGTGGCCCCCCCACACCCCGCATACTTCCCTGTCTCCCCTCCCATACCATTTTTTTTAGATCATCAGGTAAGCCTTCAGCAGAGGGGCAGTGGCATGAACATTTGAAAAAGAAGGAGCAGAACTCATCTCTGTGTATGCCGTTGGTATCCACCTCACCAGGAGTAGGGTTGAGAACAGGAGCTTGGGTTCTCAGTTGGGCCCCAACCTCACCTCAGTCTCAGGTGCTCACCTTGCAGATGCCCACCATCCCCACCTGGCAGTGCCATTTATATTTCCAAAGCAATCTCTGATTAGGGTGAGTCCAGGGCTCCTGCAGGCTGGAGCTCCCTTGCTTTCCTCTTACACAGTGGTCAGGAATAAAGTGCTCTTCCCTCCTGAAAAGATGAGGCCCGTGTCGGTGGCTTTCATCCCAGCTACTTGTAGAACTCATAAATTAGAGCAGCAATTGGCTAACTTTTTCTGTAAAAAGCCAGATAGTAAGTATTTTAGGCTTTTCGAGTCATAGGGTCTCTGTTGCAATGCGTCAACTCTGCCATAGACAATTTGTAACTTAATAGATGTGGCTGTGTTCCAATACATTATTATTTATAAAAATAAGTGGCACGCTGGGTGTGGCTCTCCAACTGTAGTTTGCTAAAGGCTGAATTAGAGCTTGGGACCTGAGAATAATTATATTGGCTGTAATTGTTTATTGAGTGCATGTTAAAATCCAGTTTCTGGGTCCCGTATCCAGAGGTTCAGATTCAGTGGCTCTGCGGTGGGATCCATGAATCTGTATTTTTGTAAATATCATGGATGATTACGAAATGAAACCAGAAGTGCAGTGTACAGGTCATCTCCTTTTACTGATGGGACAATGACAACACAATTGGAGCGGTACTGTGGTCTTCTTCCCAGCCCAGGATGCCTTCTGTTTCCCCACCTTGCTATAATACCACTGTATATTTGGGAACCTCTGGGGACCCTCCCTGGAATATGCCAGAGGTGTGACAAGCTCCGCTGTGGGCCTCAATGGACTCAGACAACGAGGGCATTTCTCACCTCATTAGTTTTAAATTGCCTGTTATTTAGCTCAGGAGATGCTGGCCACTGCACAGTTAAGCCCAGTGACAGGAATATTAACAAGATGCATGGAGGAGAGCTTGGAGCTGCTGGAGTGGACATGAGAGATGGACGTCTTGCAAACAAACCCACCTCCTGGGCCACATGTCTCTGAAAAATCCACCTATTAGTAGAAGACCAGACTTAGTCATTTGCAACTTGAACCCATTTACTTATTCATTCACTTAATTTTTTTCTTTGCATATTCGGTTAGCATTTATTTAGCACCTATTTGGAGCCAGCTCCTGTTCTGGTATTTGGGAAATAGAGCTAAATCAGACATCATTGTCTTACTTTACTGTGATTCATACGGTGATGTACGAAGGTGCTGGAGAGGAAGAGGGGTCTATCTTTCATCAGATTTGGGGGTCAGTTTGGGGCAGGAATCTGGGCTGAGTCTGTAGTCAGTCTGGGGTCTGATGTCAGGGATCAGTCTCTGGTCAAGAAACATAGTGAAGGTCACTAGAACATCCAGGTCCATTCCTGAGAATAATTATATTGGCTGGAATTGCCACAGAGAGGCCTTGAGTATGGGACATCTTGGGTGATGTTTCTCATGGCCCAACATGAATCTTAGTCCTGATGGTCCATTGCCAGGCAACAAGGCCCTACTATCTTGAGCAAGGTGGGGATAAGGTTTAGGAGGAGTCCAGAGTATCTTCTCACATTCTCATTACAGTGTTCTCCACTCACTGGGGTGAGGGTGGAGGGAGGTAGACTGTTTTTAAGGAACTGGTTATATTGTTTTGGGTGAGAGTCCAAACATCAACTCATCTTAAGAATGAATCCAAGCTTCTAAGTAGATATTTTGCACTTTAGAGAGACAGTAATTTCATAAAAAGGAATTGCTAAGCCACTGCCTAACTGTGCCAATGATTTTAGCTGAAGGTTAAACTCACAGAATGTCAGAGATGGAGGGGCCCCCAGGGATTACTCTGGTTAACTGTCTTTGAATTGTGCTCTCTGGAATCCTGCATTTCTCTGTTGGTGTCTGTGGTAGAGGTGTGCTTGGGTAGAGGTATGAGGGGGCCCCTTGTAGGGTCTAAGGCAGCAAGGGAGTTAGAAGAAGGTTGGCCTATTCCATCACCTCTTCCCTACCTTCCATTCCAGCTCCCCAGTTCCACCCACATTCCTTCTCTCTCTTTGGGATTCCAGGCCATTCATAGAAGGTCTACTCAGCTCTCTACCAGTGTCAGGGCTCACTCAACTGATATGCCGAATAGGTGCCCTCTAAGGCAGTGGCCATAACATCCTTCTTGTGGACTCTGGGCAGCAAGGGGCATAGACTGGCTGACAGCTGTCACCTGGATAAAAGGTGAGTCTGTCTCTCCATGACCCGCCTCCTCTGACCCCCTACTGAGGCCACTTAGAGATATACACTGTAGAAAAGGAATCGTTTTAAAGAAGTTCTCTAGACGACGAGTTAGTGGGTGCAGCGCACCAGCATGGCACATGTATACATATGTAACTAACCTGCACAATGTGCACATGTACCCTAAAACTTAAAGTATAATAAAAAAAAAAGTTCTTCCCAACACAAGGTACATTGCTTTTCGGGAGTATTCCAGTGAGCAGGTGTGCTTAACGTGGCGGTACAGGTGAGCCTCCAGCATCACCATCTTCTGGTCACCTTTTATTTTTTTATGAAGCAAATAAAAAGGCATTTCTTAAATCTTTGGAAAGTTTTCCCCCAGTTTTTGTGATACGTTCTCCTTCAGGTTGGATCAAGAACCTGGTTTATCACCTCTTTCCATTCTTGTTTCAAACTCATGCATTCTTTTGATGACTTAATCTTTTGCTGACTAACATGGATATTACGGAGACTCAATTCGGGTCTAGGTTTCAAGATTCTCAGAGTCTAGGGGAGGAGGCAAGAATGGAGAGAGGGGGCAGAGCTGCAAGAGCAGCCAGGCCAGCAGTATTTGTTTTTCTAAGAGCAAACAAAAAAGATTTGAATGCTTGAGCTCTGGGGGCAAGGGATGTGGTTGGGGAGGTAGAGGCAGGGTACCATTTCTGTAAACTATGGGGTGGAGGGGTCCTGTGCAGCCTACACTGACACACTCTTATTTCCTCTTGTCTTCCCTGGGGAGATGGTGCCAGGACTTAGACAAAGGGAGGACCATGGGGGGAATGAGAGGAATAGAAAGGCATCCTGGAGGAATAGGAAGAGGTGCAGAAAGAAAAAAGCAAGGTTCAGAACAGGAGGAGCTGCATTTGTGCAGGCCTGGAAACTCCAACTGGTCTGGAACAGGTGCCTGTTCTTGATCCTCAGTGGAACCAGAAAGGGTAGAAGAGTAGGAGTGTAATTTCTGGGGAGGCCAGCTGATGGGGGTCGACTCCTTTGTTCTCTTGTAGGGAGGTTAGCTGATCACTCCTGATCAAAGCGTGGGTAGGTTTGTGCACCACATGCATCATGCTGCCTTCCAGAATGTTCCACCCTCCGCTGTCCCCTCTTAGTCCTCCAATAATGCTATTTATCGTTCCTCTGAGGTCCTGGTGTTCTTGGAATCTTGTTGTTTTTCTCATTCTTATTGAAGTTCTAATTGTATTGAGAGGAATTTAGATTAGTTTGACCTGAGATGGGCTTTTAGAAGCCAATAAGGGTGTTTCTTTTCAGATATTTAGCAGTATTTGTCTTATGAAGTGCTCTCAAATCCACACTCAGAGAACAAGCCTATAATTTCTATTCAAATAGCCTCTAATGAGGTGACACTTTTGTCAACTTATAGGGCCAAGTCAGGCTGTGGAAAAATATATATATTTGGATCTTTTGGCCCTTGGACAAACTCAAAATATGCACCAAATATGCTTTGGAGCATTGTGGAGGCATGAAAAATAGATAGGTGAGATGGAGGGCTTGGGAGGTCTAAGCATCTTTGGAGGCTGTATCCCTGCATCCTTTATTCACTTATTCAAAAACCATTCACCAAATATCTTCTTTATGCATATGCCAGTACCGTGTTATGTGCAGGGCAGCAAAGGATGAATAAGAACAGAATTTGATGCTGCAAGAATGCTGTGCATCCCTGTGTGGATATGAGTGCACATGGTGTATGTGTGTGTGCCTGTGTGTACACACTTGCCTTTGTGTGGCAGGCAGACAGGTGTATGAATAAAACGATGAAGTGTGATAAGAGCATCACTCATAGCATGATGATACAATTTATCATCCAAATTGGTACATCTTTGGGACAAAGGCTAAACCCTGAACAATAAGCATAATCTGGGGCTGTCTTAGGCAAACTAAGAAATATGGTCACCTGAAGTAATGCCTAACACAGGAAAGAGCAGAAGACTTCTTGGAGGAGGTCTCTTTGGACTTCCAAATGGACCCTCCCCATCCATTCTTGACTTCCTTCGGTTACTGAGATCCCAGCGCAATCATCCCTTCCTCTGGGAAGCTTTCCCAGACATGTCCCATCAGGCCAACTTCTCATACACTCTTCTAGCTCTGTAGCTCTCACCTTCCAAGCACTTATTTCTGGAATGATTATACATGCAATTGTGCAGTCATTGTATTGTATATCTGCCTCCCGCACATCATGAAGACAGGCCCATCCATGAAGGTTTTGTTTACCATATATGGATATTCAATAATTACTGGAACAGTGGGCTGAGTCTTGGAACACTGTCCTACTTAGCTAGGTGCCTGTCTACCTAAAGAAAGAAGGAGGGGAGTGGGAAGGACCTGGAACCAGCAAGTATTCTGGTAGAGGAGCCTGGTGGGCGTGAGGTCTAGAGACAGGATGATACATGTTATTGGCGGGGGGCGGGGTACAAATAGCTCAGTGTGGCTGGATCACAGGGTTTGAAGGGTACAGCAGGGAACGGATTGTGAGAAGGGAGACCACATCCTGTTGGGTTTGTGAGCCATACTGTTGACCCTGGCCTATATCTTCCCCATCTTCTTTTCCTTCTGAGAGGTTTGATTAGATGAACTCTAAGACATTTGCAAATAATCTTTCCTTGTGGTCCTTTTACTAGTCTGGCTAATTGTTTAAGAATGTTTCTAATTGTTCTTATCTTTTTTTTTAGAAACAGGGTCTTGCTCTGTCACCCAGGCTGGAATGTAGTGGTGCAATTATAGCTCACTGCAGCCTTGAACTCCTGGGTTCAAGGGATCCTCCCACCCTAGCCTGCTGAGTAGCTAGGACTACAGATAAACACCTCACACCTGGAAAATTTCTGTAGAGATTGGGTCTTGCTATGTTGCCCAGGCTGATCTCAAACTCCTGGGCCCAAGTGATCCTCCCACCTTGGCCTCCCCCTGTGCTGGGATTATAGGCATAAGCCTATAAGACACGCCCAGCCTGTCCTTACTTTTTTATAGCCCTCATTAAGATAAATATTTCTCTCCATTTTGGAAACATCAAACAATTAGGGAAAGTCATAGAAGAGATGCTAAGGATGATTCCAGAAAGTGTGCTGTTTACATTGCATGTCAAAACAAGATATAATGTTGGAAATGGAGTCACACGAACAGCCTCTCCTTCCTCCTGAATACCTGAGACAGGGGCTTCCTGTGGCCTAAGACACCCTAGGAAGGCTGTTTCTCTCCAGTGCATCAGGTACTAATGAGATGACCAATGAGAGCACTATTCCCAGCTCTGAGAGTTCACAGACTTATACATTATGCATTAGACAAATACCATCTTCCATTTCTCTTCATCTGCAGGTATTTTGTTAAAAGTGTGCTTTTTCCTCATATAAAGGTTCTCTTAGTTCAAGATGTGACACATCTATTCACTGGGTCCCTGGAGCCCAGGTGGGCTTAATAGCACCTTATCTTCCTCATCACACCAGTGCATGCAGTTTTGCAAAGAGGCACTAACTGGAGTCACCTTGTCCCAAAGCCATGAAGCCATTTCCTTAAGTGTATGATTTGGTTCCTTGTAATCTCAGCCACTCTCATATTCTCCAAGCCCCTCACCGGCTCACAAATTATTCCAGATAACAGCTCCCTTGTCACCTTTCCAGCCCCTCCTTCACCATCTCAGCTGAGGAGAGTCTATGAAGAAAATGAGAACAGAGGCTCATTTCCAAAGGCAGCGACAAGAATTTGCTAATTAAAATGAAAAGACTTAGTTCCCTGAATCAGTGAAGGAGGCTTCTGAGAGGCACCTAGAGGAAATCTTTCTCCAAACGAATGGCCTTTCCAGCTGGGCCCTGATAGAGCCCAGGCATCCTTCTAACTGCAGGAGGCTGGAAACTGGGGCTCTGCAGACCTGCTCCCAAACAAGGCCTAATGAGGCCTCAGACCCATTTCTAGGAGCTCCTGCCTCTTTGTTTTTCTCAGCCCCAAAAGCTCACAAGGATTGACCTACTCTTCAGTACATTTTAGAATCAAGGGGCCTTTGGATCATCCAGCCAAGTGGTTTTCAAGGAGGCTACACACTAGAATCACCTGGGGAGGGGTTAAAAGATCCCCAGACCTAATAAAAATGCATCTCTAGAGGGGGCCTAGGTATCTGAATTTGCCAAAAGCTTTCCAGTGCTTTTGCTGCAGAGTGAGAAGTGGGAGCTGCTGATCTCATCCAATAGCCTTATTTCTGGGCGAGGACTCTGAGGGTCAGAGAGGGAGATGATGTTGCCCCAGGCCACACAGCAAGACAGTGGCAGAGTCCGGGTCTCCTGTCTTGCCCTTTAGACTACACAGACTGCCCCTGCTCTGCCTTCCTCACAGGGCCGTGTGTGGATGAAATAACATAAAGGGAAGATAGAAAGTGCTCAGCAAGAGGGCCTGTGGCCTGACCATATTGGTATGTGTAAGCATGTCTGGAGGGCTGCCAGCAGGGGCCTCTTTGCATGCAGACTGAGGGACCTCATAGGAAATGTTCTGCCTAAGGGAAAAGGTGGATGAGATGCAAGAAGGCGGCTCAACAATGAAGAGAAATGGAGATACCTGCCATGCAGTACTATATTTGATTATGTTGAATCATATGAAATTGTGATATCTGCCATTTTTGACCTATAAAAAAGGCAGTGTTTTTTATGATTGGATGTAATAGTTTCAGAAGCAATAAGGAGAAGATGAGAAAAATGACACCCAGTGATGGCCACAGGGTCAGATCTGAGCTTAGGTGTCTCTGGTTCAAAGTCTCCTGACCACTTTACTGCCTCTTCTCTCTGTTGCCTTGGCTGGGCAGGTGCAGTCTGGGGTACACAAAGGAAGTAATTAAGCATTTTCAAACTGTAACTATGAGAAAAGTCATTCCCGAGAAGCTCGAGGCTGGGGTCCTAGTCCCTGGTTCTTACTCATGTTTTGTTTTTATCATTATTGTATAAGGTAATATCCATAACTCAAGTAATCCTTTTTATTCTTGGGAAAGTCATGGAGACTTTGGTTTTCCCATACATAAAATGGAGCAGGGGGGAGTTGGAATCTCCCAGGGCCCTTCTTGTCTCCTTAATTCTAATAGTCAAATAAAAATAATAATTTACACTTGCAAAGCACTTTGCAGCTTCCCAAAGCATCTTTACAGTCTTGTTTGGCTTGGCACTTTCTACAACCTGATGAGATAGAAGTTATTATCACCAAATTTTGGATGGAGTACATTCATCTAAAGGGCCCAAAGAGACCTTAGACAATTGTCCAAGTCATACAACTTGTTACTAGTAGACCCAGAGCTAGAATTCAGGTTTCCTCATTCCTGGGTGTTAGGGTCTTTATACAACATTGGACTGGATATCAAAAAGAGGAGGCCAAATCTGAAAGGCAAGAGCTTAAACTTGACCTTCACAGATCCAAGCCCCCTTTATTTTATCACACAGGATTAGTGGCTTTGTCCTACTGGGATGAGGGGGAAAGGATTAATGCTTGCCTTGCCTCTCCACAGCTGCCTGACTCCTCACTCTCTGATATGGTTTGGCTGTGTCCCCACCCAAATCTCCTCCTGAATTCCCAGGTGTTGTGGGAGGGACCTGGTGGGAGGTAAGTGAATCATGGGGGCAAGTCTTTCCTGTGCTGTTCTTGTGACAGTGAATAAGTCTTACAAGATCTGATGGTTTTAAAAAGAGGAGTTCCCCTGCACAAGTTTTCTCTCTCTGCCTGCTGCCATCCATGTAAGACATGACTTGTTCCTCCTTGCCTTCAGCCATGATTGTGAGGTTTCCTCAGCCATGTGGACCTGTAAGTTCCATGTGGAACTTTCTTTTGTAAGTTGCCCAGTCTCAGGTATGTCTTTATCAGCAGCATGAAAAGAGACGAATACACTCTGTAACCCTACCCTGTTTCAACATCCCCAAATCTTCTGTAGAAGAAGGTACATGCCTTTGAAGTTCCTTGCATTTTACTTTAAGGTGCTTTATTTGTGAGAACCAGCATGTGATAATGGTTAGGAACACAGACTGCCTGGATTTGGATTCCAGGTTTGCCACTTAACAACTATGTGATCTGAATAAAGTTCCTTAGCTTCTTCATGCTTCAGTTTCCCCAGATTTCAAATGGGGATAATAATGGAACCTATATCATAGTGTTGTAAGAAGGATTAAATTAGTGAATTATAAGCATTTGTATTAGTCAAGATATGCGGTAGTGACAAGTAAACCTTCACATCTCAGTGGCTTCATCTATAAAGGTTTATTCGTCATCTGGGCTGTGTCTGATGGGGGTCAGGTAACCTTCCAGGGGCCTCATGTGGAACTCGGTGATCCACATGTCCTTCATCTTGTGAAGCATCTTACCGTGATTTTCAGAGTTTCTTAAAAGTCTGAGAGTGTTGTGTGTCATCTCCCCTCAGAGTCTGTTGGCCAGAATTAGTCACATGGGCCCAATATTATTAGAATGAGCCCGCGCAGTGCAGAGAAGCTCATGGACTAGTTGGTGAACACCACTAGCTCTGCCAGTGTATATAAGTATTTGTTAAATAAGATAAATATGATTTTAAGAAGCCTCATTTTTTAATGTGTTGATAGTTTAATCCTGTTACTGGAGTCTTGCATTTTATTGCTGTTTATTACTTTTTACTTGAGTCTCAATTTAAAATTTTTATCACTTCTTATTCTTTTATGTTTTTCATTAATTTTGCTTTGTCTTTGTAACAACCTCATAAAAAGTCGTTTGACTGGGACAGCAGGAGTGGGAAACCCTATCAACATCTGGGACATCTCTAGGCCACTGTTCCTGCCACCCAGCTGTCTCTGCAGCCACTCTCGAGTTTCCTTGGATGAACCTTCTAGTTCTTTCAAAAATCTCACCCTGGGATGCTTCTGGGGTTCATGGTTCAGCCTCCCAGGGCTATGCTTCCCCACCTGGAATTGCACGCTTGCGTGGTTGGGAAGGTGTTGCCACAGACATTTTCTGCAGGCCTGATGCAAAAAACTGCATTTTAAAAAATCCTGAGAGTGACATCAGTTTCTGATGCATGTTAATTTTACCTTTTGTGATGAACAAACCACGCCAGCAGAAAGCCTCAACCCAGGGGGCTGGCTAACAGAGGTCCCATCAGGGAGGTGCCCTGGCCCAGCGCAGGTGAAGGGTCAGATGATGTTGATATCCCCTACAGGTATCCGCAGGTAGGGTACACTATCCAGCCCCCAGGATTGTTCTTCCTGAGTTACTCACATTCCACTTCGGCAGGCCTTAAGAAGATTGCTTGTGTAATAGGCTCCTAACTCCCTTTCCTTTATGGGCAGCATTAAGCAGAAGGCCTGCAAAGAGGGGTGTACTGTGACTTTGGAATAGAGTCAGCTGGGAGATCAACCGCATTTGTCAGACATGTAAAGCAATGTGAGCTGGCTGAGAATTCTAAAATCGGAAAAGAAGGGAGCCTTCTTCCCCTGTAGAGTAGAGGCCTAGAGTTCTCTTGGAAAAGCCACTGGGGCATCAGGAAGAATCAGGGCTGCCATTCTCTGCTCTAGGTCTGTCTCTCTAAAGGTTGAAAGATGCCGTTCTGGGGCACTTTGGCAGGATGTGTAGAGGGATGTCTCTGCAGAGGGGTTTTATCCGCTTTCAGAGTTGGAGCCATAATGACAGTATTCCCAACATCATGCACATTTAATCCCCCTCCTGTGGCCTCTGGGGATTTTTTTTCCCACATAAAATGTCTCAAGCCCTTATTCCACAAATGGCCTGATTTCTTGCTGGGCCCCAGATGGAGGCCTCTGCCCCCTTTTTTTCCCTGCAGGCAGGCCTGCACTCATGGGCCCTTCCCTAGCCTTTGGCCTATACCACTGTTTCTGGGAATTTTCTCTCTTTGGTTGATTCTCCAGTACACCTCACTCCAGTCCTGAAAACCTAAAATCTCCTTGTCCTGCTTCAAAAACTGGAAAGAAATGCATAGCCGCAGACCAGCTGAGCTGAGCTATGCTGCCTGTGTCTCAGGGAGCTATGACTTTTACAGGTAAGACGGCTCACTTCTTCAGGTTCAGCCAGCATCCTGGAGGATGCTCCTCAGAGACAGCACATTTATTTTGTTCTTGTCTGTTTGGGGTTATAAAGGCATAAGCCATGATGTATTGGATTAAAAAGTAGTTAACAATTTTTGCGTTTCAAGAGACCTGGATTTTAGTCATATTCCTAGTTTCAGATCTGTTACTTTTCCGGTGGCATAGGTAAAGAAAAATTGGCCAACATCTTCCTTTTTGTTAGAGTGTATACCATGTGATTGTCTTTGGTTTTTGTGACGAGGGCATTTTGTCTTTCTGGTTCTGTCAAGCAGGACATGAGCTGTCTTAGCACGTTTCCCCTCCGAAGGCACCCACAGTCTGTTTGGACATATGGTACCTCTCTGAGGATCTTTTAGCTTGCACTTGTTCCACAACCCCAAAGCAGCATTACTTATCTCTGGGGAACTGGATGCCAAGCTGTCTGGGTGTCCCTTGAGGCCCTGCTGGGGGTGATTAGTGATGGCTGATTGCTCTCCAAGGCCACTCTCAGAGACAGATGGATTCACCTCCGAGGAAAATTTCTCACCCAGCTTCTTATTTTGCACAGACCTTGCTGGAACTGACTGGTGGAATGTAGCAGGAATCGGAGGGAAGCTTTACTCATCATTCCAGTCCAGGGACCAACATAGGAAATTATATTAAAATTGGTTCTTCTCTGCTTACTTCCGTCCTCTAGTTGCATATTCTTAATCAGGTAAAGCATTTGTTAACCTTGTTTTTAATACTTAGAGGAGTGCCCTGGAGCCTGTCTGCCCTCATGATTGTCTGGAGAGGTGAGAAGACCAGGAGTAGTAAAACAGACCAAAGATTTCCCAATTTCTCTTGGGGAAGTGGCTGGGATTGGGGATGGTGGCCAATGGGAGCCCAACTTTATTGGTAAAATTCTGATTATTTTATGAGAAGAATGTATTTTTGTATCATTTGTGTAATTAAAAAATTAAGCAAATGAATAATATGAACACTTCAGTTCTTAAACATTGACAATGTATATACTGGATGTAATAAAACGCACTGAATTGAAAAAACTTTGCTTTGGTGATTTGTAAGAGAGGAGTTTTCCCTGTCATTTTCTTTTGCTTTGATCAGGGGATACTAGATAATATCAAACCGGCTTTATCCAAACTGTATATTGACAAATAGGAGACTTGTCTTCCCAATATCTGGTGTGACAAGGAATCTCAAAGAATTGATCAGAATGCATTCCTTCATTGGTACTATGTGGTGTTAATTATTGTAGCACTCTTGAAAATTGTTTGGTTATTCTTGTATGTTTATGTTTTTCATATTAACTTTAAAATTGTTTTTTCCAGTTACTTACTAAAAGACTCATATTGATTTTGATTGAAGCGGCATTAAACTTATTCTTTTAGTTTACGGTAGAATTGGCATGTTAACTATAGTGATTGTGACTGTCTACTGAATCTCTTAGTTTATTCCTGTCATCTTTTAGGTCTCAAGATAGAGTTCTATAGCTTTCTTTATGTGGGTCCTGCACATTTCTTAAGTCCATTCCTGGGCTTCCTGTATTTTGTGCTGCTATTGTGAGTGTAATTTTTCTTTTCCATTATGTTTTCTAATATATAATTGATACTATACTAATGAATGAATTCATTAGTTTATTCTACAAGTATGAATAGAGAAGCTATTTATTTATTTTGCATACTTATTTTATAACCTGTGCCTTTATTGAATTTTCTTATCAGTCTTAATAGTTTTTGGCATTACTAGACATATACCAAAGATTGAATTAACTTTGGGCCTTCATTTATAAAAGTAATTGTGGTGGTCTTAAAACATTTATGAAAATCTTTAATACTGCTTTTATAAAAAGAACAAGTCTATGTCCTCTTCTCTTGAATCACTGCTGACCTCAGTGAATCCTTTGTAACCTGTAGAATCTAACAAGTGATGAGATGTAACTTCAAAGGTCAGGTGGGAAAAGGTTACTTAGGTTTCACCAGGATCTCTTGGGACACTCACTGTGGGTGAAGATATGGGCTATGTAATTAGTCTGACTACTCTGGGCTGTCTGTGCTGAAGAGGCCACATGAAGGCACTTTAATTGACAGCTCCACTGAGTCTCCCAGCCAACAGCCAGCATCAACAGCAGCCATACATGTGAGTCGTCCTGGACATCCAGCCCAGTCAAGGCTTAAAGATGTCTGTAGTCCTGACATCTGTAACCACATGAAAGACCCTTCTCAAGAGCTGCCAGACTGAACCCTTTCAGAATTCCTGACCCACAAAATTATGAAAAAATAAAATATACTTGCTTTGGGATAATTGGTCACACAGCAACGGTAACTGTAACAATGATCTCTTAGCTATTGATTAATATTGCTAGCTGCATTGGCATCATCCAAAAATACTAAATTACAGCAAGGATGTAGACATCCATGACTTTACTAGAAATACACTTAGATTTTCTCTGTTATTTAATATGCTTGCTGCTGATATCATGCATTTTGTAGTAATAACTCTCAAAGCTTAGTGGCTAAGAACCACAATGGTTTATTTCTCATACACACAACGTTCTGGGAGTCCAGTAACTCCCAAGAGTAACTATACTCCGTGTGGTGATTCAGTGATCCAGGCTGAGGGAATCTCCCCCATCCCTATGGCTGCACCATCTACAATGCAGGACCTCCTTGATAGATGACTCAAGGAAAGAAAATGCTAGAGAGTCTCTCAACAGTCATTAAATACTTTGGTATAAAACTGATACATTATCAGTTCTGCTTATGCTTATTGGTCAAGACTTGTCACATGACTCCAGCTAATTACAAGGAGGGTGAGCGGTGTAATCTTCCTTTATGCCAAGAAGGAGTGGAGAAGTGGATACTGGTGAACTCTAGTAATATCTACCACTAATTATTTTAACTTCTTATGCTAACAAAGTATCCTACAATTAATAGCTTATTGAGGCCATCATATTTCATCAGGAATTGATATTAAATTTTGTCAAATGTTTTTTAAGTATTAAGATGATTATATGTCTTTCTTTTTACTGTTAGGCTTCCTCATATTGAAGTATTTTTGAATTCTTGGCATATAGGCTACTTGGACTTAGTATATTACTTTTTTTTTTTTTTTTTTTGAGACAGAGTTTCACTCTTGTTGCCCAGGCTGGAGTGCAATGGTGTGATCTTGGCTCACTGTAACCTCTGCCTCCCGGGTTCAAACGATTCTCCTGCCTCAGCCTCCTGAGTAGCTGGGATTACAGGCACGTGCCACCATGACGGCTGATTTTTTTTGTATTTTTAATAGAGACAGGGTTTCACCATGTTGACCAGGCTGGTCTCGAACTCCTGACCTCAGGTGATCTGCCCGCCTCAGCCTCCCAAAGTGCTGGGATTACAGGCATGAGCCACTGCGCCTGGCTGGTATATTACTTTTTAAAAGACTATGGGGGTCATTAATGATTTTAATGTAATCATTAAAATTTAGTAAAAATCTTCACATTTATGTGGCTGGTTTAGAGGTTGTAGGGGTTTTTTTGGTGTGTATTCTGTCAAATTTGGTATCTGTGCAATTTCTTCATAATATTCATAATATGAATTAAGCTTTCTTTTATTTGCATTGTTTTGGAATAGTACATACTGCATAATAACTATTTTTTAATTTGAAAGTTCGATCCAGCTCACTCATGAAACTACCTGCTCTTGTATCTTTCAGAGATGAGTCAACAACTTAACAAAACTTTCTTCTCTGATAGCAGGTCAACTTGGGTTTTCTATTTCTTGAGCCAATTTTGATAATATACATCATCAAGATTTTAAAATTTACTAGCCATGATTGTTGATGATATCCTTTTATAATTATGTATAATTTCTATATTCACTATTATATCCCCTTTCTGTCTCCTAATTTTGGTTATTTGTGTTTTCTCTCGATTAGACTTCTCAGCAATTTGTTTTGTTGGATACAACAACAAAAAATTTCTTGTGTTTAGAAAATCTAGTGTTTTTCTGCATCTGTGGAGATTCATTGTAAAATGTCTTTCTTTTTTTTGGCAGAGACCTGATTTCACAGGCAGGCACATTCTCTCATTCCTCAAAGTGAACCTCTGCTTTTGAACTCCTGCATCTTTTCATGTGTCTGGTGATGTTTTCCTGTTTGTTCACCCTTACAAGCGAAGGTGTGAGCTTGCTCAGAGTTGGGGTCTGGGCTGCCAGAGAGCATCATGGAGGGGCCAGAAAAGGGAAGGGATAGTTGAGATGTGCTGTTATTTTTCTTTAGCAGGCCAGAAATTTGACAGCCTGTGAGGGCAGAGAGCTTAGGCAGAGCTGGTACGGGGAGCTAGTACAAGGAGCTTCATCAACCCTGGGAGAGGTTTGTATCGGCATTTAGTGTTGGCTGGAACGCACGCCCCCATCTGTTTTCCTGTCACAATTTTCTCCATTAGGAGCTAGCTGCCTACATGGTTTGTCAGGAGCCATGTTCTGCCAAGGATAGGCTGGGCGTAAGCATTGCTGCAAGCTGCTTACTCTGCATGCATGGATCCCAGATCCACATACTCTCCACCCCACTGGTCAACCACCCTCTTGCTCTTGCACCCTATGCTAGGGCTCTCAGTGGGATTTTAGTAAAACAGGACCCCTTACCATCCTTCTTACTGTCTATTGGGTAGGCTCACCAAGTATTTTCAACAAAAATATGAGATGGCAGGACTCCTGTTCCCAAACCTGAGCAGGAAATTAATATCTTGACACATAGGATGAGCTTAGGACATGAGTAGAACTTCTCCCATGAATCACTTTACATCAAGTCCATTTTTTATCCCTAGATCAAAAGCCTGGTTGGACATCTGGCGGCCCTCTATGGGTGTTGGCAGAATCCCATTTCAGATTAACAGCTGGATGATAGGCTATTGTGCATAGCTGAAGCCCAGTTTCCCAGCTAGTGTTCCCCTGAAAGCAAAACCTTAAACGAAATTTTTTTTGGAAATATGATTCCAGGAAGCAATGAGAATAGGAGTTGTAAGTCAGGGAAGGAACGAGAAAGAGGTATTACAAGGTGTGTTATAGAGTTGGCTACTCTTACAGGGTCTGCTTGTTCTGGGACCATTTGAAAAGTCGCATGAAATACACTTAAGAACTGCCTTCAGAGGAAAGAGAGGAGGAAGCATTTGTTCACAGCCTCCAGGCCCCTATCAGTCAAAGATTTCATTGTTAACTTCCCTGCATTTCTGGGTAGCACACTCACAAGTGCTAAGTGGGTTCCTGTGGGCATCTCAGAGAATAGTACCAGAAATTGTGGCACAGGAAACAAGAGCTGCAGAGCCTGTCTGAGGAAAGGCACCATGGACTTCCCATATATGAAATCTGAAGAAGCATGCTTGGAAATTGTTCCCATGGCCGTGGATGACATAAGCGGTTAGGCTGAGAATATTTGAAGTGGTACACAAGAGGCATCTGTTTTACCCAGTTTTGTATGCCAACAAGGTGCTCTTACCACTCCCTTCCTCTCTCTGGGGTGCTTCAAATGGATTTGAAAGCCAAAATCCTCAGCATACATTTCTTCAAGATTCTCTCTGCTGTTTTCCTGCCCATACAAGTTTTTCTTAATGTCATTTCATCTCCCAGGAGATAGAAATGGACGATTGACCAATTTTCTGAGTGAGTACAGACCATCTGGAGCAGGCACCTGGGCGGGATGAGCCACTTTATCTTCTCTGAGGCTTCTTTGCATCTTTTAGGCAGCAAAACATGATTCAGCATCAACCACTGATTACGATTCTCATTTCAGCTTCTTGTGTCTTGTAATCAGAGGAAATTCCTCCCGGATTCACACAATAGCTTGGCCGCCAGGTGTGGTCCCATGTTTCCAGCTTTGACTACATATTTGTAGGGATTTTAAAGGAAAGTGGGATGGGATGGAGTCAGTCCTCATTATAACCCGGAGCAGGGGTTTACTTCTTGGCCCTGCCATGCCTCGCCTTAATAGAGAAACAGATTCATCTTCTATCTCAGCACATGTATCTGTTAGGCTCTTCATCATTCAAAAGGAGATACTAATTCTCTTTCTGGCTCAGCTGGCTCTTAAACTCGGACTCCAAATTCAATCAACAACTCAGAATAGCTATTTCACTGGTTCTGGGCTAAAAGCCTCCAGCTCATGGACACTCAGAGAGGAGAGAAAACTTGTTTATATAATACTAAAGATTCTGAAACCCTACATCTGGCTTAGGTCTGACTTGCAGAGAACCATGTAGCTGGGCCCCTTCATTTTGGTCCTTCAGTGAAGAGCTTTCACTGAATTGTTCTATGGCATGAGGCCATGAGTCTTCAGGGAGGGGAATCCATTGTGTCAGCGAAGGATGTTGTTGAAGCCATTATTTATTAAGGGGACTCATGAAAAAAATTTCTTCTAGGCTCTATAGCAGGAATGTTTTTTAGTTATTCTGAGCAAGAGATTTTTTTTTCCCTTTTGGACATTGACTAACTGACTGTGTTCCCCTTTTGTGGGAGATGGGCAGTGCCACATTTTCAAACCTCTTGATCCAGGTATATGGCAGGTCTTGGGGTATGACCCTGTTCCTGGCATCATCTTATCTGTTCTGCCTGGATTTTCCTATGTTCTTCTCACCTCTTCTTTTTATATAATTGGCCTTTCCGGGTATTAAAGTAATATAACATTTATAAAATGTAGAAAATTATAAAGAACAAAAATTACTTGTGTTCCCTATGATGAAAGATAACCACTGTTAATATACTGATGTTGTTTTTCATACATTTATATATTCAATTTATTTTCTCTATGCATCTGTAATTCTCTGTATATGTCTCTATCTATTCATGTATTCCAAATGTCCTTGAATAACTAGTTAAATTTTGTTCCAATGCCTATTCAATAGAGTGGGAGAACTGATGACCTCCTCAGTTTATGTTAATTTCCAGGGGGTTATAATCCCATGCTTTTCTCTGTCTCCAGTTGTTCAGTTTGTGAGTATCATCTCCCTGTGGGTGCCATGTCTCTACTGAATGTCAATGATGAGTCCAGGCTCAGTCCTGTCATTAAATTTCAAGAGAAAGCCACTCAGGCCAAGCCTTTGTTGAGTCTCGTTGCATATCCTAAAGATTAAGTGGTCAAAAGTTTTCTGAAATTAACTAGAGTGGTTTCTTTCTCTTATCTCACCAGCTGCTTCTGCTTCTATTCCTGTTCTTTTCTCCTTGCCACCCCCAAACCCTGTCAGAGGGAATCAAATCCCTCTTCTTGCCTTCTGCATGGTATGTTGTTGACCTCATCCCTTGTCTCCAGGAATCTGAGGGCTTCTAGGTTCCCTGGAGTTCTGATGGAAGGCTTGAGCCTTTGGAATTAAAGAAAGATCTTAAGTCAAACCAGAGCTACCAATCAAGGTGCTCCTAGGTCTGACATGCGCTCACACTCCAGGTCTAGCCACACAGGAAGGCCAGGCTAGGATCCACCTGGACAGCCAACAGACACATAAAGAGAGCTGTGCCAGTATCATCAGTCTCTCTCCAGGACGGCAGCACATAGGGTGGGATGTCCCTCTCTGCTAACGTTGATCCTTAGCATCACTGTGAGAACCCAAGACTTGAAGCACCCAAAATAGCTTAGCTTCAAGTTCAGGGGTACTATGGAGGTGTCAAGGAAGATAAGAGATATTTAAGCATATTTCCATGGAAATATGACAACTGTATGCTGTTAAGTGAGAAGAAGCAGGTCTCAGAGTATATACTGGTTGATGCCACTTACGTAGAATATGTTTATGCATAGAAAGGTCTGGAATGGCATAAAAATGTTAACAGGTACCTTTGAGAAGTGGGAACTTTCACCTTTTGCCTTAAATAATTTTATATTGAGTCCTTTCAAGTGAGTATGTGCTACTTTTATCATAACACTTTAAAAGCAATTTCCATTTTGGGGAAAGATGATATGCCCCCAAATATTTTTTTTTAAAGTGGGAGTTATGTGAGATTTTTTTCCTTCTTTCTAATTTTCTTTCTCCAGTGTCGTATTACATTTGTGGCCAAAGCATAAATGTAGCAGGCAGACTACGTGAGATTAACATGACCAAGGACAAAGTGACAAGATAACTAGCCGGCTGGACACCAGGTTCCCCATGTCATACCCAAGCTGGGAATCACATGTTCTCTAGACTCTGTGGCCTGGGAGGCCTAGTGAGCCATGTATCTAGGTTCCTCAGGCAGAAGAACCCTGCCAGGGTTCCCAAGACTGCAAGAGAACAAGGTGAACCCTGCGCTCCACCCCTGCGGCTTGTGTTTCCAGCTCAGGCTTATATCTGGACACATACAAAGAACTTGGGAACTAGTAAACTCCAAGGAGTCAGGTTCTAGTTATTTCTTCTGCTCATCCAGAAGAAAATAGAGGACATATGCATCCAACTGAGAGGTTGGCAGCCTCATGTCCCAGTTTGAGTACTGGTTTGTCCCAGTTCCTTTTGGGCTCATATCTGTTCCCCTCTAATAACAACAGCATTAAAAACAGTGCTTGCCTAATTTTAGCATGTATTATAATCACCTGGGGCACTTGCTGAACATATAGAATCCTAGCTCCTATCCTGGACCTATTGAATCAGGCTCTACACGTTGAGAAGTTTCCCTGGTGTAATGGTGTAGGTGACCCATGGATTGCACTCTGAGATTAGAGAGTTAACGGGTGCATCAGGAACCACTGGTTTCATACCTAAGCTCAGCAGTGTTTTATTTTATTTTATTTTATTTTATTTTTGAGACAGGATATCACTCTGTTGCCCAGGGTGGACTGCAGTGGCGCAGTCTCAGCTTGCTGCAGCCTCAACTTCCTAGGCTCAGGCAATCCACTCACCTCAGCCTCCTGAGTAACTGGGACTACAGGTGTGTGCCACCATGCCTGGCTAATTTGTTTGAACTTTTTGTGGAGATAAGGTCTCATTATGTTGCCCAGGCTGGTCTTGAACTCCTGGGCCTAAGTGATCTCCCACTTTGGTCTTCCAAAGTGCTGAGATAACAGGTGTAAGCCACCATGCCTGGCCAACTTCAGCATTTACTGGAAAATTGAGAGGAGGGGTCTATGTCAAGAAGTAGAATCCCTGCCCCTTGATTCTGAGTATTCCATGTAACTAGCTCTGTCCAAGGGGATGTTGCAGATATGATTCAAGCAAAGGCCTAGCAAAATATATATGTGATTGGACTTTCTCTCTCTCATGCTCCTGCTATTATCATGAGGAGCATATGCACAGGCTACCTTGTTGGTCCCAGGAGGAGGATGAAAAAATAAGGCGCAAGGCTGTAACAGCTCATGTGCCCCAGCCAAGCCTTGCCTAGAATAGAGCCCTTAGCCAACACATGAATGAGCCTAGCTGAGATTAG